>NC_000015.10:38731419-39034449 GCF_000001405.40 Homo sapiens
CCAGCATTGCTTCAACATTAAGATGCTCAGCTTTGGGGTAACTTTTCAGCTTCATATCGATGTTGTGAGAGCCCTAAGATAGGAAGAAAAAGAATAATAAGATCATTCTCAGTCCTTAGGAATCTGCAATCCCTAAGGAGGTTGACTGGATCAAAGGGAAGAGGGAAGAGCAATGGTTTTCATTTCTTTCTTTTTTAAAAAAGTAACAGACTCCCCCTTCTTGCCTTTAAAAAATGAAATGCAATGTAGAACCCAACTTGGAAAATGAATAAAGAGGTAATTTGAGTGGACAGGACTAGGGGCAGCCTCTGACCTGGAGCCCCACCTGCTCAGCCTTTCCCTCACCCACAAAGAGGCCCCTGTGCTTCTGTGGAACCCAGGGTGCCCTGGAGTTCAGCATGAAAACCACTGCTAAGGGCAGGCTTGAGAGAAGGTTCTTGGATTAGCAAGAAGGAAGAAATGGGAAAATACTGGGAAAACCCTGTCCAGCCTCTTTGGTCCCATTAAACACGCTATGTCCACAAAGACCCAGAAACAGTTTAAAAAAAAAAATGCTGAGGAACTTTTCCAGCCCACTTCCCTTCTACCTATTCTGAAGTGCTGCATTTCTTGACTCTTCTTAATGCTCTGTTTCAGGTCGATGTCTTTTCACTCTGCTTCTTCAGAATTAGTGACCTTGTTTTTTATTTGTTTGCCTCGTTGAGATGGGCCATCTCTTCATTCAGTCCTCATACATCAGGGGAGAGAAATGGTGTAGAGTCCACACGGGCAGACGGCCTAAACACTGGGGTCTGTTACCTAAGATGGAAGGTCTGGCTGCCCCAGGGTAAGCTGCCCATGTAATCTCCAAGAAGGGCATGCTGGAAGACTCATGCCTGAAACTGTGGTAGGAAATGGCCCCTATCTCCCCTTCCTGTCTCTTCTCACCACAGATTTAGAAAATATATCTGGCATGGGGACGTGGGTGGTAGGGACAGAATGGCACTGCAGCATAAACCATCTGTAGCGGAGTCCAGCACACTCAGTATGGGTTATTCGAAGAGTTTAATGAAGGTATAGGCAGGATTTAGTGGGGAGTAACAAGGGATGGAGGACCTAAATAGGAAGAAAAAGAATAATAAGATTATTCTCAGTCCTCAGGAATCTGCAATCCATAAGGAGGCTAACTGGATCAAAGGGAAGAGGGAAGTCCCTAGGTCTAAAGGGACAAGGGAAGGACTGGTTTCTAAATCCTACACACAACAAAAACTATGGATAGGGTTGCCCAACAGGAGCTATGCTCTTCAGTAGAGAAAGGCAGCCAAATGATGGCAACCAACAGGAGTAGAGCTAGAGGAACAATACCCTGATTCCACTGTCCTCCTGCCTTCTGACCTCTCGTTAGAGCCTTCCATTGTCTGAACACAATGGGAAGTCAGATATCAATGGAACCCCTTGATTGTGCTCATACGTGTCAGTCTGTGCATTCCAGGTAGGGTGGAAAGTGGATCTGACTGAGAAAATAAAATATATTTAGCACACCCAATCCCCCAATCCAGGCCGGGCTTTGTGTTTCAGTGATGTGGAGAACATCACTTTCAGACCACCTCACTTTTGTTCAAGGCTCAGTGAAAATCATGTGTTCTACTGATGAGGCATCAGTGGATAAAACTCCTCTCTCGAAACCATTTGCCTTTTTTAGGTGGGCAAGCTCATTCTTACTAAAGGTAATATTGAGCATTTTCCCAATTCTTAGGAAAGTGAGAAGCTGAAAGAGTCATTTAAGAATATCTGATTTTACTTCCAATCTGACATTCCCCTTCTGTGGTCTTCTCAGAAGACACTTGGGCTGAGATATCCGGCTGATCCGAACTCCAACATGAAGCATCCTTTCTGCTTTAGATTGACCCCCAAAGAGTGAAGGTAAATAAAAACTGGCCTTGACTTTACAACATCTTTCTGTTCAATTCTCTTTGGTGGGTCAAGTCCATTTACTTCTCCAACTTGGAAAGTATATATATATATATGATTTTTATGTGGTTTCTAGAATAACATCCTCAAGGAGTGTGATGCAGGTAGGAAGTATTTGAAAAATGTTCATTTATCCAGCAAATATGCTTTGCTGGATGTTTTATTCAGATGGTATCTTAGTCCATTCAGGCTGCTATAATAAAGATGCCATAGACTGGGTGGCTTATACACAACATAAATTTGTTTCTCATGGTTCTGGAGGCTGGGAAGTCCAAGATCAAGGCACTGGCAGATTTGGTGTCTGGTGAGGGCCCACTTCCTGGCTCACTGACAGCCATCTTCTCACTGTGTCTTCATGTGGTAGATGGAGTGAGGGAGCTCTCTGGGGTCTTTTTTATGAGGGCATTAATCCCACTCATGAGAGTTCTATCTGTATGATCTAATCATGTTCTAATTGCCCCACTTCCAAATATTGTCACATTGGTGATTAAGTTTCAACATATGAATTTTGAGGGGACATAAACATTCAATCTATAGCAGATGGACTTTGTGAATGAACTACTTTTCCTAGAGGTACACTGTATTTCTAAATTACAGGAAACTCAAATATAAGTTACCCCCATGGAAACTTATGAAGTGTCAGTTTCCTTTTTCGTTGTACAACTACGTATTGAGTATTCATTATATGATAGTATTTCGGTTATCAACTCCTGCATAAGAAACTACCTTAGTCCCTTTGGCTGCTATAACAGTATCTTAGACTGGGTAATTTATAAATAACTGAAATTTATTGCTAATAGTTGTCTAGGCTGGGAAGGCCAAGATCAAGGTGCCAGCCAATCTGATTGGGTGAGGTGAGGACCCGTTTCTCATACATGACACCTTCTTTCTGTGTCCTCACGTGTCAGAAGGGGCAAACAAGCTCCCTTGGGCATCTTTATAAGGATACCAGTATTATTCATGAGGGGTCTGCCCTCATGACCCAATTATCTTCCAAAGCCCTCATGTTTTTAATACCATCACTTTGGAGATTAGGTTTCAATGTAAGAATTTTGGAGGGGACACAAACATTCAGACTATAGCACCACCCTAAAACTCACTGGCTTAATACAGCAATTTATTGTTATCTTTTATGGCTTAATGTGTTGACTGGGGCATCTTGAGACAGGAAGGCCTGCTAGGAGAATCCTACATTCCAGGTAAGAGAGGCTGAGGGTCTAAACAAAGACAGCGATTGAGAGGATGGACTGCAGGGGATAGAATTAGAAATCTCTAAGGGCAAAACTGGATGCATTGGGCAACTGTTTGAAAGTTGAGTACAATGAAACTATGTTTAATTCTTGGATTTCTGTCTAGAGCCTTTAGTGCCTCAATTTCTCAATGTAGTTGGTAAGGGAATCAAAGATATCTAAGAATTTTTATAAATTTATGAAAGGCTTAATCTTCAGATAGTAGAATCCCATTGAGTACTGAGCAGGAGAAAGAGAGAATGAGTGTGTGTGTATGTGTACGTCTGCAATTCTTAAAAGTAATCAAGATGAAAAGACAGAAAAACCTTGATTAGTCCGTTGTAAGTTGGGAAAAGAGTATAAAGAAGTAAAAAAATATGGTCATACAAACATGAAATACAATGAAAAACTAAACAAGAAACAAATAAAAATATCAGTTCTTACCAATATAAACAGCTTGAAGACATCTATTAAAATACAGATTTTCAGAGTGGGTGAAAATATATTCCAACTATATTAATATATGTGAATATGCATGTACATATGTGTATATGTATATAATGAAAAAAGATATAGCAGAAAAATATTAAAATGCAGGTAATTAATCAGTGTCATATTAATGTTACAGAATATTTTTAAGATAAAAATTACTAGTGATACAGTATCATTATATGATGATACAAAAAACAGGAAGATTTTATATTGCATCTTATATGCATCAAACATATATTACTCTTGGAATGACAAAAATTAGGGTACAGAGAGAAATTGATAAATGCAGTCAAGTGCTATATAACAATGTTTCTGTCAACGACTGACTCTCATGTGGTGGTCCTATAAGATTAAAGCTGAAAAATGTCTTTTACCTAGTGACATTGTAGTTGTCATAATGTTGCAGCACAACACATTACTTATGTCTTTGTGGTGATGCTGGTATAAACAAAACTATTGCACTGACAGTCATATAAAAGTCTAGGACACAATTACGTATAGTACGTAGTACTTGATAATGATAATAAATGACTGTTACTGGTTTATGTATTTACTATACCTTCTATCATTATTTTAGAGTGTATTCCTTTTACTTATATAAAAGAGTTAGCTATAAAACATCCTCAGGAATACTTCCTTTAGGAGGTATTCCAGAAGAAGGCATTTTTATCATAGGAGATGACAGCTCTATGCCTTCTTCTGAAAGGTCTTAGGGGAACAAGACATGGAAGTAGAAGACAATTATACTGATGATTCTGACCCCATGTAGACCTAGGCTAATATATGTAATTGTTTGTGTCTTAGTTTTTAATAAAAAGTTTAAAAAGTTAAAAAATAAAAAAATAGAAAACTTATAAGGACATAAAGAAAATACTTTATACAATGTGTTTGTTTTAAGCTAAAGATTATAGAAGAGTCTAGTTAAATTTAAAAGTTTATAAAGTAAAAGTTACAGTAAGCTAAAGCTAATTTATTAAAGTGTACACTGTTGATAAAGTCTACAATGGCAGACAGTAATGTCCTAGACCTTCACATTCACTCACCACTCACTCACTCCCTGGCCCAGAGCACCTTCCAGTCCTACAAGCTTCATTCATGGTAAGTGCTGTACACAGGAGTACATTTTAATCTTTTATACCATATTTTTATGGTACCTTTTCTATGTTTAGATATGGTTTAGATACACAAATACTTATTGTTATTATTGCCTACAGCATTCTATAGAATAATGTGCTATATGGTTTTCTAGCCTCGGAGCAATAGGTTGTACCATATAGCCTAGGTGTGTAGTAGACAACATCATCTAGGATTGTATAAGTCCACTCCGTGATGTTCGCACAGTGGCAAAATTGCCAAATGACATGTTTCTCAGAGCATAAACCTGTTGTTAAGCAATGCATGACTGTATAATCATAATAATTCTAACATACCTTTCTCAGAAAATAGTATATGAAGTGATAAATTGGTAAGAAAAAGGAAAACTTGAATAACATAGTTAATAAGCCATATTTATGAGGTTAGGAGAGGGGATGGTGCAGAAACATCTTAACCACAAAATGTCAATGACTTAATAGTCATGATTTTATTTCTCACTCATAGTTTGTCCAAAAGAGCCTGGGGCTGTGGCCCCACTGAGGCTAATGGAGGCTTCTTACCTTTTAGCTCCATCATCTGGGACAAGTGGCCTTCTTCATTCATGGCAGGAGGGGAAAAGGGAGTGGAGATTTACGCATGGCTTTTCACTGCTTCAGCCTGGGAGGGACGTGACCCTTCCACTCATGTTACACTGACTAGAAATAGTTAGAAAGCCCTGACTGACAGAAGGGACCTGGGGAGAGGGGATGCTGCATTCTTAAGAACAGATGTCTGTCACAAAAGGATCTAATGGAAACAAAGAGAATCTTGCACCCATAGTGCATACGTTGGAATTTTGTTTTTCAAAACTGACCACATACTAGACCACGAAAAAGATAAATATTGTAGAATCAATGTCCTTCTCAATGATATTCTTCTGATTTTCAAATTTGAAAATTAAATAGCACACAAATGTTTCATGTGTCATAGAAGAAGCCATAATGGAAATCATAAAATATTTAGAACTAAATAATAAAAAATTACACAATTTAGAACAATATTTGTGGCATTCAGCTAAAGTGGTACATTGAAGAACACTGAAAATTTTAAATGTACATATTAGAAAGGAAGAATAATTGAAAAATAATGAGTTCACTGTTTCATTCAAAAATGTTAGGAGAAAACAACTACAAGTAACATTCCTGAAGTGGTAGGAGGAGAAATTGATGAAAAGTAATCTAAAAAACAGCAAAGGAGATAAACAAGTACCAAAGCAGTTTCTTAAAAAGAATGACAAAATAGACAACCTTCCGGAAACATTGAGAAAAACAACATAAAATGAAAAAATGAATATACTATAGATAGCATGTAGATTAAAAACAATATTGTCTTTTATGTCAATAATTTGAAAATGTAGACAGTATGTACAATTTTATAGTAAAATATAACTTATTAATCTCGACTCAAGACATAGACAAGCTGAAGAAACCTATATATCTTAACCTATAGCTTTAAAAAAAATTGAATCAGTAACCAAAAACCTCCAGCAAAGATCATATTTAATGACTGAATGATAGACACATTCTCTTTAAAGTTAGGAATGTAACAAAATTTCTTGTTACCAGTGCTTCTATTTAAAACTTTACTAGCCGGGTGCAGTGGCTCATGCTTGTAATCCCACACTTTGGGAGGCCAAGGCAGGTGGATTATCTGAGGTTGGGAATTGAAGACCAGCCTGGCCAACACGGTGAAACCCTGTCTTTATCAAAAATATAAAAATTAGCTGGATGTGGTGGTACACGCTGGTAGTCCCAGCTACTCGGGAGGCTGAGACGGGAGAATCGCTTGAAACCATAAGTTCAGTGAGCCGAGATTGTGCCACTGCACTCCAGCATGGGCGGCAGAGCGAGCTTCCGTCTCAAAACAAACAAAAACAAAAAAACTGTACTAAAGTTCAAGATAGTGCAGTAAGATGAGAAAAAGAAATAAGAGGTATAAAGATTGGTTATGGAAGAACCAATTTCATTGTTTGAAGATATAATCATTTATATACAAAATCCAAGGGAACTTTTAAGGTATAAGCACTGAGAAGTTAGTATCATTCCTACATATTTATGGGTGTCAATTAATAAACTATAATAGTACATACATATACACATATATATTCAAATTGCTATATATATATATTCCATTCAAAATAGCAATTTGCAAATCCACAGAGTTTCACAATGGCAATAGCAAACCTACAAAATAGATAATAGAGAAATTAGGGAAGCCAATTAAGGATCACTCAATAGACCAATGATTAAATATTTGTATAATCATACTTGAATATAGCATAACAGTTAATGTGAAATAATAAACTCTAGTTCTATTAATCTTAAGCAATTACTAGGAAAGAATTGAGTAAAAGATATCAGGATGAAGAATATCTGTAGCCTGATACTACTTATGTAAATTGAAAAATGTACAAGATGCTACTTATTGCAAGTGGATATATACATATGCTGTGAAAGTATAAAACATGGACAGGAAAGATGCCATACCAGCCTCAGGAAGGAAGTTATTTCTGGGAAAAGAGGGAGAAAAATAGATTGGGAATTCAAGGATTCAACAGTAATGTCTTATTTCTTTAAAAATTATCTGAAGCAAATGATAACAAAATAGTAAAATTTGCTCACTCTGGATGGTAGGTAGCTAGATATTTTATTGTTTAAATTTATCGCACAGTTAAATAAGTTTTAAACAATTGAAAAAGTGAATAGGAGGTAAAGAAATGTACACAAAGTTCATTGCCAGTACTTTGAAGAAGTTTGATCATGAATAAGAGAGAAATGCTACACTTTCTTAATGGAGAGGCACTGGAAGTTGAAGCCAGTGCACAGCTCCCCACTTAGCGGGAGTTTACCAGCCTTCTTGTGACTGCTTTATTCTAGGTACAGTGATGACCTGTCTGCAGCATCTCCTAGCTGCTTTTAATCATCAGGGGGATGAGTCTCACTCCGTCACCCAGGCTGGAGTGCAGTGGTGCCATCTTAGCTCACTGCAAGCCCCGCCTCCAGGGTTCACGCCATTCTTCTGCCTCAGCCTCCTGAGTTGCTGGGACTACAGGCACCCGCCACCACGCCCGGCTAATTTTTTTGTATTTTTTGTAGAGATGGGGTTTCACTGTGTTAGCCTGGAGGTCTTGATCTCCTGACCTTGTGATCTGCCAGCCTCGTCCTCCCAAAGTGCTGGGATTACAGAGGTGAGCCACTGCACCCGGTCTATATAATATATTTTTAAAATAAAGTCATGCTTGCTCACTATGGAAAACTTAAAAATGCAAAAAAGTACACAGAAAAGAATGAATCATAATTTCATCATAATGTATTAATGCTTTCATTTCTTTTACAAATATCATTAAGGTTATACCATACGTACAGATTTTATCTTGATTTCTTTTTACTTCCCACATAAATACTCATGTTACTAAAAACCCTACAAAACAGAAGATTCTGCATCATTTACTTAATCAGACTTCTCTAGTCTTAGATTTGGTTAAAATAACAATCATAAAATCCAACTCTCAGAGCACGTTTGTAAAATTAGAGACCCTTTGGCTATTTGGCCACCATGTGTCTAACATGGGCAAAGTGGAAAGAAAGGAATCTAGAACTTCAAGGCTTATCAATGTGAACCAAAGCACTTGTTGGGAAGCAGTGGCCAGGAGCTCAGGTTAAAATGCTTCCTCTTTCCTACCTTATGTGGTGGTGTTGGCCGAAGTTTATCCATGATTGACATGAATGAAGTGTACTTTTGGAGAAACCTTCTATTTCCTAGGTACTGGGGAGGGCAATGATTCAGCAGAGGTCCCATCCTTAGTTCTATCAGAAAAGCAGAAGAGGAATTCCTTTTCTGATGGAACAGTCCCTAAGACCCACAAAAGGGAGGCTCCAATGGAGTTTATTTGCTAGTAGAAGAAATGTGGGGAGTCCTGAGGCATAAGATGAACCCCAAAGGACCACTTGCAGGTGTGAGAAGCGATTACTTTTCCAAGGGTTCATTAAATCACACCACTTCGCTTGGAGAGGGTCTGCATGGCAAATCTCACTTCCCTTTTTCCAGGCTAATAAGCAGAGGCTGGAGCGGCAAAGGCCCTGGCCGAGGCCACCCAGGCTGCAGTGGAAGCATGGGGTTTACAGCAGAGGCTCCTGTCCCCCCATGGGCTCAGGCACAGGAATTCCTTTCTCGGTTTCAGCTGGTGAGGGTTTGAGGTTTCTCTTTTTGTTGGACTCACTGGATATTGAAACAACCAAGGCAATGGTTTGTTTTTCATGTCCCCAGATGGAGCTGGCCAGTGCCTGGGGCAGAAAACAATAAACAGCATCGGGTATGGTGTGTACTGTAAGGAGGTTGGTGGGTTGGATTGGGGCTTTTGTGGAACTAAATCCACCCCATCTGCTATTCTTGCAGTTATTTTGTGGCTTCATCTCACAAGCTGGGGGCTCCCCAGCTTCCCTGGCTAGGCTGATTTTTATTTTAAAAAAAAACAAAAATTTCATCTATACTTCTCAGTAGCACATATTTGGGCGTTTTCTTTTCTGATCAACTACATTCGCCAAGCCACACGTTCTGTGATAAACAGAGCCTACCGAAGTCTCTGCTGCCTAGGGTTTTCCTGGATCAGCCCTCATATATCTGTAACTAAAAAGCCAGGGGGAAGCTCATTTGACCAATCACTCATTCTTTTGTTTGTTCATTTTTTCATTCATTCAATGCATATTAAGCACCTGTTATAAGTATACTCTTCCTGGGGCACTGTGCTTGGGAAGACCATGGAAAATAAAAGGAGACCTGGCTCTCTTCTGGTAGAACCGATTCAAAAACTAGGATAGATGAGGCTCTGATGGAAGCAAGCCATCACACGAGAACATGTGGCACGAGGGCTGGCACCCCAACAGCTCCCTGGCAGATCACAGACACACGGGCATCACGGAGTTTACCTGCAGATTGAGAACTCATTTCCAGTGGTCTTCAGGGGTGGGTGGTGATAGTTCTGTCACAGTTTATAGTCCCAGTTGATCAGATAAGTTATACATATTATATAGATGTCACCTTTAGCTAATGTTATAGAGGTAGCAACTATCAGCATCATGATTTATAAGCATTACCAAATACAAACTGCTTGTCTGTACCAGAAGATGCTGGCTCAGATTTTCTTTGTTAAACTAGGTTGCAATATCTATTGAAAAATCTTTCCTCAGGAACCAAAGGACAGGACAAGGGATGGAATTCGGGGCCTTTATATACATATTACAACTGAGCCTTTGACCTACTGGGATGTTGCATATTCATATTATCAATAGTAAGAAGGCTGAGCTTTGCAGCAGCTTTGAAGACCTTGGTGGGATAGAGGGCTAGAGAGGGTCTAGAGCTGACCATACTGTCTGTTGCTTGGGCACCCTCTTTTCTCAACCTCACTTTTCCTCCAGCCTAGTAAGTTGTAAGGTCTTATGGCCTTGGACCAGAGAAGCCCTGGGTCAGAAGATTTGATAGCTAATGCCATGAAAAGCAGGAATGGAGTCTTTCCACCTCCACATCCCTAGTACAGCATAGGGCCTGGCAGACATGTGCATACACAGTGTAGAGCAAATGAGGGAGGCACATGTCTATGGATTGTGTGTGAAGTAAAATGGCCTTATTTCAATTTGCCTGTGTGAGGAAGGACTGGCAAACCAGGTTTTTCTCCCAGAAAACCTTCTCTTCTGGGTCAGGGGCAGGCTACCAGAGAACCCTAGCCTCTTAGTTACAAATGTCTAAAAGTAGCTTGGGAAAAGTAGCTTGCAACCTGGAGGATCTGACAGAGCCATGGATATTCAGACAGACCCACAGTATTTCCTACTTTGGATCAAGTTCCCTGGGAGCCCACGGAGCCAGGCAGCCTGTGTCTGAGGTGGGTCCAATTCATTATTTTTGTTCCGTGTTGTTTGACATTACAACCTTCAGAGTGAATCTACGTGACTGCTCATCTTGTCATCACTCTCAAATTATTTCTGTGAGGATTCCTTGATTTTCCCCAGTGTTAGACACAAAACTCCTGAAGAGAAGGATATGCATTGTTCAATTCTTTGAGTTCTAATTTCTGATTTTCTCAGTTCAGTTCTTAGTACAAGGTTCTGTGGCTTTAATAACAAGGAAGCTCTAAACAACGTTTAATTCATGCATTGAGTACAGCCTTCTCTCGCAAGGAAGCCCCTCTCCCATTCCTGACCAGCCATGGACTCTCTGCTTCCTCTTCCCCTAGAAGCCCTCTAGAAGTTTCCAGGCCTTGTGCACACACGTTTTTGCTGGGCCCTGAGTGCTAGAAGCTTCCACCTTCTCCTGGAAGTGAATTCCAGAGGTAGAAAACCTCCGCTTAACCTCTGTGGAAGTACACTATGCCCTCTGCAGCATAATTTTCTTGAAAATATGGATAAAGGGAGGATAATGTGCCAGTAGAAAATTGAGGCAAAATAGCTGATGGGCCAGCAGGCAGTTCTGAGGAAAACCATCCAAGCAGCTCACTCGCTCCACACAGCTTGACTGGTGTGGTCTGCAGCTTGGACCCCAGTGTGGTGCCCCATGGGAAAGCCATCTCTGGCTTGCAGGGGTGAAGGAACACTAGGTTCTGGCTCTGTGGCTCTGGTGCATCTAGGGTTCTGACTCGAGGTGGGTGCGGAACAGGATAAACTTGCACACGGCACCAAGGTAGGCGTCTATCTACCCAGGCGGTCCATTTCCAGAGGCCTCTGCTCCTGTAACACAACCCATGGCTGGAAGGCCTTGGGCTGAGGACAGGAAGTAGCCAGCTGGTACGTGTGTCAATGTACGACTTCAAACTCGAGTGAGAGCCTGTTTTAGGTACACAGGGATGGGGGTGCATGTGCTCCCCTCATTGTCAAATGCTACTTCCCCAGACTAATGGCTAAGGGGACAGAGGTAAGATATTTAGCCTCACTTCATTCTTAAATCAGGCCAGGTAGGGTTGTTCTAAGCACTAGAAGTCCATGCCACATCATGGTGCTCATTAGGAGGCATCATGATTTAGGATTCAGGAGAACTGTGTTTCATGTGGGCTCTGCTGTGAAAGCCAAGCAAGCTGCACTGTCTCTTTTTTTACATTTCCCCATTTATAGAATGCAGAAGAAGGAAAAGTTATATCTGGCCCCTCCCTCTCTCACAAGGAGGAAGTCTAAATGAGAAGATCTTGAACAGCGAGATGCTGTGCCCTTCTCCCCAGCTCCCTTCTCCACTCATGTTCACGTTCATTGCCTTCTGTGACCTGCTGGTTTACGTGTTTCTGAATTAACTATGGACATTAGGGTGTGCTGAATCCAACTGCAATGATTCTATCTTTTCTTGCTGGTGAGGATTGTGTTGCTAAAAGTTATACATACTCTTTTTCTCTTAGAGTGACCAACTTTTTAGATTTGCATAGGACTATGGGGATTCTGGAAAGTGGCACTTTTAGTGGTAAAACCAGGACAGTCCTGGGCAAACCACAAAGGTTGGTCATCCTACTAGTAACCCAGGAGAAATAAGGCAGAGAGCAGAATGCTCGCTCTTCTGCTACCAAATCTCAGCTTACTTAAGGAGCTGTGTTTTGGGAGATAAAGAAAGGAAGATTGATTTATAAGCTAATATTTTGATTCTCCATTTCTCAACTCCAATTTGAGTAGAAATTTCCCTGCCCATTCGCTTTACAGTAAATTAGCTTCGTGGAGATATGGTTAGGGTTCTTTATGAAAGACCCTCATCGCTCACTGGGACTTGCATGCCCTGAGCAGAATTAAACACCCTTTCCTTTTTCTTTTTTCTTTTCTTTTCTTTTTTTTTTTTTTTTTTTTTTTTTTTGAGACAGTCTGGCTCTGTCACCCAGGCTGGAGTGCAGTGGCATGATCTTGACTCACTGCACCCTCCGCCTCCTGGGTTCAAGCAATTCTCCTGCCTCAGCCCCCCCAGTAGCTGGGATTACAAGTGTGTGCCACCATGCTTGGCTAATTTTTGTATTTTTAGTAGAGATGGGGTTTCACCATATTGGCCAGGCTGGTCTCAAACTTCTGACCTCAGGTGATCCACCCGCCTCAGCCTCCTAAAGTGCTGGGATTACAGGCATGAGCCACTGCATCTGGCTGACACGCTTTATTTCTATTATTCCCATAATAATGATTTCTTCCCCCTTCTAGTGTCTTACTGTCTTACTACACTATTATTTGCACTATCATTTTAATGGCCTGAAGGCTCAGCATGTCCATGAGCTCATCAATGTTGCATATACCCCGGCCACCAAACATAAAGACGTGAAAGAAGCAAGGCTGACATCAGCCCTAGCAGTGCAGCCAAAATTGGTGAAAGCTACAGCTTCCATCGATTGTTGATCACAGATATGAATAAGTAGAGACTTAAGAGGCTTAGACTTGACAAAAATGGATTTCCTCTAGCCCTTGGCAACTGAAACTTAAAAAGCATTAAGAGGTGCCAAGGTCAGGGAGAAACAGAAATGAAGGAATGAGTTTGGAAGAGCTTAAGTTTGCCTGGTGGTAAATATTCAATAATTCATTCTTTGATGAAATACTGCCCTGTCCTTTTTTGGGTATGTCTCCTTCATAGGAGACTGGGTGAGGTACTAGAATAAAATAGTGAATGTAACTTTATCCCTGCTGTTGTGGTCTTAGTTTAGCAACTCCAAATTGGTAATCAGTATATGTGAACTTATAGTTTAGCAATAAGCAAAAATAGATTGAAAGGTAGAGGCTTTTAAATAAAACCTGCCCCCAAACCCTGGCTAATCTTTAGAGACTGCATAGCCAATAGTTGAAAGCCGTGATATTTATGTGTTCCCAGATGAGACAGTTGATAGCCTTCAACTATCAGTGATGACAGACAATCCATTGGGAACTTGATAACAGATACCATGTTGATGGTGTTCTGTTCTTTCATAGTTGTTTCTGCATGGAATAGATGTCTCCCTTTTTCATATCTCATGAGTGGATGCTCAACCCATCTTCTTCCAGCTGAGAGGAAAATGAGCAACAGCCATTGGAAACAACATGAGCTTCCTGAACACAGGAATATAAACCATGAGAGGATAGCTTAGAAAAGTATTTCCTGAAATAAAAGGATAAAACCACAGAGAACTTTTGCAGTCACCAAAACCCACAGACTTAACACAATCCACATAAGAACTTAATTAGGACACATGCTTGTATATTTACAGAAAAAGAAAGTATGACAGCAAAACAAAGTTTTGGCCAGATCATTAATGCATTTTGAGATTATTTCAAAGGGGAGCTAGAAAGCATACTTGTTGCCTCGGAAGACTTCTTGGTATAGTTAAAAATCTTGAAATCCCAGAGATAATAACAACTTATGGATCAACTGGAGTCAAGTGGGGACTGGGCAGAGGTGTGACTGATGGAAATCGGTGACTAATTTATGTCACATGCCACCTATAACACTGGCACGTGGGTTAGTGTGGGGATTTGAGACCGTATGGCTTTCATCCAGGTTAAATGACCCACACTTTTCTCTGCACTACCCCCTCATCTCCCTTAGTTTTTCACAGTGCTCGAAGAATTAATGGTAGAAGTTGCTCTGCTGAACTGAGGAGCCAGGGGGAGATGACTAAGTGGCTAGAATGTCACTCAGAGTCACTGGGAGACTCCAGAAGTCAGGGACTGGAATTTGGTTTTCCAAGTAGATCCCCTAATCCAAACATTGTACTGCTTCTGTCATGAGTGTGTAGGTGTCACAGGAACACATCTACAGTAGGCCATCATCAGAAAAACTCTTTGCAGGGACCTTGACATAGTGAAATTGCTCCCTGGTAATTAGCTTGAGGGTTCTGAGGAACAAATCTATTCTTAGAGTCAACCTCTTTGTCTTCTGGAAGCCAGGAAACAGGGTTCTAATTTCCATCCTGATTACATTTAGCTGTGTGACTTTCTGGATTTCAATTTTCTTTCTGTAGTATGTGGAGTTGAATCATATTTGTAATCTGTTAGATCCCTACCAGACCTAACATTCTATGATCTTGGGGTATTTACAAACCTATCTGGAATATATAAACCTCTTCTTGAGTCTATTATTGGACAACAGCAAAGAAAAAAGATGGAGCCCTGGTTCAGCAACTCCTAGCAGAATTGTTTCTGAGGTTGTTGCTTTAACTTTTGCATGAGGTGTCCAGTTGTCTTTCTCAGGGAGCCAGCCAAATGCCAGCTGGAGGCAGTTTCAGGAAAAAAGATGATGCAGATTTTAACAATGCGATTAAAGCCACCAAGTTTTGACAGCCCTATTCTCAGGGTGAAAACAAAGAGGGATGGGAGATAAGTGTCTGAGCTGATTTTGATCCTCATGGCAGAATGGTCTCATTCTGTTTTGTCCTAAAAATCAAACTGGAAGATTTAGTCAATCATACTGTACATTGGGAGGTAGACTTTTAGTTGCTACAAGCCTTTAACCTCTTAGAAAGTTTACTCACATGTTAGAGGAAAATATTTGCTTATTCTCAATGTTACTGGGCATCATATGCCCACTGGTAACACATTTCAATACTAGACTTGACCTTGGCTATATATCAAATTATTCAGTATGGCTTTTTTTTCCTTCCCAAGATAGAGGTGAGACCTGGCCCTCCACTTTTGTCTTTCTTGCCCTAGTGAAGACTTTCCTGACCAGTATTGGCTCCTTGAAAAATTGTGATGTACACAAAGGTCAACTTGACAGACTTTCCCCTGTAGTCCCTCAGCCCTTCTGATAGGATTACATTCCTGTGATGCCATTTTTCAAAAATAAGCTTTTAATTTTAGAATAGTTTAGATTTGCAGAAAAGTTGTGAAGATAGTACAGACAGCTTCCATCTACCTCATATCCAGCCTCTCTCCCCTACTGTTAAGATCCTTCATTACTATGGCATAAATGTCTCACAATTTTAATGAGAAGATATTGATATGTCATTAACTAAAGCCCATACTCCATTCAGATATTCTCAGCTTTTACCTAATGCCCTTTTTTACCTAATGCCCATTAGGCTTACCTAATGGGTTCCAGGTCCCATCCAGGATACCACACTACATCTAGTTGTCATGTGTCTCCTCAGGCTCCTCTTGCTGTGATGGTTTCTCAGACTTTTCTTGTTTTTGATGACCCTTGACAGTTTTGAGGAGCGCTGACCAGGCATATTGTAGTGTACTTTTTAAATTGGATTTGTCCGATGACTTCCTCATGATTAGATGGGGATTATGGGTTTTTGGAGCAAGACCACAGAGGTGAAGTGCCATTTTCCTCACATCATATCAAGGGTACCTGCCCTTGTTGTGCTTCTTTCTTCATCCACTCCTTACTTGTTGCCTTCCGAGGCATAGGCTTTGAGCTTTCTAGACAGTGTCCATTCTGAGTACCACATACGATATCAGGTAACCACCACTACCTCCAGAATCTATTCCATGACTTATCTTGGTTGATAAGTCCATTAACCCTGGTCACCTGGTGGAGGTAGTGTTTGTAAAGTTTTTTTCCACTGTAAAGTTATTCTTTTCACCCCTCTTTTATACTGTACTCTTTGGAAGGAAGTCACCAAGCACAGCTACACTTAAGGAGTGGCGGGACCTATGTTCCACAGGGCAAAGTAGCAACATAAGTCATTTTGCATCGGAGATTCGCCTGATGCCACTTGATCGCTTAGATTTGCTTTCTACAGACTGGGCCTCTTCAGTTTGTATCCCAAACATAAACCCCTTCTCAATGGCTCTTCTCACATGGAAAATTGAGTATCTGGTGTTCTACTCTGTACTTGATTTGATAACTTCTAGTTATTCTGATGAACTCACCCAAGCTTGCATAGTACACAGGGATCAGGGCATCATCCTTCCCAGATTGCAGAGGGATACTAACAGAAACTCCCTTTGCAGAAAATCTTTAAGCCAAGGAATTATGGCTAGAAAGAAGCTTGTTAAACACAAGCTACTTCAACAGTGAAGTTTGTGTTTAAGAAGCTACTTTAACTCCTTCTCCCTTGGCTTCAGTCACTGTTCTGTCTTCTGTCTTTCCTTCTATAACCCACAGGCTGTTTCTCAAGTGCCCTTGTTCTTTCTTCATCCACTCCTTACTTGTTGCCGTTCAAGGCATAGGCTTTGACTTTTCTAGGCAGTGCTCATTCTGAGTACCCCATGTGATGGTATCAGGTAACCACCACTACCTCCAGAATCTGTATTTGCAGCCTGGCTTTCTCCCCTAATTTTCTGATCTACATGTGAAAGTATTTACTAACCTTTTCATGCAAATGTTGTACAGACACCTCAAACTCAATATCTGGAAAATGGTTTTGTGATTGTGCTTCTCTGGCCTGCCTCTCCTCTTACATTTCTAGTTCTTTTTTGATGACCCCATTACCTATAAATTATTTCAAGAGAGGACCCTGTTATTATGTATGAGCTCTTCTCCCCCCACCATCCACATCTATGGTTCGTTAACATCTGTTAGTTATGAATCTTTCAAATTTGTTTCCTACAATTTTACCTTGGGTCCCTGTCATATCTCCTATGGATCCCTTCTCATGATCTCTCCTTACTCAGTCCTTCTCACCTTAAATCTTTCTCCACACTGCAGGATATCTTTCTAAAATGACAATTATGTTCTTCATATTGTCAAGAGCTTCATTCTAAAGATCAAGCCTGGCCTGCTGGCCACTGTTCTAAGCCAGTTGAACAAGTAAGGGCCTGTTCTGTGGGCAGTGCTAGGCATCATACTGTGAGACGTGGTGAGAAGTTACACTTGCCCATGGAGAAACAGAGTAGGGAATACTTGAGCTGGGCCTGCTTAATTGAGAGGAGAGCTGAACAATGTTGAAATTTCACCTGGTGAAATTGAAGACCGTAACAAATGTCTGACAAATTGAGTACCCCAAGTCACTTTAAAGAGTCTAGCAAAGTGGAGAACGAGCTGCTGATTTACCCAAATAATTTGTTTTCTTCCTGAATCATCCAATTTTCATATTGGCTGAACTGCCAGAATTATAAAACTCTAATTCACTTTGCTCTCCAAAGCATTTTTTTCATTCTACTCTGAAAAGACTGTAATAGATGTATATTTTAGGTTGTATGTTCCAATTGAGTAGTATAACTTGCTTTGTGCAAAGCCCACCATTATACCATGAATATGTGAATATCCAATGAATAGAATAGCTGCTCAAAGAATATTCGTGGAGAGATTATTCACTTGGATAGAGTGATTTTAAGCCTTTTATAGAAAGTCTAACAGAGGGCCAACTGGTGATAATATTTATATTTTGCATTGCCTCTGAGCTGATGAGGCTGGTAAGCATGGATTACTAATAATAACACCAATGATACTTTTACAGTCTTGTGCTGATTAATGTGCAAAGCCCTTTACATACATTGACTTATTAAAGTATCACACATCTATATGAGGTTGATCGTATTATCCCCTTTTTATAGCTGAGAAACTGAAGCTTAGAGTTTAAGCAATTTACCTGAGATTATATAGTGAGAAGTTGCAAAGTAGGGAAACCAGTCCGGGCAGGTTGATCAGAGGCCACACTCTTAGTTGTTATGCTGGGTAATAAAAGTGGTGATTTAAAAATCCCTGGGCCGGGCGCGGTGGCTCACGCCTGTAATCCCAGCACTTTGGGAGGCCGAGGCGGGTGGATCATGAGGTCAGGAGATCGAGACCATCCTGGCTAACAAGGTGAAACCCCGTCTCTACTAAAAATACAAAAAAAATTAGCCGGGCGCGGTGGCGGGCGCCTGTAGTCCCAGCTACTCGGGAGGCTGAGGCAGGAGAATGGCGTGAACCCGGGAAGCGGAGCTTGCAGTGAGCCGAGATTGCGCCACTGCAGTCTGCAGTCCGGAGTCCGGCCTGGGCGACAGAGCGAGACTCCGTCTCAAAAAAAAAAAAAAAAAATCCCTGAATTTTATAGTTCTTTACAGAGCCCTTCCATACGTACCATAATCACATCCTAATGACATTGGTGATGAGGATGATGGTGGTAAGTACTCTAACTCCTAGATGTCTAACACCTTGTGAGTTTCTCCTGCTGCTCAATTGTAGTCAAGCCGGAGTTACCATTACTTATGTGAGTATCTGCTCTAACTGTAGGCCTTTCATACTCTGGAATATCTTATTTATTGTGTAAGTAATAAACATTTCTTTATATAATTCCATTATGTCTACAATCCTGTGTTTTACATGGTAATCTCTTAATAAATGCTTATTGAATTGGATTTCTTTTATAGATGATGGTACTGAATACTAGAGTTAATGACACCCAGCAATATTAATTTTCCATGTAAATTATGGGGCTTTATTTTTTTAATCCCTTCTTCTATAGGGATTGACCTTATCGACTGTCTATGTACTTATCAAAAGGCTCCAAATTGTCTGAGCTGATGAGGGAGGCAAGATCAAGGATTGATAAAATTCAGATAACTTTAAAACTGAGTTTTTTCAATGGATACGATTTCCTTCCTGGTGATAGTAGCGGTGTTTTCTTTATTGTCATTCCTTACTGGCCAAGTCCTATCAGACATTGTTACAAAAGTACAGGATTTCAATTCTCTCTTTAGCCTTAAGTTATTTGTTGCTGGAAGAGATGCTAACATAAGTAGGAAAATGGTTAAAAGTAAAGAGAAGAAATAAGGAGCAGAACAAAAGGGTGAATGGAAAACCAGCAACGTCTGCATCCACTCTCCTCTAGTAATAAAGAGGCTTACCGTGTACTTCCTTCATGCATAAAGAGGTATCTGTGGCACTCTGGATGAGTGCCCAGAACCAACAGCCATTGAAGAGACTGGCTGTCTTCTTGCAAAGTAGCCTGGATAAGTCCTCTTGATGTCAGGAGTGGTGGCCATTGTTATTCTTTCCCATGGGATAGAACGAGAGGCTCAGTAAGCAGAGCATGAACTGAACTTGCTTGGCGGAGGAATATGATACCTGTGTTCGACTATTGGCAGTGTGACTTATTGTGTGAATTTGGCAGTGTAACTTTCTGTGTGAATTATGCAACCTCTCAAATGTCAATCTCCTCATTTTTAAAATGTGCCTAAAATAAATGTGACCCAGAGCTGTTGTGAGGATTGGAAATAATGTATGCAAAGGTCAAGGATGGCAAATGGCTTATGTTCAATATGTGTAGCTATGTTTTCTGTATGTTTTCTAGTTTAAGAACCAATACTGATGATGGCCTCTGTCAATTCTAGCCACTGACTCCATACTCATCTCTCACTTAATATTCCCCAAATAAAAATTGAAGTTGTAAAAAGATCATTCTCCTGAGACTTGGGAAAACTGGCTTCTCGATTTAGTTCAATCTGAAGAGCATATCAGTTTTAAACATGGTTCCCAGAAAGTGTGACTCCATCTACTCCAAGAATCTCCCACGCCAGGGCACATCAGGGCAAATTCAGGAGCATGGAATCTGCCAAACCTTCTCTGTCCCCTAATCCCAGTCTATGATTCTTGCCCCACCCTGCCCTCTGGGCTAGTCTGACCTCTGTTTTTCACTCCACATAATATTTGGCATTTTTATCACCAGGGCTTGAGCAATTGGGCAAAACCTTTTGGCTAGAACTGGGCATTATTTCCAAGGAGGTTTCCTCAGTGAACTGCTTGACACCTCACTGGGTACGAGTGGGTGGTTTTGACAGCTGCAGGGAGAGGTGCCGTGTCCTGGGGTGGGATGGGTGATGAATACGCCATAAATCCCCAGTCTGCCTAGAGCATAAATCTGAGGGCTGTACAAGTTCCGAGGCAAGGAAATTGGAAATACGGCGCCAGGTAAACAGACCTGAGTCAACAGGAGCAAAGAAATAAGTGTTGTAGCCCTGCCGTCCACAGCCTGGGGTTGGGGGTTCAGAGAGCTGGATGGCAGGCTGCTTAGGAGTCATCTTTGGTTTTTATGGTTTTGTGAGGTTAGGGAAAGAAAATAAATGCAAGGCAAGGGTGGGACTCCTTCTTGCAGTGGCCGGGGCAAACACTCACAGCTCCATGGCACCCGGCAAAGTTTCCAGGATGGCTCAGTGCTGTTGGCTCCTCCTTCCTCCAGAGAAGTGATGAAAGGGCCGCTAAGCTGCCCCACAGGTTACTGGCGGGCAGGTACCTGGTGAAAACACAGGCTGCAAGTCAGAATGCCTTGGTTCCAGGCCCCGTGTTGCCACTAATCAGTGACGTGGTTTTAGGCCTCCTGACTCCTCTGAATGTCAGTTCTCTCATTTATAAAATGAACAAATGCCCATATCATACCTACCTCAGAAGCTCAAATGAGATTATAGATGTCAGATAATTTTGTACATGCCTTGTTGTGTGAAATTGTCAGACTTTGTGTGAACATTTATTAATAATATCAATGAGCACTTTTTCTTTTTAGGTGCTTGCCACAGTGCTAGGTGACATACAGGGTTGACTGATTTGCAGGACTCAGTGCAAAATAAAAATGTGAAGTCTCCCTCTTTCAAACAGAAGGAAAATCGTGCAGTTAAAGGTACTAAAATAGCTTTTACTTTCCTCCTTGATCCCTTTCTACCTGTCAATGTGGTTTTTATCTGTTATTTGGTGTGGCACGCTTGGGTATGGGGATACCTGTGGATGAGTATGGACCCTCACCAGCTCCTTTGATGTTGTGGTCCATTGGCTGCTGGACCAATGTGCCATGTCCTGTCTGCAGTGGGGAGGTCAAAACAGGCATCTCCCCTTCTCCAACCCATGGTGGACTGGTGATATGGTTATTTGTCCCCCCACGAATCTCATGTTGAAATGTGATCCCCAGTGTTGGAGGTGGGGTCTGATGGGAGGCATTTGGGTTATGGGGCCAGATTTCTCAAAAATGTCTTGCTGTTCTTCCTGTGGTAATGAGTTCACATGAGATCTGGTTGTTTTAAAGAGAGTCTAGACCCTGCTCCTTCTCTCTCTCGCTCCCACTCTTGCCATGTGGCTAGCTCCCCTTCACCTTCTGCCATGATTGCAAGCTTCTGAAGGCCCTCACCAGTAGCAGATGCTGGCTCTATTCTTTGTGTACAGCCTGCAGAACTGTAAACCATTTTTTAAAATAGATTACCTAGTCTCAGGTATTCCTTTGTAACAGTGTACACAGACTAATATGACTGGTGACCCCTGTGCTGGGACCCACTATGTATCTGGATGGGGTGGGTGAGAAGCTTGCCTCTGCTGAGATGCTAAATAAACACACTCTGGTTCTGCTAGCCCTGGGAAGGTGTCACCATACCGTGTTCTGGCAGGCATAGGCCTACCCTGATCCTCTCTGTACCAGCGTGTGGGACCCGATTAGTTGGGGGTGGGTGACAATGAGACAGAGACCAGGACACCAGACAGTGGGTAGGTGAGTGGCCAAGAACTTGCCCTGGGAGGTGGTAGGAAGCAGAACCATGGTGAGCCAGGCTCTAAGGATCCTGGGGCATGCTCCATTGTCCTATTGGACTTCACTCACAGAAAACAAATTCAAAGATATAAACAGTTTCAGGACTGCGACTGCAGAGCCCAGAACCTCCTGTGTGGGGGCCCCTTTTGAGCAGCCTTATTGTGAGACTATGTAGGGCCCGTGTCTTGAAGCTAGCCCAGGTGATTATTTCTCGAGGCTAAAGGCAATTCCGTAAGAGAGCTTCTCTTAACTCCCATTCAGTAGAAGAAGAAACTTAGGCTTTAAGTAGCTTGCATCAAGAATGTAGAGGCAGAGGTAACATTTGCCCCCAGGTATAATTTAAATGAATCCAATAGGATATCTCTGGTATCAATAAATAAGTAAGTTGAGCTGTTAAACCATACTTTCCTCAGGGCTAGATTGGTAAACTAATACGGGCGTGTCACTAAACCCGTCAATGAGAAAAGTCATGGTGCATCCTCTGTCCAACAAAGGACAAACTTCCAGCAACACTGTGAAGAGTCTGCACTGCTTGATGAGGAATCTAACACCCAACATACTTCCTGAAACTTGTCTCAGTCATTAATTATATTCGTGCATTCAGCCATTCAGAAAACAATTATGGCGTTCCTGTAGTAGGCAAGAATTTTGCTTGATATTTCTGGGGAATATACAAGTGATTAAGATCTCCTCTCAAGGAGTTTAATTCTGCCAGGAAACTTGCAAACACTATTGTTAATGTAAGTAAGGAAGTGTCCTAAGGGAGGAAACAACTATTGCAGTGGGGTGGGGGATTCAAAGAACAGAGGCCCCTTGGAGGTGATGGAATAAGACTCCTGGCTGGTGCTATTTAAGATGGTCTTGTGTGAAGGTTGTGAGGAGAGATCATGAGGTGGGTATGAAGGAGGGAACAGCAAGGGCAAATCCATAGAGGTTGGAAAAGCAACAGCTTGTTCTGGGAACTGTACCCCTCCAATTCCAAGCGTGTGTTTCCATGTCCTTACCTGACCCTGCTCCTTCACCGCGTTTGGTTGATCTAGAGGTATGCTTCTCTGCGAGTCTTTGTTCCAAACAGATTCTGGGAATTAGGGTGTTGAGACAGAGGAGGGGCCCCCTTTTAGGGCCCTGTAGTCCCCCAAGCATAGAAACCAAGGAAAATCCTGAGTTCTTTCAAGGGAAATTCCAGGCACCTAGCTAGCCCTAAGAAGTAAATGTGAACTTGATAAACAAGAAGGTAATAGTAACCTAAAACAATAACAAGGAAGTTAGAATCAGGGGATGCTTGGTTTCACTAGAAACTAAAGATAATGTAACCAAACACAGGTTCAGTCACATGCCATTTGCAGGGTCCAATTAACACGAGTGAGGTCTGGTATAAAGAAAATAACTTTTTATTCCAAAGCTAGTTTAGGAGAAGAAGAAAAGCCTTCCTGCTGTAAGGGTCTGATTTGCTTTTGCAGGAGAAAGTAAGTGCTTTTAAAGATGGGGGTCTACACAGGAGCAGAAGTGAGGAGGTGTGGGGGGGTCCGCATACTTGCTTTGGTGCTTTATGTATTGGGCAGTCAAGTTGGCATCTTCATGGGCAGGAATACATTGTAAAAATGGCCAAAACCTCTAGTGGGCATACTTTGGGTTGTAAATCATCTTTTATCTCTTGAGGCAATCTTCTGGTGGGTGAGAGTTCTGCTCCAGAGCTTCTAAGCACACAGTTTGATGAACTTGCCCTGTAGAGAGTATCTGGTGAGGAGGAGGTAAAAGGCTATAATTGCATTTCTAAAGAGATACGTAGAAAGTGGAGAAAAGGAAGGAAGAAAAGAAAAAGAGAAAAAATGAACTGTTAGAAAAATGGGGGTAATTCTTATGATAACATATTAACATATGTCCCCAAGTTGTTGTTCAGAAACCCACACCCCCACCAATTGGATCCACTGGCACGTAGACCTCAGATAAGAGAGACCTGAAGACTAAACTCTGACCACCATTCTTGTAAATTTTTTCCCAGGGGTCCTGGAGGGAGCCACACCCATGAGCCAGAGCTAACATTATTTTCTGCTGACTCCAAATTTTTAAACAAAGCTTCTCTTCCTCAACCAATTGAAAATAAGAAAATCATTGAATCTACCCAAGATGTGTAAACCCACGCTTCAAAATATCCCACCCTTTTAGGCCAACACTAACGTATAACCTCCATGTATTGATTTATGATTTTGCCTGTAACTTCTGCATTCCTGAAATTTACACCTGCCTTTCAAAACCCTTACTTGCAAGCCATTGAGGTCAGGATATAAGAATTAGCTGCCTGTTCCTCCTTGCTTGGTGCCCTGCAAATAAACAACTTCCTTCCTGTGGCTGCAAAATCTCAGTGTGCACATCTGGTCTTACTGTACTGAGTGAGTGGACCCAAGTTTGGTTCTATAACTGTATCTCTTGCTATTGTAGAAGCTGTGGGCTGGCACTCCTGAGAGCCCTAGGTAGTGGTGTTTCCTGACATGTAGGGTATGCCATATGCTCAGAGAGAATGAATGAAAGTGACGGGATAAGCAGAGAAGAAGAGGCAAGAGGTGGGAAGGCAGGAGAGCCTTATTCCCAGTTCTTCCCAAGGCCCGGAGGTTGCATCAGCCTTCTGTTCTGTAGCCCTTCCTCCCAGTGTCCATTAGGTCACACTCTTTTACCTAGATCACTTTGAGAGGAGTTTGTGTCCCTTGAATTCAGAGACTTCTTTCAAATACAGAGGCTATTGCAATGGTCTAAGGGAGGACTCAGGAGAGGCTGCTACAGGGCAGGGGAGAAGATGGAGGGGAGGGGGCTGCATGGAGGAGCCTTTATGGAGGCTCACATGATGGACTGAGCTCTCAGGATGTGGCAGTTGTGGATGCACGGAGACGGGCAGGGATGATGATGGACAACACCCAGATTTAAGGGATCACTGGCATTGGGAGGAATGACTAAACACAGCACTGTTAAAAAAAAAAAAACATTAGGTTAGTTTAGTTTTATGCTCTAAGGAAAAAGAGCTGTTCAGACATCCATAGTCTTAACTTTAAAGCAGCTGGAAATGTAAACCCATGCAGCAGGTGTAGGGCATTACACGCTGAGGCCCTGGAGTCAGACTCTTCTGCATGTGGCTCCTGCTCAGACGTCCACTAGCTGTGCAGCTCTGGATACATCTCTCTACACCCCATTTTATTGTCTGTAAAATGTCATAATATCTAATTCAAGATTGTAATACGAATTAAATGAGAAAGGCACTAGTGCCTAAAACATAGTAAAGCCTGTGAATCTTAGCAAAAACCAAAACCAAGCCAAAACAGAAACTTACGGATTACTGGGATAAAAATGTCTCTTCTTCTGGGAAATCCTATTCTTTATATCCTATTAACACAAAGAAATTGAGGAAAGTAATCCTAATATGTACTTAGATTTCTTAAAATGTTGAGATTATATTTTTATCAGTAGACAGATATTGTGAGCCATTTGTACACAATGTAAGTTCCAATAATTCATAATTAATATCATATACCCCATATCCTACCTATTCAAATTTCTAGTTTTTCTCAGGACATTAACAAAGTTAGTAGGAAAAATGGACTACCATGGCCGCAGATATCACAGAGAGCCCACCTGCGCCAACATCAGGAAGCAGTTTTCTTTAGAAAACAATTCTTCTAAAAATCAATATAATAGAGGTAGTTTAAAATGCTTAAAAGAGAAGACATAAGTCGAATGTTTAACTGTGACTCTAAATTTCCATTTATTCCATTTAGTATGCTTTGTATTATAGAACATAAAAACTGCCCCCACACCAACCTATGGAATGTTGACACCTGAGATAATGGAAGCTTCCCATAATTCAGTATTCCACTATTTTCTGATTGTACTGAAAGAGAAACAACCAACGACCAGTACAAGATTTCACATCTTCAAAAAAAAAAAAGAAAAAGAAAGCATTTGCGCTTATTGAAATATGTTTTTAAAATGGGATGAGGTGGAATTCTTTCCTTTTGGAAAATGCATTTCTAGAGTTACTGAAATACGTGCATTTATAAAATGTTGATAAAAGTTTTCCTCTGCATTTTACCAGAAGGGAGGTAAGGACTGGTAAGATGTGATGTCACACAGACTTGGCTTCTTTCTGTTTTATGCCACCAGAGAGTGGGTTCTCTTCTTTTTAGCTTCTGCATTTTCTGTGGGTATTTTTTAGTTTAATTATTTACTTCACCCTCTTTTGCCTCTGCTCCGGTTTTTTCTGTTGTTCTTTTGTCTAAAGATTTTTTGTTTTGTTTTGTTTTGTTTTGCTTTCCTGCTGCATTTTTTTTTCTGGCTTAGTTTCCATTTATATATGAGCTAACTTAGCTGACCACCTTGCCCGTCTCCTTAGAATCTTCCTTTTCTGCTCCTTCAACTGAATTATCCTTCTGTTGAATTGCCCTGTCAGATGTAAGTTTCCAGGAAGACAATGCTCTAGAAATTCACACTTATGGATTCATAAGAAAAACAGAGAGGGCAAATAATGGCTTCAAAATATTTTGATAAGTCTGTACATTTGTTTGTATAGTCAGCCATGGATTTCCAAGAATGTGGAGGAGGAGGAAAGGGAGGCAAAATTTAATGGGCCAATTGTAGGAAATTGACTTACACAGCTCAGAAATATGATCTAGAGGCTTTAACAAAACACACACTGGGGTGATGCTATAAATAACTGGCAGCATGTGGAGTTCATTAAGAGGAGTGGTTCAGGCACCTTGGAAGGTAGCTGCAAGAGCAGGCACACTCCAAGATGTGCCCTTTCACTCACAGATTTCACAGATGTCAAGAGTTTCCAGGGGCTCTGGTCTGTCTGTGTCTGCCCTTAGAGAGAAGCGTGGCCATGCCTCGCCCTTTGCGAGGCCTGGCTCAAAGTGACCAGAGCTTGAAGAGCAAATTACTGGTGTGTTAATAGATTTAGCAGAGGGATTTGGACTCGGGATTGGTGATTTTACCATCCTAATTTTTGTTCTCTGCTCTTTGTCATAACTGCTTAACATCATGCTAAAGTTTGTAGCTGTCTATCAAAAGAGCAATTGAATATAATTTCTGATGTTAGTTACCAAAATGGGATATTTCAGGGATTTAGCCCAGCCGCAAAGTGAAGAACATAAAAGTCTTACTTATCTAAATTCTTTTTTTGATGCTTAGTTAACTTCTTACCTCTGCAGCTTTGGAGTATTCCCTGAATTTCTCAGTGCACCTCATCACTTTTTCCTTTGAATTGTTTTGGTCTCCAGTGTCTTGTGTTGTAGAAAGGGAATGGAGTTTTACAGACCCGAGTTTATTGCTTGGCTGTGACACTTGTTATGCTATGTTGCATAAATTCCAGATACTATAACCTTTTAGACAGGGATTACTTAATGAGTTTTGATTATTACACTAGATTTATATTTTTACTTAATTTTCACTTCAACTGAATAGGAGATCTTATTACCTTTACATTTTACAGGTGGGGAAACAAACTCAGAAAAAAAGAACTTATCTAAGATCACATGGCTTGTAGCCAGTAAGGCTGTCAGGATTTGAATGTGGGTTTTCTACCCAAGCGCTTATTGATCCAGGTTAACTTTTCTGAGCCTTAGTTCCTTCATCTTTGAAATGGAAATAGTTGTGTAAGTGTAATGATTCAATGAGCAAGACAGCCTGAAGTGTTGGGATCAAAATTTGTCTATATGTAATTCCTTCCTTTCTCTCCTCATTAATTAGGGTTTTGTCATATGCTGTTACAGATCTTCTCATGTTTATAAGTGGAATTTTCACGTAGATCCTGAATTTTCTGTATGTGGTGGCTCTAGCTCATGCAGACTCTACGGATCCCATCACACAGCACAGTGGCTATCAGACAGCACACGCATACAAGGATGGTGACTTAATTTGGATGATTGTGATGTCTCTTTCTCTGCTTTTGGATACTCCCAGGAGCCTGGCATTATGCCCCTCTGTGAGGCTAAGGCAATCTGACGTTGTCACATTCCTTCCTAAATGAAAGTTCGTAACTACAATATTGCCACTGCAGGAAATTAAGTCTATGGAACAAGCAAGCAAGTCTCCAAACTATTTGGGTATTTTCTTCGAAGACTCTTGGGAGTTTGATCTTCCCATTAACTATCCCAAAGTATTATAGTATAAAAATAGGCAAAAGTGGGAATATATGCAGGGGCAGGTAAGTAAGGTATTTCTTGCCTGTCTGAACTACTTGCCCATGAGAATTTTTGAGTGTAGTTTTTGAGTGAAGCATTTTAGCAAAAGAAAGAGATATGGGAAGTAAAAGAGGAGAAAAGGAGAATGTTCAAGAAGATGGGGTATCTTGATGGGTATATTGGCCCATCATCAATCTTTAGCATTTTCTAGCAGTTAGGGATATTAGATGGTAGGAGTATGTATGTCTGTGGTAGGGGTGGGGCAGAGGGCACAAGCCAGTGATTCTCAATCCTGGCTGCACATGAAAACAACCTGGGGAGAATGAAAAAATGCTAGTGGCCAGAACCCACCTCCGGCCAACTGAATCAGAATCTCTGGGAATGAGGCCCAGGAAATGAGTATTTAAAACCAGTTCTTAAGGTCATTCTCATGTGTTTCTGGGGTTGAAAACAACTAACCTATAAGGGTTGGCCAGGCCAGGCCCAGAAACAAGCTGTTTTTCTGGCAATATCTCTGGGAGAAGTTGTTAAAAGACTCTTGTTAGTCTTGAAATATAGGAAGGTGGATAACATCAGGGACCTCAAGAATGTACATTTTGTTTATCTTTTTGGAAGAGGTAACTACCATCAAATATATTTGTTGACAATAAATTGATTTCTTGTAGGAACCATACATGAGAGGTCTAGGGTTCAGAGGTACTATGAAAGTGTAGAGAAGATGGAATAAGTGATACCGGAAGTAAGCTTGCTTTCTTTGTCTGTTGCACATCCATACCTCCAGAGTACAGCTCATTCTCAGCCTTTCTTCTCTGATCTTGAAAATAAGCGTACTCATTCATTTCAGCCTCTCCATTCTGCTGTTACTAATGGTACTGTTCTATTGTGAAGAAAAGCTTACGTTTTCAGTTTTTCCTTTGAAGGTTATTTCCACCTGTTTTTGGTGGCTACAACTAGCACCATTTTTATTTTCTTTAAAAGTCAGTTAAAAGGTAATGTGATGGGCATGGGTAGGAATCAAAGAGAACTGTTTGAATCCCTCATCTGTTAGTGAATTCTGTGATGTTTGGTAAGTTTCTTAATCTCTGAGCCTCAGTTTCTTAGTCTATAAAATAGGGAAAATATTACTTACTTGAAAAGCCTGTTGAGAGGTTATGTAAGTGAATGAATGTTAAACATATAGGCCGATGTCAGGAATATGATAGTTGTCTGGTAAGTGTTGGTATTGCATTTTTTAAAAAGTACATATGTTCACTTAACTTCAGAGAGGAATAACTATGTTAGATAGCTATAGAAAGAAGTTGGAATAAAAACACCACACTTAAAGAAATTCTATTCACATTTGAATATAGAGCACACATTATGCCAACTTCACTGGCATAGCAGACTACTTTCTATTCTCTAATTCTCCCATCCCTCATATCTACTAGACCTGTTTGGTCACACAACTTCCAGATGTGGTACACAGTCCTTGCAATAAATATGTAATGAAATCGTCGATGGCTATATTAAGCCAGATAAATCAAGTTCTAATTCCAAGGTATTTTAGGTTTTTTTGAGGACCTAAGGTAAGGATTCAACTATTTGTAGATATACAAATAATAGTTGTGTATATATAACTATTGAATGAGTATCCATTATTTGTATATATACAAATAATAGTTGTGTATATATAACTATTGAATGAGTATCCATTATTTGTATATACACAAATGCTGTTGAGCTATGGAGTATATTAGGTGGGTTCATACAATGCTACAACAGCCAACTCTAGAGACATTCATTGCCTTCTGCTTGTAATTTTTCTATTGATTACAATTGGGCATCATGTTCAACTTTGTCCCATCTCTGATCTGGACCAAATAAACTTAGGTAACTTTTTCATAGTGGGGTTAAACTAAATTGAATTTGGGAAAATAGATGAGATAAAAAATTAGTAGAATAGAATTATTTCTCAGTCATTTCCATTTCTGAGCACCCACTATGTGTCAGGCACTGTGCTCAGTTCTGGGTGGGGAAGCTAAGGATGATGAAATGCTGGCAAGTGAGCAAGACACTAAGGCAGACCCAGATGGCTGTCCAAAAAGGTATTTCTAGCTGCTCCTTGGATCAGTTTTACAAAGATATTCATGTGTGTAGTTATAGCAGCCAGGGTTGTGATGGGCATAAGGGTTGCCAATTGAGAATGTTTTCTGCCACCTTTTATATGAGGAGAGCAAAGACGTCTGGAGACGTCTTAATGAGATTTCAATTTGTGAGATGCTTGGCATTGAGTTATAGTAGGTGGCAGATGGAGTTGCATGCCAGGTCAATAACTGAGATTTACAGGCCCACATATATTTGGAATTTCCTTAAGGGCCATTTCTGGAAAGGTGGTCTATCCTGGGAGAATTGTGATGCAAATGGGGTTAAGTCATCAGATATCCTGTTGTTGCCATGTCATTAACCATTTCTGATATTCAAAAGGAAAGGAATGTAGATCTATGAAATTCTGGTGTCTGCCTCTTCAATAACAAAAGAGATTTGGGGAAGAAGGAGGCAGTTTGGAGTGCCCAGAAGTGGTAAGGACAGTACTCAAATCCATTTGATCTCTCTAACTCTTGGAGTTCATCCAAAGGAAATTTTCCCAAGGGTCTTTGGAACCAGAATTCATTCTATTCCAAGTTGTTTCTAAAGAAGTCATTAAGGAGTCTTCCACCCTTTAACCTTTTTTGTATTCACCAAATCTTTAGTGAGAACCAAGAATATACTCCTTGGATGCTCTCTGGTGTGGGTAAAAGAGTTATCACAGATCACGTGTAAAGGAAAACCTTCCTGTCAAGAATAGGTCTGGTGATCTCTTCCCCAGAGCTTCTTGCCAATGTATTGACTTACAGAACTACAGATAGGATGCTTCAGGCCCCCAAAATGCTGACCAGGTGTGTTTTGGTGAATGAGTCATTGTCACACAATAGGAAATTACATCAAGTCAGTTTATAATTAATATTCTGTAAGTAGTATTTGCTGCCTTGCCCAAGGGAGGATTTCTTGTTTAAGAGTTATTTTCTGCCTTGTATTATAGTTATGTACATTCTTGTCTCAACTAATAAATGATAAGCTCTCTGAGAGTTGACTTCTACATCTTTCTATAGCCTTGATGTATTGAGTGCTAATTTTGTTTGTGTCTGAAAACATCAAGGTAACTTTAAGCAGTAGGAGAGAGGAAATTAAGAGGACATGCAGGCCAGGCGTGGTGGCTCACACCTGTAATCCCAGCACTTTGGGAGGCCGAGGGAGGCGGATCACAAGGTCAGGAGATCGAGACCATCCTGGCTAACACGATGAAACCCCGTCTCTACTAAAAATACAAAAAATTAGCTGGGTGTGGTGGAAGGCGCCTATAGTCCCAGCTACTCGGGAGGCTGAGGCAGGAGAATGGCGTGAACCCAGGAGGCAGAGCTTGCAGTGAGCTGAGATCGTGACACTGCACTCCAGCCTGGGCGACAGAGTGAGACGCCATCTCAAAAAAAAAAAAGGACATGCATATTATATTATTAGGTGATGGTAATGGCAGTGGAGATAGAGAGCAGGTGTCCTACCCTTTTATTTTGGTAATAGACATAGGGGGAGTTATGTGGGTTGACTGTGTATAGAAGTTCAAATCTTTAAGGTGTTTGCTGCTGAGTCACATCTCACATCCTTTTTCTCTTTTTAAATTAATATTTCTTTCGGTTTTTTTTTTTTTTTTTTTTTTTTGTAGAGATGGGATCTCACTTTGTTGATCAGGCTGGTCTTGAACTCCTGGGCTCAAGCAGTCATCCTGCATTAACCCAAAGTGCTAGAATTCACATCTTTCTTTTTGACCAGCTTTCTTGTTTGAGCTATAGCATCTCAAACTCCAAAATAAATGAAGTTCAGCACTGTATTGCAATCTGTGAGAAATTCTATGTTATATGTTGGTCCCTGAGCCTCATTGGCTTATAATTCGGTAGAGAATTTGAGTCTTACTGCCTTGAAATCACTAGATAACTAGGCGAGAATGTCCTTCAGGTTTCCAGGAAAGAGAGTTATGAACCAGGATTGGATAAGTTTAAAACATTTTAAAATTAGGGCTCAGATGTCCTCTTTAAAAAGGAATGGCATTTGGATGAGTGAAGAACCCAGGGGAAGTATTCTGTGAGAAGAGAGGGGATGTGACTGTGCTGATGATGGTCTGCCCTGTTCAAGGCTCTTCATTCTCATAAACTTTAGTCCCTTTCAGCAAAAGGTACATCTGAAGACACCAGGCATGCCCTGAATATGTTACAAAGAGGCTGCATACACAAGAAAGGAGACTACCCACTCTCCTAAAACTTCTTCCTTAAAAATGACAGATATGACCATTTTTTGGACTGGGAAAGAATAGAAATAAGATAATCCATTCTGGAACTAAAGTCAGAAACTGTTAAAATAATCTACATATGTTTAAGTTTTATTCAGTAACTTGTGTCATTGCTTTTATGAAAGGCAGCTATGCCTTTGAATGTACTGGTCTCTGTAAACTTACATTGATTTTAAGCTTTAACTCCAGTGTCACCTACTCTGTAATGCCTTCTCTGGCCCCAAATCTAGCACACTTTATTTGTTACTGCATCTAGTCTCTCTTAGAACCTTTTGGGTCTTACCATCATCAAAATGATGACCTTGATTGCATGAGTTTGGCATGAGTCTGCTTTCTCATTGGACTTATAGCTTCTTTAAGTAAGGCTAGATAAGGCCTCTCTCCATAGTACATAGTAGATGCTCAATAAATTTATGAGGAAATAAATATTACTTGGAGCTTTTTTTAGATCTAATAATTAGGCCATGGGGCTGACCCAGTATGGCATTTCTTAATGTTATTAAGTAGAGGAATATTATAAAGGTAGGTTATATTTTATAATATTGTTAATTATTTTATAAATAACAAATTTAAATAAAAAAATTTAAATTACTATAGTATTTGTTTAAATTCAGTCATTCACTTACCACCTTCATGATTTTATTGTATCTTTTACTGTGTGTCATCATATTTAATCTTTTTCTTTTTGTTCAGCTCATTTAAGTTAAAGACAAATTTTAAAATGAGGAACATGTGCATAACTTGCCATAAATAGAGAAAAATATTCAAATACATTAAAATATGAAGTGCTAATTTCATGTATTTCCTAAAATCATTTCTGCATAACTAGTGGTAAGTGGAGCACTCTTGAGGAAACATGGCTCCAGGGCTTTCATGAAGCAACCATTTTCCTTACTCTAAAACATCCTTACTGTAAACATGATGTCAATATTTCTCAGATTTCTCCATTAAAGTACTATACATGGCAGAAGAGAGGAGACATGTCCCCCTTCCCTGGGTGGTCTATCTCCCACAGACAACAGTGATCCTGCTACCCATGGTGATCTGGTTCATAGCTTCAAATTGGCCAATAAAAATTTCTTGGTAATCTTCATTTTTGTCTTGATACTCATAGATATTTTGCTCCTCTTCTATACCATAGTATATATTTGTAATTATTTTCATACAAAGATATATTTTCCTCCAAATATTTGACTAAAATGGATTATCTCAGGTACTATTTATTTGGTGATTTTGAGAACAACCAATTCCACCATCATGCACCATGCTTTGAGAAGCCAGTCTTGAGTAAAATACAATATTGTATTAGATGGTCTCCATCTTAGTACTAAGATGTAGTTATGTATAACGTTTCCTCACTAAGAGATATCAAAACTGAAATCCAAGAAGACTGAGATTTGCAGAACATTTCAGGAAGAATTGATCTACTGAGACAGTAAGAAGTGAAAGACAAAGGTCGTTATCCAGATGATCTTGGACCGCACTTAAAAATTATATTTTGAAAATTCTAGAGGAAGTTGAGAGTGAGTTTTTAGTTGAATGACAGAGGCCAAGGAGCTCCTCTCCATTTTATAAGAAGGTGATATTCATTGTTCTCATTAGCTTTGGCCACTCTCACCCAGGCCTCAGTGATGTAGTTCAGCAGGAGGGGTGGGGATGGGTCACTGCCATTGAACTACACATTCATCCTCATTGAAAATACCTGTAGATTTTGTGGGTAACGTGTCACAGAAGTTAGTGACTAGGAAAAGGTTTTCCATTCATCGCTTGACTTCGGTATCCCAGTTAGGAGCCCTGATCTAGACTTTTTCTATATTATTCAATTTATTAGATACTTGCAATGTAATATAAGGACACCCTAAGTTGGGGCAGAGCTGAAATGAGAATATTTGACTGGTAGATGTTTATTTTTTTGGCTGATCTTGTCTCATTTCTAAATTGAAAAAGGGAGAGGAGAAGCTCTTGGCTTTAACGTAATATTCTGTTTATGCACTTACTGCTAGTGGAGATGGCTGGCAGGTAGATGAAACCATCTTCATTTAGCTGGCAGAAGCCTTCTAAAACTGCTCAGAAGTCGATAGAATAAGTCCCCAAAGGAAAAGAAAAAACTGCACTGGGGTCAGTTTTAAAGTCTAAGATTTGGTTCAAATAAAACTGTCTACATGGTCATTCTAATTTAACAGAAATTATAAAGTTTTTAGTAGTTTGAGATGACTGGATCAAGAAAGGCTTCAATTATTTAAATATAGCATGCACAGCCTTTCCTCATTTGTGTGTGTGTGTGTGTGTGTGTGTGTGTTTGTGTTTTGGGAAGGAACTGATAGCCATTTAGAGTAGTTATTGCCAACTATGGTGGCATTTCCGGCCAAGTCCCTGGGAGTAATATTTGGTGGTGACTGGCCTTTGGGCTGAAGAAATGTAGCCCATACACTATTTCCTAGTCTACTTGGCTTCAAGAACCATCAGTAGCTTTCTCTCCAACAGAAAGTGTGTCCCCACTCTCCCAGGGTGAGGGCTGATCTATTTACTCACTATTCAATGACCAGAGACACCAATCATGAAGACAGGATCTCTGCACTGACCCTCCAGCTGGCCTTTGACCTACTTCTTCAGATCTGTGTTTAGAAGCTGGAAACTCAAGAATGCAGCCACCATTTATCCATGGTCAATTTGCCCTCAGTAAACTGAGATGCCATACCTATAACGAGCCTTATTTCTTGACAATATTTTGTTTGCAATCTTTAGACAAATGCTTGCAATTGCCAGGGATCCATCTATTTGGCTCTTCTCCCAGTGGCCTGAAATAGGTGTGAGGGTGAAGAGCTGTGAGTCTCTGGCCCACTCTGTTTTTCAATGAATCCTTTGACTCAGGGTAAAGAAGAGCCACATGAGCAATGGCGTGCTCTGCCATCTTGAACCACGCTTTTTCAAAAGCCAAAGATAGCAGGGATTTGCTAGGATTTGAGATTGGCAGACACTCCTGTGTCTCTGTCAAGGGGTGATACAGACAACTGACAAGAAGCTGAATGCCTTCTATAAGTGTCCAAAGCCAACACATCACCGCCCCTCTTTCTTACCTGGTCACTCACAGGGCTGGCTCATACATACGGCTCACAGATGAGGGCTGGATTCTGAGCACTGCCCTTTGCTGACTGCATGACCCTTTGTGCACACACAGGCTCATCTCTCTGAGCTGTGTTCTTGCAAGTCAAAGGAGGGGTTTGGACATTTTTTAAAGATATGGGGTCTTGCTGTGTTGCCCAGGCTACAGTGCAGTGGTACGATCATAGCTCACTGAAGCCTTGGGCTAATGGCCTCAAGTGATTCTCCCATCTCAGCCTCCCAAGTATCTGAGGCTACAGATGCACATCACCATGCCTGCTAATTTTTGAATTTTTTGTAGAGATGGGATTTTACTATATTGCCCAGCCTGGTCTCCAACTTCTGGCCCCAAGTCATCCGCCTGTCTTGGCCTCCCAAAGTGCTGGAGTTACAAGTATGAGCTGCTATGTCTGGCACTTCTGTAAGGACACCTTTAGCTCTGAAATTCTATGATGTGACTATAATTGTGGGACCAAGAAAGAAAAGCTCTCACAGGGGAAAGCTGGAGGACACTGGAAGAACGCAAATCTCTAACGAATATCCACGCCTGTCTGCATTTTTGCCTTTGGTCACACTCAACACCTCCACAACTTCCTAGCTTTTCTACTTATTTGCTCTGTGACCACAGGCAAATTGCTTAACTTCTCTAGATCTCTGTTTCCTCTTCTGTAAATTGAGAGCAATAACATCATCTACATAGGGCTACTGATTTTGGTATTTTTATTTTAAGGACCATGATTTGGTTCAAATAAAACTGTCTACATTGTCATACATGGGTATACATTGAAAATATCCAGCATAGGGCAAGCTTAAGGAGGTGGTCAATAAGTGTAAATTTTCTACACTTTCTTCTTTCTCCCCCAATTTGCTTCATGGTGAGTCTTTCCCTGAATAACTTCCTATAGGCTGGATGTTCCCATGCTCCTTGGAAAAGGAAAATGCAGAGCAAAAACTTTCTATGTGCTCTTCACGTTTGCTAAATCCTCCAGATGGGGGCAAGCTGTGCCCCTCTTCCCCACCCCCTCCCTAGGTGCTCTCCCTAGCTCCTGATGCTCATTCTCTTCTTTAATATCTGGCTCCTTGGCCCCCACCTTTATGGATTCTTCTCCAGTTACTTTAGCCAGAGGAACCCTCTTCCATGTCTGGAGTCCCCTCAAGTTAGTCTCTGAGCCTATCTTTCACTCAGTTATGAAATATCTTCTGTATTTGGCATTGGGACTTACATACTTTTTGCTGTTTAACACTCACCTTTATTTTATCTCTTCATGTAGATGGCAGATCTCATGATGGCAGGGAGCTTGTGTTTTCTACAGCTCCCAGAACACAGCAAGCCTTCCTCAGTAAAAACAATAATTTTACACTTTCCATCTGTTCCCATGGTAGCTCTGAGTCTCCTTGCCCGCCACTCTTACCTTCCTTTATCAATAGCTAATTTCTTCAACCGTCAACCTTGCTGCTGCTTTTCATCACAGAGTAGATGAGGCATCTAGGTTTGAATTTGTGTTGCTTTTGGAAAGACATTTATTTTTCTCTTCTTTGTATACATAAAACTGGGACTATGCTTTTCTTGTTGTTGCTGTGTGTGGATACCTTTCTGAGGTCCCAAAGATCCAGCCCTCAACCCTCTTCCAAGGCTTTTAAAGGTGAGTAATACATTAGCCTCCTAATAATGAGACCTTTTCTTTAAAAATAAATGTCACAAACCCTTGATGCCTTTTCATACTTCAGGACCTCATCATTGTATGTCAAGAATTCCCAAAAACTGAAAATATCAATCACACAAATTAATCTCCATTTGACCTGTTCTCCATAGTCAAATCCAAGCTCCTGCCTTAAAAGTTCTGCATTCCTCTGAAGCTAAATGATACAATAAATGACAAAAACATCCTTGCATTGGAGTCACCCCATCTCTTTCTGCTAATATGGGCTTATTCAGCAGATTGGCTCCCAGCAGAGGGCACTGGTTTCCGGGCTCGTTTGTGGCCTATTTAAAACAGACAGAGGCATCTCCAAGGCGGCTTTGTCAAAGGCCAAGAACATTTTTTCGGCATAGACTCTGAGTTTGCTGCCACATAAACAAATAGAAGGAGTTCACTTTAGCCTTCCCCAGGTTTTTGGATTGACAACAAGTGCTAAAGGGAGGCAGAGGCCAGCAAGGCAGCGCGGAGTAGCTAGAAGCTCAGAAGGAAGCTGAGAATTGTTGGCTCTGGCTGCATGCTTAGGGCGAGGCTGCGAGCAAGCATCAGCCATGAACAAACGTCTGGAAAACCTCTCGGCTGGACATTTTGCCCATAGATCCAGAGGCTGGATGATGTAGGAGTGAAGATCATCTACCTTGGATTCCCTTGATTCAGTTCAGTGCAGTTCTCACCCCTGGCTGCACAGTGGAATCACCTGTAAGGCTTTTAAAACTTCCCCAAGTCCAAGCCCCACCCTAGGTCTGGTGAGACAGAATCTCTTGGGGTGAGTCCCAAGCATGGGCATTTTTGAGAAGATCTCTAGGGGATTCTTACATGTGGCCACAACGGAGAACCACTGATTGCTGATAGCAACAAGCTAGGGTTTCTTTTGAATACCCTGACTGTTGTTTTCTTTCACTCTTACAGAGGACTCTTTTTTGCATCTTTTAGCCGTTTATAACTCTAGTCATCATTTCCTTAGCTCCTATGCCTGTCAGCCCCTTCAGGAGTTAGAATACACATACACACACACACACACGCACACACACACACAAATATATGAAACTTAAAATAGGTATACTTTTATAAGCTTTCAATAGTAAAGGGTTTATTTTGACTTCAGTAAGCACCTTTCCTATTTTGTGCAGTCTGGGAGTTAGTAACTGCAATATATTGGGTTCCATATTTGAAACTGGGTGTCGGCTGACTTAGGTCTAGTTCTAACTCTATTATGTGATTTTTGGCCAAGTCCGATAGCCTCTCTGAGGTACAGTTTCTTTACCTCTAAAATAAGGGAGGCAGAGCAGATGCCCTCTAAGGTTATTTTAAGCTCTAGCCTCCACTGGTAATATTAAAAGTCACTGCTAAACATCATAGAGCAAGCCCCATAGAAGAAGAAGAAGAATCATTTTCACATATGTGTGGGAATTAACCTTTTGCCTAGTTTTTAGGTACAGTGTTGAGGAGCTCTGGCATTAAAATAGGAATAAATCTTCTCTTTTGAACTACCTGGATTCTTGTCCCAGTTCTGCCAATAAACTGGGGAAAACTAATACTGCATCTGTAAAACGAAGAAGCTGCCAGGGCTTTGTTTCCCCGTGTGTTCTGTGGAACCCTAGTCTCATAAAATGGGTCTTGATAGGCTGGGCACAGTGGCACACACCTGTAGTCCCAGTACTTTGGGAGGCTGAGGCGGCTGGATCACTTGAACCCAGGAGTTCAACGCCAGCCTGGGCAACATGGCAAAACCGGTTTCTACTTGAAATACAAAAAATTAGCCAGGCCTGGTGGCTTGTGCCCCTGGAGTCCCAGCTACTGGGGAGGCTGAGGTGGGAGAATCATCTGAGCCTGGGAAGTCGTGGCTGCAGTGAGCTGTGATTGCGCTGCTGCACTCCAGCCTGGGCAATAAGAGTGAGAGACCTTGCCTCAGAAAAACATAAATAAATAAATAAAGCCTCTTGGTACAAAGATTCAAAGGCTCTGGTGTTAAATGGGTAAATGAATTTAAGAAATGCCATACAATCTAGCTCTCCTCTTAGTAATTCATAATCTGAATTGGTGTTAAAGTTTTACACAATCACTTAGTAAAGAACTCTGCATAATGTTTAAAACAGTTTGCCATGTAAGTGACCACACATGTCTGACTGAAGAACTGTATTTCCAGATTCAAGGAATACATGCAGGGAAGTGTTGCTTTCTATTCCAGTTTACAAGAAGACTTGGGCTTTCCCAGGGTCATGGTATTTTTGATATGGTGACCCCCACCCCATTCTTGGGATGCTGTTGCTACTGAAGTCTACACCACCCCTTCTGTGGGTGCTGCATTTGCTTCACACTTTCAAACCCGAAGTTTAGCAAACTCTGGATGGTTGGGAGCAGATTCAGGGAGACCATAGATCATCTATAAAAAAGATTGGAAGAGAAGAATTTGAACTGTATAAAGAATTCATTAGGTAATGCAAAGCTGAAGACAAGAAAGGACTTCCATCGTGCACCATAACAAGGAAGGCAGGTAGACCAGGCACAGTAAGACTTCAGGGAAGGCAACATTACGTCCTTTTCTCTGTTAATTATGACCTGTGATTAAACATTGATAGAAACACTTTTTATCTCTAGGATATTGTTTTCCTCTTCTTGGTGGTTTATTCTTGCAGAATACCAGTAGGCTAGATCTAGGAGGGATCTTGGAGATCAGAGTCCAGGTATGGCAAATAAGTTTAACAGACGGTGCCAGCTCTGCCTAACAGTGGCTGCTTAGAGCATTGGATTGAGAAGGACAGGTTATATTTGACTCAACAGATTAAAGTTCTGTGTGACTCCTAATGACTGCCATCGGTAAGATGTTGACAGTGTCATGCGAGCCAGGTATTTGCCATTACTTCTATAGGTGAGGAAATTACTTGCACACAGAATATATTTGTCCAAATGCATACCACGTGACTGGTTCTTTTTTCCTTTCTCATGTATTGTGCATTAAATATCAACATTTGTCGTATTTAAAGAATAAAGAAATGAACTCTATACCTTGATGTTGTTTGAACCCAGTTGAAATATGGACTCATTTGCTAAATTTGAATAAATGGTGAGAGTTAATAAGGATCATTTATGTTCCAATTCAAGCCGATAGCTTTTACTTTTTCTTCTATTTGCCTGAATACATGAAAAGATGGCCAGTGTCTGCAACCAAAGCTGGATTCCTGACTCAGTGGTTCAAAACCTTTCAGATTTGTTTTCACAATTTTTTTTCACATAGGAAAAGACCTCATGTAACGACATTATGGAGCTGTAGCTCCGGCCTCCCAGAGGGTCCTTTGGTCTCTCCAGGTGCTTTCCAGCTCTGCTTTTAGAGAATTAGTAGATGATAATGAGCTTCCAGAAACTAAAGGTGCTCTCGTTCACTAAGGCTGTGCCCCCAAACACAGCCATAGGTGTTGGGCTCACTGATGCGGGGGCCATTACGCCATTTCAAAACCCTGGTTTCTTTCCTTGGACTTCTGGTTCTCCCCAGAGCATGACAAGACTGACCCCTTTCAGTTCTGTTTCAAATATCTAGCTGATTTCTTGACTCTGGACACTACCAGCTTTTTATCTTCTTTTTTGGCAGCCATTCTGGGGATCTTATGCACAGCACATGGGAGTGAATTGCAAACTCAAGCCTCATGCCCAACTACAATGAGTGTAAGACAAAGAGGTGCTTGCCTCAACTGAGTTCCCAAAATATTTTCCCTAAATGTTAATGACATTCAATTCAGTTGACCATTACAACGTATCTAGCTCCCTACTTTGAAAACTTATAGGCAGTTTAGAATAAGTTCTATTTATTTAAAAAAAAAAGCTATGAACCAATGTATGTTTATATTTTCATGGAAAATAGCCTAGAAGGTGTGTACCTCAATTTAATTGTGGTAAACTTGGGGAGTGGGAGTGGAGAGGGAGTTGTGGTAGGCATTTACTTTCTACTTCATACGTATCAGTCTTGTTTGGATTTTTTTTTAACAAGCACTTTTTTTAGTTGGAAAATTAAAACGTTAAGGAAATTTAAAAAATTAAATTTTACAAAATCTTAGATATGGAGAGAATCTAGAGTTCATTTAGTCCTCTGATTCAAAATCTGTGAATCTTTGTTAAATTTATTATACAATATTGCGTGCATCTATATGTGTGTATGTGCATACACCAGTGTAAATTTGTCAATTGTTTTTTCTTAGGAAAAGAACTTAGGACTGTTTTTATTGTGAATTATCTCTTTTTTGTGTTAAAATAAACATATTAAAAAAAAGTGACAAATGATGATGGTTTTTAAAATCCTAACTTGGTATAAGGAAGAATTGGAGACTTAATATTGGTTCTCAAAACTGTAGGCACTCATAGGCTTACTGAAATCATAATCTGGGAACTACTAGTATTATGAGACCTCCCATTTTATTGATGAGAGGACTGAGACTCAGCAGACTTGTCAAGTGCTCACAATTGATTTAATTGTTTTCAACATACCACTCTGTCTCTTAACTTAAAAACATGCATTATTCATACAGTAGTTACCCGAGCATGTAACATTTATTAGACTAGCTGTTCAAGATGAATAAGAATAAACAGATACAGCCTCCTGGAACTCAGTGTGATACAACGGCTGGCAGCATTAGCTTACATAACATATGCTAAATCATTAAAATACTTTTCCCCTTTGGTAAATAAATGAGCCATACATCATCTTATTTATTATATATCATTTTTTAAAAAATTATACTTTAAGTTCAAGGATACATGTGCACAACGTGCAGGTTTGTTACATAGGTATATATGTGCCATGTTGGTTTGCTGCACCCATCAACTCCTCATTTACATTAAGTATTTCTCTTAATGCTATCCCTCCCCCAGCCCCCCACCCCCCAACTAGCCCTGGTGTGTGATGTTCCCTGCCCTGTATCCAAGTGTTTTCATTGTTCAATTCCTACCTGTGAGTGGAAACATGTGGTGTTTGGTTTTCTGTCCTTGTGATAGTTTGCTAAGAATGATGGTTTCCAGCTTCATCCATTTCCCTGCAAAGGACATGAACTCATCCTTTTTTATGGCTGCATAGTATTCCATGATATATATGTGCCACATTTTCTTAATCCAGTCTATTATTGATGGACACTTGGGTTGGTTCCCAGTCCTTGCTATTGTGAATAGTGCCGCAATAAACATACATGTGCATGTGTTTTTATAGCAGCATGATTTACAATCCTTTGGATAAATACCCAGCAATGGGATCGCTGGGCCAAATAGTATTTCTAGTTCTAGATCCTTGAGGAATCACCACACTGTCTTCCACAATGGTTGAACTAATTTACACTCCCACCAACAGTGTAAAAGACTTTCTGTTTCTCCACATCCTCTCCAGTGTCTGTTGTTTCCTGACTTTTTAATGAACACCATTCCAGCTGGCATGAGATGGTATCTCATTGTGGTTTTGATTTGCATTTCTCTGATGACCAGTGATAAGCTTTTTTTCATGTGTCTGTTGGCTGCATAAATGTCTTCTTTTGAGAAGTGTCTGTTCATATCCTTTGCCCACTTTTTGACGGGGTTGTTTGATTTTTTTTCTTGTAAAATTAAGTTCTTTGTAGATTCTGGATATTAGCCCTTTGTCAGAAGGGTAGATTGCAAAAATTTTCTCCCATTCTGTAGGTTGCTTGTTCACTCTGATGATAGTTTCTTTTGACATGCCGAAGCTCATTGGTTTAATTAGATCTCATTTGTCTATTTTGGCTTTTGTTGCCATTGCTTTTGGTATTTTAGTCATGAAGCCTTTGCCCGTGCCTATGTCCTGAATGGTATTGCCTAGGTTTTCTTCTAGGGTTTTTATGGTTTTAGGTCTAACATTTAAGTCTTTAATCCATCTTGAATTAATTTTTGTGTATGGTGTAAGGAAGGGATCCAGTTTCAGCTTTCTACATGTGGCTAGCCAGTTTACCCAGCACCATTTATTAAGTAGGGAATCCTTTCCCTATTTCTTGTTTTTGACAGGTTTGTCAAAGATCAGACAGTTGTAGATGTATGGTGGTATTTCCGAGGCCTCTGTTCTGTTCTATTGGTCTGTATCTCTGTTTTGGTACCAGTACTATGCTGTTTCGGTTACTGTAGCCTTGTAGTATAGTTTGAAGTCAGATAGCTTGATGCCTCCAGCTTTGTTCTTTTTGCTTAGGATTGTCTTGGCTATGCAGGCTGTTTTTTGGTTCCATATGCACTTTAAAGTAGTTTTTTTCAATTCTGTGGAGAAAGTCATTGGTAGCTTGATGGGCATGGCATTCAATATATAAATTACCTTGGGTAGTATGGCCATTTTCATGATATTGATTCTTCCTATCCATGAGCATGGAATGTTCTTCCATTTTGTTTGTGTCCTCTTTTATTTTGTCGAGCAATTGTTTGTAGCTCTCCTTGAAGAGGTCCTTCACATCCCTTGTAAGTTGTATTCCTAGGTATTTTATTCACTTTGTAGCAATTGTGAATGGGAGTTCACTCATGATTTGACCGTGTGTTATTGGTGTATAGGAATCCTTGTGATTTTTGCATATTGATTTTGTATCCTGAGACTTTGCTGAAGTTGCTTATCAGCTTAAGGAGATTTTGGGCTGAGACAATGGGGTTTTCTAAATATGCAATCATGTCATCTGCACACAGGGACAATATGACTTCTTCTTTTCCTAACTGAATACCGTTTATTTCTTTATCTTGCCTGACTGCCCTGGCCAGAACTTCCAACACTATGTTGAATAGGAGTGGTGAGAGAGGGCATCCTTGTCTTGTGCCTGTTTTCAAAGGGAATGCTTCCAGTTTTTGCTGCTTCAGTATGATATTGGCTGTGGATTTTTCATAAATAGCCCTTATTATTTTGAGATACGTCCCATCAATACCTAATTTGGAGTTTTTAGGGTGAAGGGCTGTTGGATTTTGTTAAAGGCCTTTTTTGCCTCTATTGAGATAATCATGTGGTTTTTGTTGTTGGTTCTGTTTATGTGATGGATTATGTTTATTGATTTGCATATGTTGAACCAGCCTTGCATCCCAGGGATGAAGCCCACTTGATCATGGTGGATAAGCTTTTTGATGTGCTGCTGGATTCGGTTTGCCAGTATTTTATTGAGGATTTTCATATGATGTTCATCAGGGATTCTGGTCTAAAATTCTCTTGTTTTGTTGTGCCTCTGCCAGGCTTTGGTATCAGGATGATGCTGGCCTCATAAAATGAGTTAGGGAGGATTCCCTCTTTTTCTGTTGGTTGGAATAGTTTCAGAAGGAATGATATCAGCTCCTCTTTGTACCTCTAGTAGAATTGGGCTGTGAATCCGTCTGGTCCTGGACTTTTTTTTCGTTGGTAGGCTCTTAATTATTGCCTCAATTTCAGAGCCTGTTATTGGTCTATTCAGGGATTCAACTTCTTCCTGGTTTAGTCTTGGGAGGGTGTATGTGTCCAGAAATTTATCCATTTCTTCTAGATTTTCTAGTTTATTTGCATGGAGGTATTTATAGTATTCTCTGATGGTAGTCTGTATTTCTGTGGGATCAGTGGTGATATCCCATTTATCATTTTTTATTGTGTCTATTTGATTCTTCTCTGTTTTCTTTATTAGTCTTGCCAGCAGTCTATCAATTTTTTTCATCTTTTCAAAAAACCAGCTCCTGGATTCACTGATTTTTTGAAGGGTTTTTGTGTCTCTATCTCCTTCAGTTCTGCTCTGATCTTAGTTATTTCTTGCCTTCCGCTAGCTTTTGAATTTGTTTGCTCTTGCTTCTCTAGTTCTTTCAATTGTGATGTTAGTGTGTCGATTTTAGATCTTTGCTCCTTTCTCTTGTGGGCATTTAGTGCTATACGTTTCCCTCTATACACTGCTTTAAATGTGTTCCAGAGATTCTGGTACGATGTGTCTTTGTTCTTACTGGTTTCAAAGAAATTATTTATTTCTACCTTCATTTCTTTATGTACCCAGTAGTCATTCAGGAGCAGGTTGTTGAGTTTCCATGTAGTTCTGTGGTTTTGAGTGAATTTCTGAATCTTGAAATCTAATTTGATTGCACTGTGGTCTGAGAGACAGTGTGATTTCTGTTCTTTTACATTTGTTGAGGAGTGCTTTACTTCCAATTATGTCGTCAATTTTAGAATAAGTGCAGTGTGGTGCTGAGACGAATGTATATTGTATTGATTTGGGATGAAGAGTTCTGTAGATGTCTATTAGGTCTACTTGGTGCAGTGGTGAATTAACGTCCTGGATATCCTTGTTAACCTTCTGTCTCATTGATCTGTCTAATATTGACAGTGGAGTGTTAAAGTCTCCCATTATTATTGTGTGGGAGTCTAAGTCTCTTTGTAGGTCTCTAAGGACTTGCTTCACAAATCTGGGTGCTCCTTTATTGGGTGCATATATATTTAGGATAGTTAGCTCTTCTTGTTGAGTTGATCCCTTTACCGTTATGTAATGGCCTTCTGTGTCTCTTTTGATGTTTGTTGGTTTAAAGTCTGTTTTATCAGAGACTAGGATTGCAACCCCTGCTTTTTTTTTTGCTTTCTATTCGCTTGTTAGATCTTCCTCCATCCCTTTATTTTGAGCCTATTTGTGTCTCTGCACATGAGATGAGTCTCCTGAATATAGCATACTGATGGGTCTTGACTCTTTATCTAATTTGCCAGTCTGTGTCTTTTAATTGGGGCTATTAGCCCATTTACATTTAAGGTTAATATTGTTATGTGTGAATTTGATCCTGGCATTATGAGGTTAGCTGGTTATTTTGCCCATTAATTGATGCAGTTTCTTCATAGCATCGATGGTCTTTACAATTTGGTATGTTTTTGCAGAGGCTGGTACCGGTTGTTCCTTTCCATGTTTAGTGCTTTCTTCAGGAAGTCTTGTAGGGCAGGCCTGGTGGTGACAAAATCTCTCAGCATTTGCTTGCCTGTAAAGGATTTTATTTCTCCTTCACTTATGAAGCTTAGTTTGGCTGGATATGAAATTCTGGGTTGAAAATTCTTTAAGAATGTTGAATATTGGCCCCCACTCTCTTCTGGCTTGTAGGGTTCTGCAGAGAGATCTGCTGTTAGTCTGATGGGCTTCCCTTTGTGGGTAACCCGACCTTTCTCTCTGGCTGCCCTTAACATTTTTTCCTTCATTTCAACCTAGGTGAATATGACAATTATGTGTCTTGGGGTTGCTCTTCTTGAGGAGTATCTTTGTGTTGTACTCTGTATTTCCTGAATGTGAATGTTGGCCTGTCTTGCTAGGTTGGGGAAGTTCTCCTGGATAATATCCTGAAGAGTGTTTTCCAACTTGTTCCCTTCTTCCTGTCACTTTCAGGTACACCAATCAAATGTAGATTTGGTCTTTTCACATAGTCCCATATTTCTCAGAGGCTTTGTTCATTTCTTTTTACTCTTTTTTCTCTAATCTTGTCTTCTTGTTTTATTTCATTAATTTATCTTCAATCACTGATATCCTTTCTTTCACTTGATCGAATCGGCTATTGAAGCTTGTACATGTGTCACGAAGTTCTTGTGCCATGGTTTTCAGCTCCATCAGGTCATTTCAGGTCTTCTCTATGCTGTTTATTCTAGTTAGCCATTTGTCTAACCGTTTTTCAAGGTTTTTAGCTTCCTTGCGATGGGTTCGAACATCCTCCTTTAGCTTGGAGAAGTCTGTTATTACTGACCTTCTGAAGCCTACTTCTGTCAACTTTTCAAAGTCATTCTGTGTCCAGCTTTGTTCTGTTGCTGCCGAGGAGCTGCGATCCTTTGGAGGAGAAGAGATGCTCTGGTTTTTAGAATTTTCAGCTTTTCTGCTCTGGTTTCTCCCCATCTTTGTGGTTTTATCTACCTTTGGTCTTTGATGTTGGTGACCTACAGATGGGGTTTTGGTGTGGTTGTCCTTTTTATCGATGTTGATGTTGATGTTATTCCTTTCTGTTTGTTAGTTTTCCTTCTAACAGTCAGGTCTCTCAGGTGCAGGTCTGTTGGAGTTTGCTGGAGGTCCACTCCAGACGATGTTTGCCTGGGTATCACCAGTGGAGGCTGCAGAACAGCAAATATTGCTGCCTGACCTTTCCGCTGAAAGCTTCATCCCAGAGGGGCACTCACCTGTATGAGGTGTCTGTCGGCCCCTGCTGGAAGGTGTCTCCCAGTTAGGCTACATGGGGGTCAGGGACCCACTTGAGGAGGCAGTCTGTGCATTCTCAGTGCTGAAATGCCATGCTGGGAGAACCACTGCTCTCTTCAGAGCTGTCAGACAGGGACATTTAAGTCTGCAGAAATTTCTGCTGCGCTTTGTTCAGCAATGCCCTGCCTGCAGAGGTCTATAGAGGCACTAGGCCTTGCTGAGCTGTGGTGGGCTCCACCCAGTTCAAGCTTCCTGGCTGCTTTGTATACCTACTCAAGCCTCAGCAATGGCAGACTTCAGGCTGCAGCCTCGCAGGTTGATCTCAGGCTGCTGTGCTAGCAGTGAGCAAGGCTCCATGGGCATGGGACCCACCAAGCCAGGCACGGGAGAGAATCTCCTGGTCTGCCGGTTGCTAAGACTGTGGAAAAAGTGCAGTATTTGGGTGGGAGTGTCCAGTTTTTCCAGGTACAGTCTGTCACGGCTTTGCTTGGCTAGGAAAGGGAAATCCCCCTACCCCTTGTACTTCCCAGTGAGGTGATGCCCCGCCCTGCTTCAGCTCGCCCTATGTGGGCTGCACCCACTGTCCAACCAGTACTAATGAGATGAACCAGGTACCTCAGTTGGAAATGCAGAAGTCACCCATCTTCTGCATTGATCACGCTGGGAGCTGCAGACTAGAGCTGTTCCTACTTGGCCATCTTGGAACTGGACCATATATCATCATTTCTTTTTTATAGTTTATTACGTTTCCTTCCAGCAGTCATTTTGCTTAGTCTATAAGTCTACCACATTGACATCTTGCCTTGCACTTCAACCATACAAAATTTAAATGTTGTAAAAAGTTAGGCAGAATGAGCATGCATGTTTATTTTAAAATATTTAAACAGCGTTGAAAGGTACAGAGAAATAAGTGAGTCTAGTTTTCTGCTCACAGCCTCCAATCCCACTCTGGTTTCTGAGATTAACCATGGTTAATAGTTTTGCGTATGTTCTTCCAGAGCATTGTCTTTACAGTATTTGTGTAGGTTTGGAGTTACTTCTCTTTCTTATGTGGCTTTCTTAATAATGTATTTATTTCTTGCAGAGAGAATTAACCTTATACCAGTTAGAGTGATCCTGTCACTTCTGAAAATATCATCAACTAGTCTTTAGGATCCAGTCTCCTTGACAGTCTCACCTAAATACAAACTCTTCTCAAAACTAAGTTGGGTTAAAGAGATTCTTTTATAAGCTGCTTATCTGAAACTTGGAATGCATTGTTTCATAAAGTGAGTTACAAATGTACTTTAAGTGGTGGTTACGGCAACACAAGAAAAAGGTCAATGATGGAAAAGGAATATTTAAAAGAGTGTTTACCATGTGTGAAAAACCCTGTTAAGAACTTTCCATTGTTTCCTTTATTTTTTGCAACATTTTTTATTAGGGTGTTATTATTCCAAATTATACAAACTCAGTAACTAATGTTCAAAGTGACTAATTTGCCAAGTATCATGTAGGTTGTAAATGCCAATGCTGAGATTCAGGTCCAGGTATGTTTGATTCCTAAGCATATGCACCTTCCTAGCACCTAGAAATTTGTTTAATAGGGAAAAGGTGCACACAGAGACGTGAGTTCAGCCTTAGTCAGTGGCATGGGGTTTGCCTCCTTCTCTTTGGAGACTCATAGAGGGAAAGATCAGGAGATAAAGGGCAAGACAGTCTGGTTCCACCATGCTTGATTCACACCCCAATCAATGACTGTGTCAGAACAGAGGATTGACATATTCGTTATTGCTATATGAGTGTGTTCTTGACTCCCAAATCTGGTCAGTAAAAGACCTTGCTGGACATTTTCTTTCCCCTCCTCCCCTTTCCCACTGATCCATTGTCCAGCCTTCTCAGCCCTGCTCTGCCTTGTGAGGTTGACTTCCTTGGGTTCCATAAACTGACTGGCTCCCTTCTCCTTCAGCTTCTGATTGGGTTTGTCCATTGGGAGGCATCAGCAGGAGACTGGAAGGTGTGAGGGAAGAAATGTCAGGACATGTAGTCCCCTGGCTCCCTTCCTGTCTGCTATTTTTCAGTGGCTGGTTTCCCACACCGCAAGCACTAGCTCCTGCTGGATGGATTTCACCTATAGTCTCAGCTCTCCCCAAGTCCCAGCAAATATTTCTTCCCTTGTATGTTCAAGCCTTGAGGTGGAAACAGCATTCCACTCTTACTAGCTCAGGGACTTTACCATTTCTTGTTGGTTTATCACAATCTTGCCCAAACTTTTGCAAATGCCCCTTTATTAAACTGTCTTTAGTTATCTCTTTTGATTGTAGTATTTGTTTGCTGCTGGGAACTTGACCGATCGAGTAAATGAAACCAGGTTTTGTTCTAGAAAAGAGATCCTCAGAATGGGATTGTGCAATTATGTTGCTCATATATTTGATGAAGGCACAGGGCACAGATAATCTCCTTGCCAGAGTGAAATAGAGGACACAGTATATGACAGAATAACAATTACTCAAACTATCAACAGCTATTACATGGGATGGAGTGCAGGTGAAGGGCAAGGCATTAGGAGATCATGTGGCTGTGGCATTAGTTGTTTTGTCAGGTGATTTAGATTACATAGACCATGCCATGGGCTGGCTACTTATGAAATCCTAGAGAACATGAACAGAGAAAAGGACAAATTATTAGCCTTGAATGCCCAACTCAGGTCGTTAGTAGAAAATCAAACAGTTCTTCAGAAGTATTTAAAGAATTTTTTATCTTATATACAGGCAAGGTAAATATCTCTAGCCCAGGGTAGCTTTAAAAACATTTGCCTCCTACAGCTGCAGACAAACATGATTGGAGATCATCTGAGGATAAACACATTTTCTGTATCCATTCACCTTTCCCCTGTAACATAGATCTCTAGGGACTTGCAACTTGGTGAAATAGAAGGTACATGTGCTGAGGATTCAAATCCACCTGGGATTGACATCTCAACTCTGACACTTAACACCTCTATGATACTGGGCAAATTAATCACCCTGAAAGAAGTCAGTGCATCATCAAATATGCAATACTACTTGGTCTCATGTAGTAAGATAAAGGCATACGTGGAAAACAAGTGGATCCCTGAGATACGGCATGGGGATGTTTGGGCAAACACAAAGAGGATTGAGGAGTGTGAACCTCAAAATTTCCCAGATCCTTTATTGTCTAGGGAAGAAGTCCTGCTCCTCTCAGTCACCTCTGAGGCAATTAGCCTTATCCTGTGTATCTTTTGCAATCCCCAGTAGGAGAATCATAGTGTAGGCTTCTAGTGTTTTGGAGTATAATCAAGATCCTTTTTGTAGATAACTATTCTCCCTTTAAACAGCATCTGCTTTGCTTCTGGTCTTGAGTGGAAGCTAAATCCCTGCCCATATTGGTTGTTTGGTGGTTGTGGTAACAAGTTATCTCAAACTTGGTGGCTTAAAATAGCAGAAGTTTGTTCTCTCACAATTCTAGAGGCTGGAAATCTGTAAGGTCTGTCAGTAGGGTCACATTCCCTCTGAAGGTTCTAGGAGACGATCTTCCCTTTCCTCTTCCAGGTTCTGCTGTACTAAGAATTCCTTGGCTGGGACTACATAACTCCAGTCTTTGCCTCAGTCTTCATGTCGCCCTTTCCTCTCTGTCTTTTCTGTCCCTTGTCATTGGATTTTGGGGATACCCAGTAATCCAGGATGATCTTTTCTCAAAGTCTTTGAATTAATTCTGTCTGAAAAAATACTTTTTCCGATTCCGGAGGAGCCAAGATGGCCGAATAGGAACAGCTCCGGTCTACAGCTCCCAGCGTGAGCGACGCAGAAGATGGGTGATTTCTGCATTTCCATCTGAGGTACTGGGTTCATCTCACTAGTGAGTGCCAGACAGTGGGCGCAGGACAGTGGGTGGAGCGCACCGTGCACGAGCTGAAGCAGGGCGAGGCATTGCCTCACTCGGAAAGTGCAAGGGGTCAGGGAGTTCCCTTTCCTAGTCAAAGAAAGGGGTGACAGACGGCACCTGGAAAATCGGGTCACTCCCCCCTGCATACTGCGCTTTTCCGATGGGCTTAAAAAATGGCGCATCAGGAGATTATATCCCCCACCTGGCTCGGAGGGTCCTACGCCCATGGAGTCTCGCTGATTGCTAGCACAGCAGTCTGAGATCAAACTGCAAGGTGGCAGCGAGGCTGGGGGAGGGGTGCCCGCCATTGCCCAGGCTTGCTTACGTAAACAAAGCAGCCAGGAAGCTCAAACTGGGTGGATCCCACCACAGCTCAAGGAGGCCTGCCTGCCTCTGTAGGCTCCACCTCTGGGGGCAGGGCACAGACAAACAAAAAGACAGCAGTAACCTCTGCAGACTTAAATGTCCCTGTCTGATAGCTTTGAAGAGAGCAGTGGTTCTCCCAGCAGGCAGCTGGAGATCTGAGAACGGGCAGACTGCCTCCTCAAGTGGGTTCCTGACCGCTGACCCCTGAGCAGCCTAACAGGGAGGCACCCCCAAGCAGGGGCAGACTGACACCTCACACAGCCGGGTACTCCAACAGACCTGCAGCTGAGGGTCCCATCTGTTAGAAGGAAAACTAACAAACAGAAAGGACATCCACACCAAAAACCCATCTGTACATCACCATCATCAAAGACCAAAAGTAGATAAAACCACAAAGATGGGGAAAAAACAGAGCAGAAAAACTGGAAACTCTAAAAAGCAGAGCACCTCTCCTCCTCCAAAGGAACGCAGCTCCTCACCAGCAACGGAACAAAGCTGGATGGAGAATGACTTTGATGAGCTGAGAGAAGAAGGCTTCAGATGATCAAATTATTCTGAGCTATGGGAGGACATTCAAACCAAAGGCAAAGAAGTTGAAAACTTTGAAAAAAATTTAGAAGAATGTATAACTAGAATAACCAATACAGAGAAGTGCTTAAAGGAGCTGATGGAGCTGAAAACCAAGGCTCGAGAACTACATGAAGAATGCAGAAGCCTCAGGAGCTGATGTGATCAACTGGAAGAAAGGGTATCAGTGATGGAAGATGAAATGAATGAAATGAAGCGAGAAGGGAAGTTTAGAGAAAAAAGAATAAAAAGAAACGAACAAAGTCTCCAAGAAATATGGGACTATGTGAAAAGACCAAATCTACATCTGATTGGTGTACCTGAAAGTGACAGGGAGAATGGAACCAAGTTGGAAAACACTCTGCAGGATATTATCCAGGAGAACTTCCCCAGTCTAGCAAGGCAGGCCAACATTCAGATTCAGGAAATACAGAGAACTCCACAAAGATACTCCTCGAGAAGAGCAACTCCAAGACACATAATTGTCAGATTCACCAAAGTTGAAATGAAGGAAAAAATGTTAAGGGCAGCCAGAGAGAAAGGTCGGGTTACCCTCAAAGGGAAGCCCATCAGACTAACAGTGGATCTCTCTGCAGAAACTCTACAAGCCAGAAGAGAGTGGGGACCAATATTCAACATTCTTAAAGAAAAGAATTTTCAACCCAGAATTTCATATCCAGCCAAACTAAGCTTCATAAGTGAAGGAGAAATAAAATACTTTACAGACAAGCAAATGCTGAGAGATTTTGTCACCACCAGGCCTGCCCTAAAAGAACTCCTGAAGGAAGCACTAAACATGGAAAAGAACAACTGGTACCAGCCACTGCAAAATCATGCCAAAATGTAAAGACCATCGAGACTAGGAAGAAACTGCATCAACTAACGAGCAAAATAACCAGGTAATATCATAATGACAGGATCAAATTCACACATAACAATATTAACTTTAAATGTAAATGGACTAAATGCTCCAATTAAAAGACACAGACTGGCAAATTGGATAAAGAGTCAAGATCCATCAGTGTGCTGTATTCAGGAAACCCATCTCACGTGCAGAGACACACATGGGCTCAAAAGGATGGAGGAAGATCTACCAAGCAAATGGAAAACAAAAAAAGGCAGGGGTTGCAATCCTAGTCTCTGATAAAACAGACTTTAAACCAACAAAGATCAAAAGAGACAAAGAAGGCCATTACATAATGGTAAAGGGATCAATTCAACAAGAAGAGCTAACTATCCTAAATATATATGAACCCAATACAGGAGCACCCAGATTCATAAAGCAAGTCCTGAGTGACCTACAAAGAGACTTAGACTCCCACACAATAATAATGGGAGACTTTAACACCCCACTGTCAACATTAGACAGATCAACGAGACAGAAAGTCAACAAGGTTACAGAGGAATTGAACTCAGCTCTGCACCAAGCAGACCTAATAGACATCTACAGAACTCTCCACCCCAAATCAACAGAATATACATTTTTTTCAGCACCACACCACACCTATTCCAAAATTGACGATACTTGGAAGTAAAGCTCTCCTCAGCAAATGTAAAAGAACAGAAATTATAACAAAGTATCTCTCAGACCACAGTGCAATCAAACTAGAACTCAGGATTAAGAAACTCACTCAAAACTGCTCAACTACGTGGAAACGGAACAACCTGCTCCTGAATGACTACTGGGTACATAATGAAATGAAGGCAGAAATAAAGATGTTCTTTGAAAGCAATGAGAACAAAGACACAACATACCAGAATCTCTGGGACGCATTCAAAGCAGTGTGTAGAGGGAAATTTATAGCACTAAATGCCCACAAGAGAAAGCAGGAAAGATCCAAAACTGACACCCTAACATCACAATTAAAGGAACTAGAAAAGCAAGAGCAAACACATTCAAAAGCTAGCAGAAGGCAAGAAATAACTAAAATCAGAGCAGAACTGAAGGAAATAGAGACACAAAAAACCTTTCAAAAAATTAATGAATCCAGGAGCAGGTTTTTTGAAAGGATCAACAAAATTGATAGACTGCTAGCAAGACTAATAAAGAAAAAAAGAAGAATCAAATAGACACAATAAAAATGATAAAGGGGATATCACCACCAATCCCACAGAAATACAAACTACCATCAGAGAATATTACAAACACCTCTACGCAAATAAACTAGAAAATCTAGAAGAAATGGATAAATTTCTGGACACATACACTCTCCCAACACTAAACCAGGAAGAAGTTGAATCTCTGAATAGACCAATAACAGGATCTGAAACTGTGGCAATAATCAATAGCTTACCAACCAAAAAGAGTCCAGGACCAGATGGATTCACAGCCGAATTCTACCAGAGGTACAAGGAGGAACTGGTACCATTCCTTCTGAAACTATTCCAATCAATAGAAAAAGAGGGAATCCTCCCTAACTCATTTTATGAGGCCAGCATCATCCTGATACCAAAGCCAGGCAGAGACACAACCAAAAAAGATAATTTCAGGCCAATATCCTTGATGAACATTGATGCAAAAATCCTCAATAAAATACTGGCAAACCGAATCCAGCAGCACATCAAAAAGCTTATCCACCATGATCAAGTCAGCTTCATCCCTGGGATGCAAGGCTGGTTCAATATACGCAAATCAATAAATGTAATCCAGCATATAAACAGAACCAAAGACAAAAACCACATGATTATCTCAATAGATGCAGAAAAGGCCTTTGACAAAATTCAATAACCTTCATGCTAAAAACTCTCAATAAATTAGGTATTGATGGGACGTATTTCAAAATAATAAGAGCTACCTATGACAAACCCACAGCCAATATCATACTGAATGGGCAAAAACTGGAAGCATTCCCTTTGAAAACTGGCACAAGACAGGGATGCCCTCTCTCACCACTCCTATTCAACATAGTGTTGGAAGTTCTGGCCAGGGCAATCAGGCAGGAGAAGGAAATAAAGGTTATTCAATTAGGAAAAGAAGAAGTCAAATTGTCCCTGTTTGCAGATGACATGATTGTATATCTAGAAAACCCCATTGTCTCAGCCCAAAATCTCCTTAAGCTGATAAACAACTTCAGCAAAGTCTCAGGATACAAAATCAATGTACAAAAATCACAAGCATTCTTATACACCAACAACAGACAAACAGCCAAATAATGAGTGAACTCCCATTCACAATTGCTTCAAAGAGAATAAAATACCTAGGAATCCAGCTTGCAAGGGATGTGTAGGACCTCTTCAAGGAGAACTACAAACCACTGCTCAAGGAAATAAAAGAGGATACAAACAAATGGAAGAACATTCCATGCTCATGGGTAGGAAGAATCAATATTGTGAAAATGGCCATACTGCCCAAGGTAATTTACAGATTCAATGCCATCCCCATCAAGCTATCAATGACTTTCTTCACAGAATTGGAAAAAACTACTTTAAAGTTCATATGGAACCAAAAAAGAGCCCGCATTGCCAAGTCAATCCTAAGCCAAAAGAACAAAGCTGGAGGCATCACACTACCTGACTTCAAACTATACTACAAGGCTACAGTAACCAAAACAACATGGTACTGGTACCAAAACAGAGATATAGATCAATGGAACAGAACAGAGCCCTCAGAAATAATGCCGCATATCTACAACTATCTGATCTTTGACAAACCTGAGAAAAACAAGCAATGGGGAAAGGATTCCCTATTTAATAAATGGTGCTGGGAAAACTGGCTAGCCATATGTAGAAAGCTGAAACTGGATCCCTTCCTTACACCTTATACAAAAATCAATTCAAGATGGATTAAAGACTTAAACGTTAGACCTAAAACCATAAAAACCCTAGAAGAAAACCTAGGCATTACCATTCAGGACATAGGCATGGGCAAGGACTTCATGTCTAAAACACCAAAAGCAATAGCAACAAAAGCCAAAATTGACAACTGGGATCTAATTAAACTAAAGAGCTTCTGCACAGCAAAAGAAACTACCATCAGAGTGAACAGGCAACCTACAAAATGGGTGAAAATTCTTGCAACCTACTCATCTGACAAAGGGCTAATATCCAGAATCTACAATGAACTCAAACAAATTTACAAGAAAAAAACAAACAACCCCATCAAAAAGTGTGCGAAGGACATGAACAGACGCTTCTCAAAAGAAGACATGTATGCACCCAAAAAACACATGAAAAAATGCTCACAATCACTGGCCATCAGAGAAATGCAAATCAAAACCACAATGAGATACCCTCTCACACCAGTTAGAATGGCAATCATTAAAAAGTCAGGAAACAACAGGTGCTGGAGAGGATGTGGAGAAATAGGAACACTTTTACACTGTTGGTGGGACTGTAAACTAGTTCACCCATTGTTGAAGTCAGTGTGGCAATTCCTCAGGGATCTAGAACTAGAAATACCATTTGACCCAGCCATCCCATTACTGGGTATATACTTAAAGGACTGTAAATCATGCTGCTATAAAGACACATGCACATGTATGTTTATTGCAGCATTATTCACAATAGCAAAGACTTGGAACCAACCCAAATGTCCAACAATGATAGACTGGATTAAGAAAATGTGGCACATATACACCATGGAATACTATGCAGCCATAAAAAATGATGAGTTCATGTCCTTTGTAGGGACATGGATGAAATTGGAAATCATCATTCTCAGTAAACTATCGCAAGAACAAAAAACCAAACACCGCATATTCTCACTCGTAGGTGGGAACTGAACAATGAGAGCACATGGACACAGGAAGGGGAACATCACACTCTGGAGACTGTTGTGGGGTGGTGGGAGGGGGGAGGGATAGCATTGGGAGATATACCTAATGCTAGATGACGAGTTAGTGGGTGCAGCGCACCAACATGGCACATGTATACATATGTAACTAACCTGCACATTGTGCACATGTACCCTAAAACTTAAAGTATAATAATAATAAATAAATTTTAAAAAAATACTTTTTCCAAATAAGAGCACATTCACAGTTTCTGGGGGAATGAACACACACATGCAAACACCCACACACACATAATTTTTTACTTTAAGTTCTAGGATACATGTGCTGAATGTGCAGGTTTGTTACATAGGTATACATGTGTCATGGTGGTATGCTACACCTATCAACCTGCCGTCTAGGTTTGAAGCCCCACATGCATTAGGTATTTGTCCTAATGCTCTCCCTCCCCTTTCTCCTCCACCTCCTGACAGGCCTCGGCATGTGATGTTCCCCTCCCTGTGTGCATGTGTTCTCACTGGAGGGAACATATATTTTTTCGAGTCACCATTCAATAATTCATTACACGGACTATGAAAAATCAAGTGACCATGTGATCTGGGCTCCCCGTAGCAAACTGGATGTCATCTGACCCACTACTCATAAAGGTGAGAAAGTGCAACAGCAATTTGTCAGTGGAAATGGTATGTAAAAACTGAGTGTAAGGCGAGCAGGTGGCTCACTCTTTCAACACCTACTCCTGATACATTACCTCCTCTGAATTTACACTCTGGCCTTATGTAAGTTCTTTATAATCATGCGACTGGGGCAGAAAATGCCTGGGCCTGACTTATGTAAAGGTATTAAAATATGCAGGCCCAAAGCAGATGTGGATAGCCACTGCATTAAGGTCCCAATTAGGGTGGCCCTGAGAGAGCATGGTGAAGGTAAATTATTCCAATTAGAAGAATTTTAAGCACAACGTTTGGTCATTTACTTAGGCCACCAGAAGATGCTTAAGGTTTGTATCAACATCTGCATGAGCTGTGATGAAAAATCTAATTGTTGAGGGACTTTAAAAGAGCATGATGTAAAGATTGGTGACAAGGAGAAATATATGAGGACAGATTTCTAGTAATAGGCAGATAATACTCTTTTACCATATAAATGCCCACCAGAGAGCGTTTCATTGTTGAGAGGCTCTTGATAATGAGGTGGACAAGATGAAATCATCCTGTGGCTGTCGGTCAAAATATTTCTCAGCTAGTCTGGTGCTTACTAAAGAGGCCCCTTATGCAAAATTGCTATGGCAGCAGGAATTGAGGCTCACCAATTTGATCTTCCCCTCATTAAGACTGATGTGGCTACTGCCACTGCTCAATATGTAACTTGTCAACGGCAAAGACCAATGCTGAGCCTTTGATACAGGATTGTTCTCTAGGGGGACCAACCTACTAGGGTATTATTGGACTTTGGCCATCTGGAGGTAGCAGCCATTTTTTCTGAAGGAATAGCTATGTATTTTAAATACACATTTTATTTTTTGCTCCCGTATTCTACCAGTACCACCATTTCTAGACTCACAGGATACATATTTTTCCATTTAATCCCATCATATTCACTGAATGGCAAATAAAGTGTGGCAATGGGTTTACACTCACTAAAGTCATTGTCCCATTATTCGTATCATTATGGAATAAACTAATGTAGGATCAGTTGCAATTACAGGGAGACAATGAGGTATCTCTCAAATCAGAGGTCAAAATAGGGTGCTGTCTTCCTGACAGCCAGAATTCATGGGTTTAAAAATCAAGATGTGGAGGTTAAACAGGTCCTTCTCACCAGTATACCTCACAACTCACTTAAAGAATTGTTTCTTCCTGCCTCTACAACCTTGGAATTGGTGGTTTTGGACACTCTAGTTTCCAAGGGAAGAAAATGCCTAAGAGGTGATGCCATGGTTCCATTAAATGGGAAATTGAGACTGGCTTCTCATGCTGCTGACTCAATGGCAAAGATGAGACACTCTACTGGCCTGAGTGATGGAGCTTGTGTATGATGGAGAATATGAGTTGCCGTTATCCAGTCGGAGCAACCAGGACTGACTGTGTCCGGAGCCCAGAGAATTCACTGAAGCTCCTCTTTGTATTTCTCTAGCATACTGGCCTATGAAAAAATTGCAGCATCCCTGTAAATACTGGACAACCATGGATTTGGATTTTGTGTAAATAAAGTTTGAGTTGTACTACCAGACAAAGACTTATTTAGCCAAAGTGCTTGCAGAGAGGAAAGGGAACAGGGGATGGGTAGTAGAAGGAGGAAACTGTGATTATCTGCTTAGGCCTGTGACCAGGTACAAAAGCAGAGGCTGGAGGAACTGTGCTTGTGTTGCCTGCCCCCACCCCATCTCTTCTTCCTGTGTTTTGTTATTGGAGAACACTGAGTGTAGCCTGTGTTTGTGTGTTATATTTGGGAATATGAGTGAATTGACAACACCTCATGAGGATGCATCAGCTGATTGGACCTGTGTATTTTCTGTATTGGAGGCATACATTTTTCAACCAAAAGGGAAAAGTAGATACAGAGAGACAAAAATATTATTATGTTACATATATGTTCTGTGTCCCTTTCGATCTGTTTCCTTTTTTTTTTCTTTTTCTTTTTTTTCCTTTTTTTTTTTGTTTTTTGTTTTGAGACAATTTGCTCTTGTCACCCAGGCTGCGATCTTGGCTCACTACAACTTCTTCCTCCCGGGTTCAAGCAGTTCTACCACCTCAGCCTCCCAACTAACTAGGATTACAGATGTACGCCACCATGCCTGGCTAATTTTTGTATTTTTAGTAGAGATGGGTTTTCACCATATTGGCCAGGCTGGTCATGAACTTCCGACCTCAAGAATCCACCTGCCTCAGCCTCCCAAAGTGCTTGAAATTACAGGCGTGAGCCACCGCACCTGGCCTCGATCTGTTTTCTGTTCTTCTCTACCCAGCTCTGTGCACTGAGAGGTTGACGTCTGTGAACCACTTTAACCAGGCTCCCCTGCCCAGTGGCTTTTGGTTGCAATGGCAATGGCAGATGAGAGTGCTGGAGGAGAGAAAGACCAAAGTGTGCATTTCCTGGATCCCTCCTGTCTGGGCCACAGTTTGGCACTGGCGGCTTTCCTCATTCTGGAGCAGTAGCCCCTGTTGGGCAGTTCTTTTCTACAACTATAATTCTTGTCAGGTCTCAATGACTTTATTAAAGCCCCCACCACCATCCCTGGTTGGTTTCCCTTAACTCTGTCCTCTATTTACTAATAGCCCTTTCTTGAAACTTTCCTCAGTCACCCACTTGAATGAATGATCTTTTTCTTGCCAGGCTTCTGACAAGTATAACAGTCAAGGCCAGGCTCTTCAACTCAGGATGGGGAACCACCTGACCATCAGCTCATATGCTCATATATCAAGAGCTGCTTATCCATGGTCTGTGTGCATATGTTGAGAGAAGGACAGATCCAAAGACAGCTTCTCTGGGTTCTGGTCACTTCCAGAACATCCACTATAGGAGGAAATAGAAATTTCTTTCTCTTTTAGGTTATGAGAATTTCATCCTCACCTTGCCTGTGTGACAAGTCCTTTGAACTTAGAACGTTGTTCATTCTGTTAGCATTATGGTAAGCAAAGCCCATTTACCATAGTCTTTTAGTGACAGTAATATCGATAGTCCATTTCTAGGCTATAAGCGTGCTTTAGTCATCCATCGAGCAAATATTTAGTGAATACTTACTGTGTGCCAGACACATTTTAAGTTATGAAAATACAGAACTGAGCAAAGCAAAGACTGTGCCATTGCAGAGATTATAATCTCACTGAGTATAATTTGCAGGCAGCAGTATTGGCTCTGCCTGTATTCTCTTCTCTCTGGTATTATGAGCGCTGTGGTAGAAGCTCATTGAATAAGTATTAAATGAATGAAGATGAGGACTGGAAGAATTATAAAAATATAGGCAACTTACAGTTACATAGCATTTCCCTACAGTTAGCTCAGTGCATTTTAATCCTTAAGTGTGTATGTGGTCTTTGCCATATTGGCCTGTCTTACCCCAAACTAACACTGAGAGACCTGTGAACACTCAATCAGGTGTCTCTAGGCTCCTCTCAGTTGTAGGTCAAATATCCAAAACAATCAGGATACCAGTCTAACTGTTGCTGCTCCAGAATCTGCCCCAGGACCTCTTCTGGAGAAAATCCCGTCTCTTGTTCCACTTCTCTGAATGTCTCTGTTGGGGCAAATTCTGTTGAGATGTCTGGGCTCCTTAGCCTTCTACGTCTCAGTCACTTCTCAACTCACCTTAGCCTCTGCCCACCAGGATTCCCTTCCTCTAAGCTTCCCTCTAGATTCTCTCCATCCTTTGCTCTGACCCACGTGCTTTTCTTTTTTAACCTTAACTCTCCACTTCTTAGATTATTGGCCTGATGTCTGTTAATCGACCCTAATCCATCATGCTGTTAGTAGTTACTGGGAGTCCTGTTGACAGATATGTGATGTGTCAAAAGGCCAATTTTGTAAAATGGAAACTGAAGGAAACCTAAAACAACAGATTAGGGAATGAAAAGCGAAGTCATTTATTCCAGATACAACTCATTCCCAGTAGGTCTCTGCTGTGGCATTTCCTCTTCATACTGTTTTGTTTTTTTTCTTTTTTTCAGCTTAAGGTACACTCACCTTTGTGCCTTCTCATTGTTGAATGGCTGATGTGTGGTCAGGGTTTTCTGGTTGTTTGTAATTTTGTGTGAAAATTCACTGTGACATGGAATGGAAAGAGCTATAGGGGAAAAAATCTTGCTTACAGTACAGCTGAACTCAAAGGAATGCTTCAGGCTGTGAAAAATGACTTCCCGTTCCCTGGCTCCAGCCTGCAAGTGCTCACGCCTTGGAAAAGGTAACCTGGAAAAAGTGAGGTGTGGGAAGGACAGGGATTTTCACATTGCAGCAGAGGATAGCCATGGTTTCTTCTCAGGTTTAATTGTATGTGGGTGGTGCATGATCATAAGTGCTCATAAATTGCGTACCCTGATATTGAATTCAGCCCCCTCCATATGTCTCAGTGTGAGCTGAGCTGAAGCCAGTAGAATAGGCCAAAATATACTGGAACTGCAGCCAAACTGATGACAGAGGGTTTGAAAAGTCAGCTACGGAGACCTGTGAACCCAGTTTTTAAAGTAATAGATTTCTTGTCCTGAGCTACACAGATGCTATTTTTCCCCTTTTGGGGTGGAATATAAAATGAGAAGGTACTGATGGATAAATTGACTATAGTCTTTAGTTGAAAAAGTAGCATTTGGTAACTTGGAAAACTATTCAGAAATTTTAAAGTTGTCATGTGGCATTCCATAGGACGTTCACACTGTATTGCAAGATACTATAGACAATGTTTTTTTCCTTTACTAGAAACATTATTCATTTTCAGTAGATTGAAGAGAAAACCTTGATTCCCACCTCTATGAACTAGAAGTGGAGAAAAAAAAAGCACATTAAACCCTCAAAAGGGAAGTAGTAAGGTGCTAGGCAAATACTTCCCACTACTGCCTACTACTTACTTTTTACAGGTGGCAACTTTGATTAGAGTTCAGTAGAGAATGTGTGTTCTTGTGCATTTTGTTTAAATGTGAGGCCTTTTTGAGATTGGGAAGCATAAAGGGAATTAGGGAATAATTGCATTTGAAGGTTGGGCAAATAAAATTTAGATAGCTTGGTTACAGCTCAGATTTTCTCTTTATGCCTGATACAATATTTATCAAGTGATGCAAAATGTATTGAGGGACATTTGCCTAGAAAGACTCTTATAAGGACATAACCAGACCTTTTGGAGGTGCTGGTTAGTTCTGGGACAGAGATTTTTAAATGAAACATCCTTAACCTTCTGAGCAATGGTAAAATAGGCAGGTAACTAAGTCCCATGGAGGTGACAGAGTTTCCCTGCTTGGATTCAGTTCAAGGGTTCATGTATGGATTTGGTATGAAGACTTTGGAATACAAAATTACTTGGTGCCGCTTAAAATGTTTCCTAGCTAGGTACTCAGGGAAATTATCATAAGCAGTGTTGTTGTTCTGTTTCTAATGGGAAAAGAGCAAGATGCTTTAGGAAACGATAGAACAGTTGACACACTTGTGTCATTCAGCAGAACTGAGAATGAGACCCTTCTTTTTGGAAGTTAAGGAGTGTGTGTAATCTTACTAGTGAGAGAGTCCTTCTTGCTTATCCAGATCAATGGAACAAGGAGACAAGGCATGGCCAGGCATGATGGCAACAACAGTGAAGGCCACAGGATGGGGAAACTGAGATCTGCAGCCAGAAAATATTAACTGGTACCAGCGAGAGCTTGTAAATCATTGTCAGAAGGAAGAAAAGAGAGAGGTGGAAGGTTTCAGGTACACCATCAGTGCTGCAGCTAGAACATAATGGGTAGGCAGTAAATATTTGTTGAGAGAATGAAAATAAAAGGTGGGTGGGGGCGGAGCAGTATCAAATTATCTAAAGTTCTCTTCAGATGGATTTTTGGAAAAGCAAATTGATTTTCCCTCCCTCCCTCCCTCCCTTTCTTTCTTCCTTCCTTCCTTTTCTCTTTCTTTCTTTCTCTTTCTTTCTTTCTTTCTTTCTTTCTTTCTTTCTTTCTTTCTTTCTCTTTCTTTCTTTCCTTCCTTCCTTCCTTCCTTCCTTCTTTCCTTCTTTCTTTCTTTCTCTCTCTCTCTCTCTTTCCTTCCTTCCTTCCTTCCTTCCTTCCTTCCTTCCTTCCTTCCTTCCTTCCTTCCTTCCTTCCTTCCTTCTCTCTCTTTCTTTCTTTCTTTCTTTCTTCTTTCTAGAAGGGCTAACAAAGATGATACAGAGTCAAATCCTTGGTCTTAGATTGGGTACTAGTGATGCCAGTAAGAAAACTGCTTAGTGTTCAGGATCTAGGTAGAACTTTCAAGGACTATACACCTTAGGCAATAAAGTAGTGTGCTGTACTGGTGAGGACGGCAGGGACCTGACGATGAGGAAGCAGAGCCAGCTCAGCAGCTGAGGCAGGCTGCTTGCTGTTCTGTGGAAGCTCTGTTGCCTTAAGAGGACTTCCAAGGAATTGTTCTTCCATTAATAGGCAGTCCAGAGTGGCTTATCTGCCTGCCCCAGGCTGAAAATATGCTTGGCTTTATAGCATTTTGATGAAAAAAGATAGCTTGAATTTCCAAAGCATGAAGCATTTTTATTCTTGTGAAAGTGATGCTTTTGCAGAATAAACTGCTTTAGGGCAGTGGTTCTGAAATATTGAAAAGAATTCTCCTAAATTCCTAGTATTGCCATAAATTGCATTTAGGATAAAGTTACTTAAATGGGTATGTACAAATATAAACCTAGGAATAAACTCTTTATGCTTATAAATTTTATACACTTACACAATCAAATTTAATCTCAAATTAATTCAGACTCAATGAATTTGGCATGTCTGTGCTTTATTACTATGTGCTTATGTGATGAGTCAATTTTCCCATTAGTTTCCACTATTTTAACTTCCAACAAACTTTGTGCAGTGTGCCGTGAAGTCACTGGCTCTTCAGCTGGCTTTAGTGCATCATTTATGAGTTATATACACCTCTCCTTTTCTCATTCATCTATGGTAATTAACTTAGCAAATCATGTCAGATAAATCTCAATAAGAAATGAATGTCTTATTTGATTAAAATGTCTCAATTATGAATGGTCAATGCAAGCTTTAACTTTCTAACAAAATAATTCAGCATGAGTAAAAATGGCGGCTGTGGGATAATTATTGCCATTTTGACATTAGAACATCAGTTTATCAGGAATCAGATATGCTTATCAGTACATCGAGGGTTAAATGCTACAACTCAGGCGGTCTTGGCTCTAATGTCATAAACACAATTTTGTCAAAGATAATAAGTGAAAGTACACATTTTTCAGGTGATTGAGAATAGGCTAATATTAATTTTCAATTTTAAAGTTTTTACTCAATATATTTCAAATATAGGAGAGTATAGAAAATAATCTAACAAACATATATCTACCAAATAAATTATAAGATGATAATATTTTGCAGTTATTTGCTTCAGATGTCTTTTTAGTTGTCATCCCCATTGTTTTATTTTTTAAATTTGTATAGAGTAAAATACTTTTTTTGTTGCACAACTGAGTTTTAACATGTGCGTAGATTCATGTAGCTACCACTAGAGAAAAACAGTTTCATCACCCCCCCCAAATTCCTTCGTGCTGCCCTTTTGTAATCAAACCTCCCCCTACCTCAACATCTGGCTACTGCAGCTCTATTCTTTGGCCCCATAGTTCTGCCTTTTCCAGAATGTTATGTAAATGGAATCTTACAATAGGTAACTTTTGGAGGCTGACTTCTTTCACTCTGTATAATGCGTGTTGTGTCTATCAATATGTCATTTCTTTTTATTGAGGGATGCATTCCATTGTATGGATGTACCATTCCTTTTACTCACTGAAGAACATTTGATTTGTTTTTGGCAAATATGAATAATGTTGCTATAAATATTTGTGTACAGGTTTTGTGTACAAATAAGTTTTCATTTCTGTGGCATAAATGACTAGAAGTAAGATTGCTGGGTCATATCATAAGTATGTGTTTAACTTTGTAAGAACTGCCAAATTTATTTCCAGAATGTCTGTAACATTTTGCATTCCCAATGGCATTGTACAAGAGTTCTAGTTGCTTCCACTCCTCATCAGCATGTAGTATTGTCAAGTTTAAAAAAATCATTTTAACCATTCTAATAGGTATAAGAAGTATCTCGTTGTGATTTTTCTTTTTATTTCACTAAAAACAAATGATGTTGCACATCCACTGAGTTTATTTGACATACATATATCTTCTTTGGTGAAGTGTTCATTGAAATCTTTAATAGATAGATAGATAGATAGATGTGTATATATATATTTAAACTGGGATGTTCGCTTTCTTTTTTTAAGTTCTGGGGTACATGTGCAAAACATGCAGGTTTGTCACATAGGTATACACGTGCCATGGTGGTTTGCTTTACCCATCAACCCTTCATCTACATTAGGTAATTCTCCTAATGCTGTCCCTCCCCCAGCCCCTCACCCTCACCCCACTGACAGGCCCCAATGTGTGATGCCCCTCCCCCATGTCCACGTGTTCTCATTGTTCAACTCCCACTTATGAGTGAGAACACGTGGTGTTTGATTTCCTGTTCTTGTGTTAGTTTGCTGAGAATGATGGTTTCTAGTTTCATCCATGTCCCTGCAAAGGACATGAACTCATCGTTTTCTCAGGCTGCATAGTATTCCATGGTGTATATGTGCCACATTTTCTTTATCCAGTCTATCATTGATGGGCATTTGGGTTGGTTCCAAGTCTTTGCTACTGTGAACAGTGCTGCAATAAACATACATGTGCATGTGTCTTTATAGTAGAATGATTTATAATCCTTTGGGTAAATACCCAGTAATGGGATTCCTGGGTCAAATGGTATTTCTAGTTGTATATCCTTGAGGAATCACCACACTGTCTTCCACAATGGTTGAACTAACTCACACTCCCACCAACAGTGTAAAAGAATTCCTGTTTCGCCACATCCTCTCCAGCATCTGTTGTTTCCTGACTTTTTAATGATCACCATTCTAACTGGCATGAGATGGTGTCTCATTGTGGTTTTGATTTGCATTTCTGTAATGACCAGTGATGATGAGCTTTTTTCATACGTATGTTGGCTGCATAAATGTCTTCTTTAGAGAAGTGTCTGTTCATATCATTCACCCACTTTTTGACAGGGTTGTTTTTTTCTTGTAAATTTGTTTAAGTTCTTTGTAGATTCTGGATATTAGCCCTTTGTCAGATGGATAGATAGCAAAAATTTTCCTCCATTCTGTAGGTTGCCTGTTCCCTCTGATATTTTCTTTTGCCATGCAGAAGCTCTTCAGTTTAGTTAGATCCCATTTGTCTATTTTGGCTTTTTTGCCATTGCTTTTGGTGTTTTAGTCATGAAGTCTGCCCATGCCTATGTCCTGAATGGTATTGCCTAGGTTTTCTTCTAGGGTTTTCATGGTTTTAGGTCTTACATTCAAGACTTTAATCCATCTTGAATTAATTTTTGTATACAGTGTAAGGAAGGGATCCAGTTTCAGCTTTCTACATATGGCTAGCCAGCTTTCCCAACACCATTTATTAGATAGGGAATCCTTTCCCCATTGCTTGTTTTTGCCAGGTTTGTCAAAGATCAGATGGTTGTAGATGTGTAGTGTTATTTCTGAGGCCTCTGTTCTGTTCCATTGGTCTATATCTCTGTTTCAGTACCAGTACCATGCTGTTTTGGTTACTGTAGCCTTGTAGTATAGTTTGAAGTCAGGTAGCATGATGCCTCCAGCTTTATTCTTTTTGCTTACAGTTGTCTTGGCTTTGTGGGCTCTTTTTTGGTTCCATATGAAATTTAAAGTAGTTTTTTCCAATTCTGTGAAGAAAATCAATGGTAGCTTGATGGGGATGGCATTGAATCTATAAATGACCTTGGGTAATATGGCCATTTTCACCATATTGATTCTTCTTATCCATAAGCATGGAATGTTCTTCCATTTGTTTGTGTCCTCTCTTATTTCATTGAACGGTGGTTTGTAGTTCTCGTTGAAGAGGTCCTTCACATCCCTTGTAAGTTATATTCCTAGGTATTTTATTCTTTTTGTAGCAATTGTGAATGGGAGTTCTTTCATGATTTGGCTCTGTTTGTCTGTTACTTGTGTATAGGAATGCTTGTGATTTTTGCACGTTGATTTTGAATCCTGAGACTTTGCTGAAGTTGCTTATCAGCTTCAGGAGATTTTGGGCTGAGTCATTGGGTTTTTCTAAATATACAATCATGTCATCTGCAAACAGAGACAATTTGACTTCCTCTTTTCCTAATTGAATACGCTTTATTTCTTTCTCATGTCCGATTGCCCTGGCCAGAACTTCGAATACTATGTTGAATAGGAGTGATGAGAGAGGGCATCCTTGTCTTGTGCCGGTTTTGAAAGGGTATCCTTCCAGTTTTTGCTGCTTCAGTATATTGGCTGTGGGTTTGTTATAAATAGCTCTTATTATTTTGAGATATGTTCCATCAATATCTAGTTTATTGAGAGTTTTTAGCATGAAGGGCTGTTGAATTTTGTTAAAGGGCTTTTCTGTATCTATTGAGATAATCATGTGGTTTTTATCATTGGTTCTCTTTATATGATGGATTACGTTTATTGATTTGCAAATGTTGAACCAGCCTTGCATCCCAGGGATGAATTCAACTTGATCATGATGGATAAGCTTTTTGATGTGCTGCTGGATTTGGTTTGTCAGTATTTTATTGAGGATTTTTGCATCAATGTTCATCAGGGATATTGGCCTGAAATTTTCTTTTTTTGTTGTGTCTCTGCCATGTGTTGCTATCAGGATGATGCTGGCCTCATAAAATGAGTTAGGGAGGATTCCCTCTTTTTCTATTGTTTGGAATAGTTTCAGAAGGAATGGTACCAGCTCCTCTTTGTACCTCTGGTAGAATTTGGCTGTGAATCTGTCTGGTCCTGGACTTTTTCTGGTTGGAAGGCTATTAATGACTGCCTCAATTTCAGAACTTATTATTGGTCCATTCAGGGACTTGACTTCTTCCTGCTTTAGTCTTGGGAGGGTGTATTTGTCCAGGAATTTATCCATTTCTTCTAGATTTTCTAGTTTATTTGCGTACAGGTGTTTATAGTATTCTCTGATGGTAGTTTGTATTTCTGTGGGATCGGTGGTAATATCCTCTTTATCATTTTTTATTGCATCTATTTGATTCTTCTCTCTGTTCTTCTTTATTAGTCTGGCTATCAGTCTATGTATTTTGTCGATCTTTTCAAAAAACCAGCTCCTGGATTCTTTGATTTATTGAAGGGTTTTTCATGTCTCTGTGTCCTTCAGTTCTGCTCTGATCTTAGTTACTGTATTTTGCTGGCTTTTGAATGTGTTTGCTCTTGCTTCTCTAGTTCTTTTAATTGTGATGTTAGGGTGTCACTTTTAGATCTTTCCTGCTTTCTCTTGTGGGCATTTAGTGCTATAAATTTCCGTCTACACACTGCTTTAAATGTGTCCCTGAGATTCTGGTATATTGTGTCTTTGTTCTCATTGGTTTCAAAGAACATTTTTATTTCTGCCTTCATTTTGTTCTTCACCCAGTAGTCATTCAGGAGCAGGGTGTTCAGTTTCCTTGTAGTTGTGCAGTTTTGAGTGAGTTTCTTAATCCTGAGTTCTAATTTGATTGTCCTGTGGTCTGAGAGACTGTTGGTTATGATTTCCATTCTTTTGCATTTGCTGAGGAGTGTTTTACTTCTAATTATGTGGTCAATTTTAGAATAAGTGCAATGTGGTGTTGAGAAGAGTGTATATTCTGTTGATTTGGGGTGGAGAGTTCTGCAGGTGTGTATTAGGTATGCTTGGTCCAGAGCTGAGTTCAAGTCCTGGATATCCTTGTTAATTTTCTGTCTCATTGATGTGTCTAATACTGACAGTGGGATGTTAAAGTCTCCCACTATTATTGTGTGTGAGTCTAAGTCTCTTTGTAGGTCTCTAAGATCTTGCTTTATGAATCTGGGTGCTCCTTTATTGGGTGCATATATATTTAGGATAGTTAAATCTTCTTGTTGCATTGATCCCTTTACCATTATATAATGCCCTTCTTTGTCTCTTTTGATCTTTGTTGGTTTAAAGTCTGTTTTGTCAGAGACTAGGATTGCAACCCCTGCCTTTTTTTGTTTTCCATTTGCTTGGTAGATCTTCCTCCATCCTTTTATTTTGAGCCTATGTGTGTCTCTGCCCATGAGATGGGATTCCTGAATACAGCACACTGATGGATCTTGACTCTTTACCAGTTTGTCAGTCCGCATCTTTTAATTGGGGTATCTATCTAGTCTGTTTACACTTAAGGTTAATATTGTTATGTGTGTATTCGATTCTGCCATTATGATGCTAGCTGGTTATTTTGCCCGTTAGTTGATGCAGTTTATTCATAGTGTTGATGGTCTTTACAATTTGCTATGTTTTTGTAGAGGCTGGTACCAGTTGTTCCTCTCCATGTTTAATGCTTTCTTCAGGAGCTCTTGTAGGGCAGGCCTGGTGGTGACAAAATCTCTCAGCATTTGCTTGTCTGTAAAGGATTGTATTTCTCCTTCACTTATGAGGCTTAGTTTGTCAGGATATGAAATTCTGGGTTGGAAATTCTTTAAGAATGTTGAATATTGGCCCCCACTCTCTCTTCTGGCTTGTAGGGTTTCTGCAGAGAGATCTGCTGTTAGTCTGATGGGCTTCCCTTTGGGGGTAACCCGACCTTTCTCTCTGGCTGCACTTCATATTTTTTCCTTCATTTCAACCTAGGTGAATCTGACAATTATGTGTCTGGGTTTGCTCTTCTTGAGGAGTATCTTTGTGGTGTTCTCCGTATTTCCTGAAGTTGAATGTTGGCCTGCATTGTTAGGTTGGGGAAGTTCTTCTGGATAATATCCTGAAGAGTGTTTTCCAGCTTGGTTCCCTTCTCCCCATCACTTTCAGTTATACCAATCAAACATAGATTTGGTCTTTTCACATAGTCCAATATTTCTTGGAGGCTTTGTTTGTTTCTATTTACTCTTTTTTCTCTAATCTTGTCTTCTCACTTTATTTCATTGAGTTGATCTTCAATCTCTGATATCCTTTCTTCTACTTGATCAATTTGGCTATTGATACTTGTGTATGCTTCACGAAGTTCTCATGGTGTGTTTTTCAGCCCCATCAGGTCATTTATGCTCTTCTCTAAACTGTTTATTCTAGTTAGCAATTCGTCTAACCTTTTTTCAAGGTTCTTAGCTTCCTTGCATTGGGTTAGAACATGCTCCGTTAGCTTGGAGTAGTTTGTTATTACCCACCTTCTGAAGCCTACTTTTGTCAATTTGTCAAACTCATTCTCCATCCAGTTTTGTTCCCTTGCTGCTGAGGAGTTGTGATCCTTTGGAGGAGAAGAGGTGTTCGGGTGTTTGGAATTTTCAGCCTTTTTACACTGGTTTCTCCCCATCTTCGTGAATTTATCTACCTTTGGTCTTTGATGTTAGTGACCTTCGGATGGAGTCTCTGAGTGGACGTCCTTTTTGTTGATGTTGATACCATTCCTTTCTGTTTGTTAGTTTTCCTTCCAACAGTCAGGTCTCTCTGCTGCAGGTCTGCTGGAGTTTGCTGGAGGTCCACTTCAGACCCTGTTTGCCTGGGTATCACCAGCAAAGGCTGCAGAACAGCAAAGATTGCTGCCTCTTCCTTCCTCTGGAAACTTCATCCCAGAGGGGCACCCACCAGATGCCAGCCAGAGCTCTCCTGTATGAGGTGTCTGTCAGATTCTTCTGGGAGGTGTCTCCCAGTCAGGCTACATAGGGGTCAGGGACTCACTTGAGGAGGTAGTCTGTCCCTTATCAGAGCTTGAATGTTGTGCTGGGAGATCTGTTGCTCTCTTCAGAGCTGTCAGGCAGGGACGTTTAAGTCTGCTGAAGCTGTGCCCACAGCTGCCCCTTTCCCCAGGTGCTCTGTCCCAGGGAGATGGGGGTTTTATCTGTAAGCCCCTGACTGGGGCTGCTGCCTTTTTTCAGAGATACCCTTCCCAGAGAGGAGGAATCTAGAAAGGCAGTCTGGCTGCAGCAGCCTTGCTGAGCTGCAGTGAACTCTGCCCAGTTTGAACTTTCCCAGCAGCTTTCTTTACACTGTGAGGGCAAAACCACCTACTCAAGCCTCAGCAATGGCAGAAACCCCTCCTCCCACCAAGCTCGAGCCTCCCAGGTCAATCTCAGACTGCTGTGCTAGCAGTGAGAATTTCAAGCTAGTGGATCTTAGTTTGCTGGGTTCAGTGGAGGTGGGACCTGCCAAGCCAGACGATTTGGCTCCCTGGCTTCAGCCCCCTTTCCATGGGAGTGAGCAGTTCTGTCTCGCTGGTGTTCTGGGTACCACTGGGGTATGAAAAAAAACTCCTGTAGCTAGCTCAGTGTCTGCCCAAATGGCCACCTAGTTTTGTGCTTGAAACCCAGGGCCCTGGTGGTGTAGGCACCAGAGGGAATCTCCTGGTCTGCCAGTTGCAAATACCATGGGAAAAGCACAGTATCTGGGCTGGAGTGCACCAATCCTCCTGTTACAGTCTCTCACGGCTTCCCTTGGCTGGGAGAGGGAAATCCCCTGACCCCTTCCACTTCCCGGGTAAGGCAACCCCCCACCCTGTTTCAGCTCACCCTCCAGGGGCTGCACCCATTGTCCAACCCGTCCCAATAAGATGAACTGGGTACTTCAGTCGGAAATGCAGAAATTACCCACCTTCTACATCGATCTTGCTGGGCACTGCAGACTGGAGCTGTTTCTATTTGCCTTTCTTGCCCAACTCTGCTTTCTTTTAATTTTAACATTTTATTTTATTTTTAGTTGATGATAATTGTACATATTTATGAGGTACATTGCTATGTTTCAATACATGTACACATTGTATAAAGAATGTTTGCTTTCTTGTTGAATTTTGAGTTCACTATACATTCTTGATACAAGTTCTTGTTTGTCTTTAATTTTTTTAATTTTTAAATTTTGTAGGTATATAGTAGGTGCATAGATTTATGGGATAAATAGATTTGTTATGAGATGTTTTGATACAGGCATGCAATGTGAAATAATCACATCATAGAGAATGGGATATCCATCCCCTCAAGAATTTATCCTTTGTGTTACAAACAATCCAATTATTTTCTTTTAGTTATTTTAAAATGTACCATTATTGACTACAGTCACCCTGTTAAGCTATCAAATAGTAGGTCTTATTCATTCTTTCTATTTTTTTTGTACCCATACAAGTTCTTTTTTGGATTTGTGTTTTGCAAATATTTTCCCTTAGTCTGTGGTGTCCTCTTCACTTAGAGGTCCTTTTTTCACCCCAAAGAAATAAAACATTGCAGAAATAGTTACTTTCCATTCCTTCTGTTGTTTTCCCTCTCCTTCACTAAACTATAGAAATGTGGGTGTTTATCATTTCTGTTTGTGTTTTTTATGCTTACAACATATCTATACATCTATATACCTTATTTAATTAAATCATTTATTGCTTAAATAAATACTTATTGAACCCCTACTATGCATTAGTCACCATTCTAGTGATTGAAGGGAAAATAAGGAACAGAATCGATGAAAATTTTAGCTCTTGTAGAGCTTAAATTCAAGTGTGGGAGACATAAAAAAATATTAAATATATTTATTTTATTACCTGATGATAAGTGCTAAAGAGAAAACTAAAGTGGAAAAAGATTCAGCATATGACTTTTTATTTTTGTTCTTGGCCAGAGAAGGCTTCACTGAGAAGGTGACATTGGACTAAAGCCCTGAGATGAGATAGCAGATCTCCGGAGGACGAGCAGCTCAGGCAGGGGCCACAGCAATGCAAAGGCTCTGAGCCTGGAGCATTCCTGGTGTGTTTTTGAGAAGCAGGAAGGAGAGGTCTTTGTGGCTGGACTGGGGTGTCCCTGGGGAGAATAGTAGTAGAGAAGGTCAGAGGAGTCATGTGCATGTATGAGCATGAATTTGGAGACAGTGGTGTGCTGCTCCACAACTGGCTTCTCTGGGAGATAAAAGCCCTGATTAGTAGCATTTTGCCAATTTCTGTGGTGTAAATGCTCCCACCGTAGCCAATTTCACACTACCATCCTGATGCATTGAATGTGGAGCTGGAAGGAGATGCACAGCCACACGCGATTCCATAGCATTTCCCCCCATACAGCGATGATCGATAGACATAACCTCAAAAGCTTAAATAACAGCAAAATGTGTTAAAATAATTAAAGAGGGATAAGTTATGAGTATTTCTTACTTTTAAATATAACTTAGTTATAAGTTTATGTAATTTAACTTTTTAAATGACCATGTTTAATAATTGGCTTACAAAATTCCTGAACATTTAACAGTTGGCTCTTGGGAGCTGGTGTGAACTGGCTCTAGAATTCCGTTGTGGGAAAGGCAACTGGTTGTGTGAGGCCTCATAGTCTATTGAACAAATGTTTTCTTTTTTCTCTAACATGGGAAACCATTAATAGTTTTGAGCAGAGAAGTGTCATCATCATTTAAGAAGGATCCCTCTAGATGCTGTGCTGATGAAGACTGTGGGAAGGCAAGGTTAGAAAAAAGGAGGACTACAATAAGGCTGTTGGAGGAATGTTGTCAAAGGTAATCATGGCTTAGGCCAGGGTGGTAGTATTAAGGGTACTGAGAAGTTATAGGTTTCTTTGCCAACCAATTTGATGTGTGACAAGAAAATAAAAGGGGAGACAAGGATGATTCCAAGGTTTTGGGGATGAGCAATTAGAAAACAAAGGAAATTGTCATTTACTGAGATGTAGAGACCATGGGTGGAACAGTTTTTGGGGAAAGGTCAGGAACTCAGTCCTTGATATGTTAGTTTGAGATACCTATTAGACATCCACATAGAGATGTCAAGTAGATGGCTGGATATAGGAATCTAGAATTCATGTCTGGGCTAGAGATAGAAATTAGGGATTGATCAGTCTATAGTGACAGACATGAGTCTATGGTGACAGACATGAGTCTGGATGACAATTTCAGAGGAGTCAGTGTAGATTAAAAGAAAGGAGGTCTAGGGGCTGGGCCCTGAGGAAAATCCACCATTTGAGGAGGGAGATAAAAGACTAACTCTGAGAAGTATTGGCCAGTGGGGCAGGAATACAACCAAGAGAATGGTGTGAGGCCCTGGAAAACCAGTAAAGAAAATGCTTCAAGGAGCACATGGACATGTGACCAACTATGTTAAGTGTTGCTGAGAGAGTAAGAAAGATGAGATTTAAGAACTGACTGCTATTTTTAGCAATGAGTGGGTCATTAGTGAAATTAATAAGAGCACTTTAGATGGAGTCGTGGGGGTGACTGGAGTTGATTAAAAAAATGATGGAACAAGAAAAGTGGTAGCGATAGAGTGTGAATATACACAATTCTTTTGAGGATGTTTGCCTTTAGAGGAAAGTAAAGAAAAAGAGCAGTAGCTAGAAAGTAGTAGAATAAAAAGAGTTTTTTTAAAAAAAAAATTGAAAGCAATAAATGCAAGCATAATTGTCTGCAGATGGGAAAGATCCAGTAGTGAGGAAATAATCGACGATGAAACAGAAATGCTGCTCTCGAATAGGTGAGAAGAAATGGATAAATGTGTGCGGTCATGAAAATGTCAATTAACTCTGAGTGGATTCTAAATAGAATCTTCCATCTTATACCAGAGAACTGTTCCCTGCTTGAGGAAATCAATTTGCTCTTTTTAGCATTATTATGAATTAATAGTCAACTCATGATTTAAAACCATTGGCAGGTCTGTTGTATTTCGTCAGTCAGCTTGCTCCTCTATTCTTTACAACCATTTCACTCTGTCCCACTTGCCTTCAATCTCTGACTGGTTCTACTGACCAAGGTCAACAGATGACCTACTTCAGAAAGAGAAACAATCAGAAGTGAACTCCACGAAATTTCTGTGACTAAATCTACAAACCAGACCTTAATCTACAAGCCTATTTTCTTGTTGCTGGAAACTACAAGCTCCTTTTTTTCTATTACATTGGGTAAGTTCTTCCTCTTTCTCTCCAAGGTGAATGCCCCCATCTGTCTCCAGTCATTGTCACCTTCCTCAGTCATTGTCCTATGAATTGTGTCCTCTCTTTCTTGTATTTATAACATGTCTTCTTCTACTGACCCCTTTTCATCAGAGTCTAGACACACTCAGGCCTCTCCCAGCTTGTTTCTCGTTGGCTGGATAAAGACTGGTCTTTTTTATCCTACTTAAATGAGGTCTTTTTTTCTACCTTGGGGGTCTTGATCTCTATTTTTATCTCAGATCAGGGCAGACTAGTAGTGACTTTTGGATATATCTAACACATACCTTTGCCTTTAGGCAGTGCTCTATCTGGACTAGTTGAAATTAAAGATCTCTAAATTGTACGTAGTATAGGAAGATATTTTTTAATGTCCTCCACCATGGGAGATCCATTTCAGTGTATACTTGGTGCAAAAGTAGATTTCCTAATATTTGATCTTAATTCTTCAGTTCAGTTTGGATTCAAGCGCAGCTTTTCTTGGTTCCAGGCAAAATGGGTAATGGTTGGCTTCTTTTCTCTGTCGAAAGACTCTTCTAAGATGAGAACAATTCACAAATCAACTTTAGCCTTCTTGAGGATAAAGTTTAAAAAGTGCCTGTTGCAATAAGCCCCCTTTCCTAAGATGAGTTTTCTATGGAGGAGTCAAGCTGTGCAAGATTAAAAATGCATGATGCTTAGGGAATTTTGAAGTCTTCTTTCCATTTAAAAAATGTATATAAAAAACAACTTCAATCTAAGTCATGTTTCAACTATGTCCTGAAAGACTGAGAAGTGTTGTTTTCATGGAAAATTACTTATTACAGAAAAGATTTTTGTAGCTATATTATAATTTGTGGTAGGCAGAGATGTTTCCCAAGGGCCCTTTGATTTAAGACTGCAATAATGGATGAAACTCTGATATCTGAGATCACATTCTCTAGAGTGTGAGCTTCATTTCCAAGGTACATAGACTTCCTCTAATTCTGCTGCCAGAACTATTTCAATGGATGTTTTGGAGTTCTAACTGTAGAGGAGTGGGGCAGGAAAGACAGAGGCATGCAGGGGAGTGGTGGGGAATGAGTTAAAGCCATGTCTGTAACTGTCCTTTTCTGTTATCTGACCCCCTGTTTTTGTTTAATTCAATCAACTTCAACAGGCCCCAGACACTCTGAACATAAGGTAGAGCCTAAACAAAACATTTTCTATGCGCAGGAAGCTACCAAAATAGCTTCTGCAAGGTCTATAAAGGGCATTTAGTAAAACACAAAGTAAACAGGCACATAATGAAAGGCTGATGGTGGCTATGCTGATGAAAATGACAGAAAGAAAGAAGTAAGTTTCTCCTGGTCGAAATTCAGCTTCAAATATTGGACTCCTTATGGATGAAGCAGCCAGTAGCTGATGGAAAGGACAGAAAGAAAGGAATAAGTTCTTCCTAGTCAAGATTCAGCTTCAAAAAATGGTCTTATGTACAAAGCAGCCAGTACCATTCCGTTGGAGCTGGCTTGTCACTTAACCTTTCTAGGCTTCAGCTTTTCAATAAAAGGAGGAGATTAGACCAATGCACCTTTCAACACTAATTCTCTAGGATTCTCATGTGCAGGTGAACCCTACATAGAGGTGATGATGGAAATAAAAATATATAGAATTGATCCATTAGCGGGTGAATTTCCCCTTTGTCTTCTGGAATCTATGGATCAGCTCGTTCTCTTTTTACCCATATTTAAAACATCCAATTTAGAAATTTTCAGTGCTCTTTAACTTGTATAGTAAATGACATATGCTCTTTGAAAGAGAGTGTAAGCTGAAGTGATGTATAAGTTAAAGCCTTGACCTTCTTCCTTCAATGTCTTAGCATTAGCATCTAACATGAGATAATACTCTGGTTTGGGCCACTGGTAGCAGCTGTAACCATGGCCCCAATTCTAACAGGAATTCACCATTGAGTGTTAGATCTATGTTAATGCTACTAGGTGGAGGCCGCATCATTTAGAGAAAAGAAAGCATCTATGTAGAGAAGAGTGTGTAGTGTTATTCTCTGTATCTAGAAAGTATTTTCTGAATATTTGGGCATGCACGTGAGCACACACAGGCACACATATACTCTCATGTATATATAGTCAGATGAACAGATGCCACTGGAGATGAGATGTGAGATGTACAGGCCACTAAATGTGAAATGAAAGTAAAGATGTGATGGGAATGCCAAGAGCAAAATATAAATGGGAATGTGTGGGTTTTTGATTATTCTCTGCTTTTAGAGTCCAGGGGCTTTGCCTGGGTGGGGGCCTCCTTTACTTCACTGTCCTTTCTGATCCTTCTTCTCTGTTGGGAGTCATCATTTGGCTTGAAACACTGCAGTGACTTTACCAAGTTCTTAGCAAATTCAGAATATGAAGGTTGTTCATGTAGGCACATGATAGGTACACAGCTCAGCTGGAATCCACTGTCACCCAGTTTAATTCATAAGCCATGCTTCTCAGAACTGACACACTTCAACTTTTCTTTGGCTTCTTAGTCTCTTTTAGACTGGATAGGTTATATCATGCTATATCTCCACCTCTAAATTTCAGAAGCTTAAAATAGCACATTGTATTTTTTGCTTATACCACATGTCCACCAGGGACTGGCAAAAAGCCTACTCATTGTAGCTACTTGGAATCTAGCTCATGGAAGCTAAACCAAGCATAGGACTTTATGATTCCAAAGTCAGGCAAACAAGTATGTGGGGAACTATATCCTGCTGTCTGGAGACCACACATGTCACTTGCACTCATGTATCTTTGGCTAAAGCATGTCACAGAGCCAAGCCTGATGTTCAAGAAGCAAGCATACTCTTCACCCAGGATTGGGTAGCAATTGTTGATAAACAGCCGTACTTAACACTCTCTTTCAGTGGCTGGGCTCATCTCTCAAATTAATCCTCCACCCCTTCTGTCTTTTTTCAGGAACTTCTCTAAGCCTCCAAATCTGTTTTCAAGATCCTACATCTTGAATCTCTAAACCATTTGGTTTTTAGCACATTTTTGGCTCTACAGACTCTCCAAAAGGCCAGAAATGTTTCATATCATAAATTAAAATTTACCCTACCTTTGATGAACTATATCCAATTTGACCCATATTAGAGTGTCTGGGGATCTTAGAGTTTCTTTTGCAAATATCATTTTTAATGGATGCAACAATGCTGGAGCATTCTTACCTAAAAATGAGTTTTATTACACACACAAGAATAAATTTCTCTGAGGTGCATATGGGCTCACCAGTACTCCTGATTAGCTGTGCAATCCTGGAAAGACATTTGATTTCTCAGATGAGTGAGATGAGGGGTAGCACCATATTTACAAGAATCTTATAGGTCTGTAATTTTTTGATGCTATTATTTCTAGTCTCCCAGAAAGTGCATTAGTTTCCAATATTTGTAGGAGGGAGTTACAGTTCTTCCTTTTCTGGGTATGCAAATTTGAAGCTCATGATTGAGCATGCTCTGTGGAGAGTGTGTACGGCTGCATTGTGCAGGTAGGGGAAGCAACTGGCTTCAGAAGCTTGAGTGGAAAACTTCTGAAAAAGTCAAACCAACTGCACAGCCCATGCCCACAAGGGAGCTAATGAGTTACTTGTGCATACAGCTGAGGAAATACGCCCACCAGAATTCTTCTGTGTTTGACATAGATCCAGATTATCATCTTTTTGGACTCCTATGGTTAGGACGGAGAGGCAGTGACCAAAATAATTTGATTATAGCATCTTAGTAGTTACATGGCTTAACTTATGTTTATTTTTTCTTTCTTCTTTCTTTGACATTTCAGACATAACAATGCCAGGGACTGTACAGGAACTGTTTCTTTTGATCTCTCTCCAAGACCACTGGTTTCCTTCCTAGGACTTTAGTCTTGGTATCCCTCTCAGTAACAAGAGACTGAATTGGAAGTCATTTTGGAATCTACTTGTGGGTCCTCCAATCAGAGAAGCAGACGATATCAGTATGCTTTCTTTCATTCACTTATCTACTCATTCAACAAGCATTCCTTGAACATCTCCTATCTACCAAACTTGGTACTGGACACTGGTGACCCAGACACCAATAAGGCACAGGAGAATTAGCTCCTGCCTTGGAGGTCCTCACAATCTCATCAAAATATATATGAATAAGGCAAGTTTGTATTATAGGAGAATGACTAGTGCTATAGAACATAGGAGTTAGTGATGTATCTCTTGAGTGAGCCAGGAAGAGCTACAGAGAGAAGGAGATGCTTGAGAGGGGTCTTAAAGTGAGTGAGATTTTGACAAGGCAGAGAAGTTTAAGAAGGGATTCGAGATTCAAGCAAAGGAAACAGCTTGGACAAAGGAACAAAAATGAGTAGACATAACTTTTTTGAGAACATCTATTTCTAGCTGCAGGAAATATCCCTGATATATTGATCACCTATATTTCCCAAAGATTTCCTTTCCATTTCCTCCACATTTAAAGGTGACCAGGGAGTAAATGTGATGAAAGTTCGATTCAGAGAGGGAGGCTTAAGTGCCATGGTCATAGGATTGCAGTCAGTCCTTGGGGATCCCTACTATAGGACAGGTAGCAAGAGGACAGGAGCCCAGGCCCACTCAGACAGTTGGGAGTTTGAATCCCTGTCCTGCTACCAGCCATCTGTGTCATCTCAGGCAGGTCTTAACCTCTTTAGGCTTCAGTTTCTTCCTCTATCAAATGGGGATAATAGTACCTTCCCCAAGGAGTTGCTGTGGGGAGTAACCAACTGAATTAACACACGCAAACCTGTGAGAATGGCCCCTGCATACGTTGAGCACTTGATGATTGTCAGGTTTTGTTGTTGCTGTTGTTATAATTCTTGTTTTAACAGTTTCCAAATTATATGTCACTGTAATTATTGAGAGGTAGCTTCATTTTCTTTTCTTTTAATTATTATACTTTAAGTTTTAGGGTACATGTGTACAACCTGCAGGTTTGTTACATATGTATACATGTGCCATGTTGGTGTGCTGCACCCATTAACTCGTCATTTAACATTAGGTATATCTCCTAATGCTATCCCTCCCCCCTCCCCCCACCCCACAACAGGCGTTGGTGTGTGATGTTCCCCTTCCTGTGTCCATGTGTTCTCATTGTTCAATTCCCGCCTCTTACAGTCTTAATATTCTGATTTGGAAAGGAAGCCTGGGATAGAGGAAGTTTTAATCAATTTTGTGTTAACTAATTTTTGTTGAGTATTTTCTTATGAGCAAGACTCTATATTAGTTACTGAAATAGTAAATTATCGTGGAGAGAATGCTGGGAAACTTGGTTGAAGAATAGCTTTATAGCTTGTTTAAGCATTAGTGTCAATGCCGTTTTCAGAGGATAATAAGTGTATCCTGCTGGAGTGGAGATTTGTTTTTCGTTTTTTGTTGTTGTTGTTGTTGTTGTTTGCATGTTTCTTGTCCTCCCCTTTTTCTTCAAGTGCATATCTTGCATTTATTTAGAGAAATTATTCCTTTCTCCAATCTTGCAATTATTTTGAGCCTGTGGGATTTATAAACATTGACATGGAAAAGGAATGCCGCCTCCCCTCTTCTACTCCCTCTCCCCAGAAAGCCAAAGAAAACAGGAAAGAATGTGGGCAACACTCGAGCAGAAATGAGAGACAGAAGAAATTGACTATTGAACTATTAGAGGCATCAAATCCCTCATACTCCTCTTTGAGCCCACCACATCTGCCTTGGATTATTCTTTGATTCTCTGAGCAAACCCAATGTTCTACTAAGTTTTCATTTCTAGATAAGCTCCATCAGGTTGGGCTTCTGTCACTTGCAACCAAAGGAGCCTGCCTGCCTTGCAGCATTATCGTGTCTGTCAGATAAGACGCGGTACACAGAGTTCTTTGAAAACCTAAAGCACCACAACAAATGCTAGCTGTAATTAAAAGAACTGTGAAATATAGTTTATTCCCTTGCAGGAGCAATAAGGTATTCTGTGCTGCCAGTGTTGTTAATTATTTAAGAATAGAAGTGACAACTGCACAGTCTAAGTAATTGGGTTCAGTGTCTGGAGAGTACTGTACATTGAGATAAGTTTGGAAGGCCTTAGGGAAAAGGTAGGATTTGAGCCAGGCCTTAAGTATAATCATAATGCTGATCAAAGTAAGAGAAGGGCTTTCTAGGCATGGAGGATACTGTGGGACAAAGAACCATTGGTTACCTCATTAACAAGTATTTACTGGCCTGCTATGGGTTGAACATAGAGAAGTTCAAAGCTTGAAGAGGTCTTGGAATCTTCTCCAGCTACTTGTAAAAGCCGCTTAAATGATAGAATACTGAAAAGAATCTGCAGTATTAAAAAAAGAAGCCAGCAGAAAAACAAGAAATGGGGAAAGGATTTGCTATTTAATAAATGGTGCTGGGAAAACTGGCTTGCCATATGTAGAAAGCTGAAACTGGATCCCTTCCTTACACCTTATACAAAAATTAATTCAAGATGGATTAAAGACTTAAACGTTGGACCTAAAACCATAAAAACCCTAGAGGAAAACCTAGGCAATACCATTCAGGACATAGGCATGAGCAAGGACTTCATGACTAAAACATCAAAAGCAATGGCAACAAAAGCCAAAATAGACAAATGGGATCTAATTAAACTAAAGAGCTTCTGCACAGTGAAAGAAACTACCATCAGAGTGAACAGGCAACCTACAGAATGGGAGAAAATTTTTGCAATCTACCCATCTGACAAAGGGGTAATATCCAGAATCTACAAAGAATTTAAACAAATTTACAAGAAGAAAACAAACAACCCCATCAAAAAGTGGGTGAAGGATATGAACAGACAGTTCTCAAAAGAAGACATTTATGCAGCCAACAGACACATGAAAAAATGCTCATTACTGGTCAGCAGAGAAATGCAAATCAAAACCACAATGAGATACCATCTCATGCCGGTTAAAATGGTGATCATTAAAAAGTCAGGAAACAACAGGTGCTGAAGAGGATGTGGAGAAATAGGAATGATTTTACACTGTTGGTGGGAGTGTAAATTAGTTCAATCATTGTGGAAGACAGTGTGGCAATTCCTCAAGGATCTAGAACTACAAATACCATTTGACCCAGCCATCCCATTACTGGGTATTTACCCAAAGGATTATAAATCATGCTACTATAAAGACACATGCTCACATATGTTTATTGCAACACTGTTCACAATAGCAAAGACTTGGAACCAACCCAAATGTCCATCAATGATAGACTGGATTAAGAAAATGTGGTACATATACACCATGGAATACTATGCAGCAATAAAAAAGGATGAGTTCATGTCCTTTGCAGGGACATGGTTGAAGCTGGAAACCATCATTATCAGCAGACTATCACAAGGACAGAAAACCAAACACCGCATGTTCTCACTCACAAGTGGGAATTGAACAATGAGAACACTTGGAAGCAGGAAGGGGAACATAACACACCAGGGCCTGTCATGGGGTGGGGGGCTGGGGGAGAGGGATAGCATTAGGAGAAATATCTAATGTAAATGACAAGTTGATGGGTGCAGCAAAGCAACATGGCACATGTATACATATGTAACAAACCTGCACATTGTGCACATGTACCCTAGAACTTACAGTATGTATATAAAAAAAAAAAAACAGCAGAGCACATTTCACATTGCTGTGGGTCCTCTCTTGTATTGCAAGACTTTCCTTCTTCCTAGTAGCATTTTTGAGACTTCCTTGATGTTTGAGCCAGGTTGGTCTCATCAGTGCATTTTTTATTCCCTTTCTTTGGAAGTGAGTAGAAATGGCCAATTCAGATGAAAGCTGTCACCCTCTGCAGGGTCCTTTCTTGATTCTATGGCTGCTATCACTTTTTCCCACTCTCTGGTTTCTGGCCTTTCCCAGTTCACAACATCTTCTGAAGCCACACTTGTGGTGAAGTCTTGGGGCTGGAAATGGAAATTTTTCTCCCTGAGAAGCCTGAGGCTGTTATTGTTAAGTAGCTGCAGATTTTCAAAACTTTGAGGATCCAGGACAACAATAGTGCACATTGTTTTCCCTGTTATTTCTTAAAAAAATTTATTGTTACATAATAATTTTACATATTTATGGGGTACGTGTGATATTTTGATACATGCATACATGTGTAATGGTGAAATCAGGGTGTTTAAGGTTTCCATCCCCTTGAACATTTACCATTTCTTTGTGTTGGAAACATTTCAAATCTTCTATCATTAGACTCTGTCTCAACAGCTCATATTTTCTGCCCTTCAGTCCAAGAAATGTATGAGAATAGTTGTCAAGTTCACTCACCGTAAGGGAAAAGAACATCAAAACCTTAGTTTCCTCGTCTACAAAATGGGATTATAACATGTAAGTTTACAAGGCTATCATAAGAATTAAAATAACGAATGTGGAGTCACTCTACGGAAACATACCAATAATAATAAAAGCAGTTTAGAAGTATGCAGAAAGTAGAGTTATTCTCCATGACCTTGCACTCCGTGCCCTAGTTCTGTCCTCCTCCGGTTATCTTCAGGATCCTCTAGATTCTTCATGATGTATGGGCTCTTATTAATTCTAGTGCCTGACAGGAAATTGAGGCTGACAGTTTAGTAACTTGCTGGGTGTTAGCACTTTTTATCTTACACTCCTGCCAAACATATGGTAAAGGCGATTACTACCAGAGAGAAGACTGAGCGTCAGGGTGGTAAGTGGCATGAGGCAGCCATGTGTGAGACATGTCCCCTGTGGATATGGGTAAATTGGGTCCTGCAAAGTACCTGGATCTAGAGAGAACCATGCTGGAAGGAAAGTCTTGCTTCTGATGGCAGAGTCAATCAAGCAGGGCCAGCCTGATGACCAAAAGACGTGAAGGACAGGGAGCGTCTGGCAGATTCAAGAAGGGAGCAGAGTGCTGCGTGCCACCTGTAGCTTCTTTCCGTGCTTTCTAATCCATCATCTTGTCTTTGAAAGTATCTCCTGGGGAGAGGCCCTTTGGCAAGAAGGCAAGCTGGGCCTGTTCTCATCTTTTCCTCTATTCTCATCCCAGTTGGAAATAAATACCTCAAAGCTGGTTGACTTTCCAGCAGGTCCAATTTGTTTCAAAGTCCATTTTCAGTCAATTTCATCGGCACATTCTTCCAGGAAAGATGAAACTATTCCATGGAAATGGCTGCTGGGGGTATGGCCTGTGGACAGAAATAGTTGAGGTTATTGCCTTATGGAGCGTAAGCTTCAGAAATGCTTGTAGAGGTCAAAGAGGTGCCTCCCTTCTCTTTTAAGAAATGAGAACACTAAGGCCACAATGGGCAGGCAACTTGCCCAGCGTGTCACTTGCAGGTGTCCTGCCTTTCGAAGTCTCCTAAAGGGAACGAGGGAGTATCAAAGACCCACTGCTTCAGGGAAAGAAATGAGATGACAGAGCTGGTCAGCTGCAACCGATCTTACCAAAGGTTGGGTTAAGAAAGTGGGAGTGCATAAGCCAGGGCAAGACAGATTTCTCGGAAATCGAGAAACAACAGAGTAATACCCAAACAGGGACTTGGAGCAAACGAATCAAAATCAAGAGCCAATACTAGATGGGGACATAGTGACGCTAAGAACAGCTGAGAATGATTTAGGATCAGCATGGTGAAAAACAAGCTATCTTCAAGTTAATAAAATCAAACAGGAGTTCTAAGAAGTGAAGGCAGCCTCTGGATTCTTTATTGCCTTCCCATTATAGGGAAGGCCTCCACAACCTGGCCCAGTGGATGTTTTCTGTAGTCCCTGTTGACTTACTCAAATGCAACCACTTCCAGCTCATCAGATCTATGCCCTGTGTCCTCTGCCTCTGGAGCTTTCCTCAGGCTGTCCTCTCTGCATGGAATGCTGTTTCCCCTTCTCTGGTCCAGCCGAATTCTACATATCCTTCAAAGACCAGTTCAGTTCCCACATCTCCATGAAACCTTCCATACACACTGGCTGAAAGCATTCTCCCTGTTTGCTGGTCTCCAGTTACACTGTTGCCTCCTCCTATCTTATACACAATTAGAGTGATCTGTGTGCAGGCATTCTAGGACTAGCTTCTCCTGCTTTTTGGAAAGTCCATGAGTCCATCTATAACCCACAGGGACCTTACCTGTGTGCCTCACGCATAGTAGGTGCTTAAAAAATATTTGCCAAAAAAGTGGTCATCTAGAGGGGTACACATGAGAGTATCAGCATCATACTTGGCTTCAGCCAGATTCTCACTAGGGGCATCATGTCCCTAAGTAAGGAGAAATGTGGAGAAGATGAGAGCATTCAGAAGAGAGCCACAGAGATAACGCATTTAAAAATAGGCTAAATAAAGTCATATTAAAGGAAAGTAAAGCTTAGGACTTTTCCTGGGAAGTGAGGCACATTCGTTAATCTTTCTCCAGGCCTATAAAGGGCTTTTGCCCAGAGAAATGACAGCAGCTGCTTTTCATCCCTGATTAAATCAGATCAGTTGGAAATTAAACAGAAACATCGTTCAGATCACAAATAGGGAAAATATTTCTGAGAGAGGGTGATTAAACTCTCAGAGGAGTTACCATAGGGATTTGTAGACTTTAGGTCTCCACAGGATTATTAAACAGATTCCTGTGTGTCAAGGCCAGTTTAGTGGCTCCCTCTGGAATGAATGCCATGGAATGAACTTGACAATCTGTTCTCTCACACCTCCCTGCGCTGGCCAGGTGTCGGCCCTAGGTGTCACTGGCGGTCAGTTCCAGGCTGTTCCAGCAGGGGGCGGCCACGCACAGTGAAAGCCCACAGGTACAGCCGGCCAGAATGGTTCGAAAGAGTGAATCTACCAGGTTTGTGAGTGGACCAGGGACCCAGGTGTGAGGTGTGCAAAGAAGAGTAAGCACTTTCCATGGGCACGCCCAGGAAGCCACCACAGATCCTCTCACTTTCTCCACGCCCCCCTGGGTGTTAAGAACAGAAAGTGCACTTGGTAACTTGGAAAAACCCTCTCTCTGCATTGAGGCACAGTCATTTCCAAAAAGTCCCCAGAGCCTGTGCTCAGAGAATCGGGTGGTGTGCTGAGACTTCTTTGGATCTGCTTCTGCAACCCAAGCATGGTGCATAAAACTTTATCCAAAGAAAAAAAGGCAAAATGAAAAACAATTGGTGAAGAGGAATAATGGCATAGGTAACTCAGAAGAGTAGTGTCACTTCCATTTGATTTTAAAGATATATACACACAGGCACACAGGGCATCTGCCTGCCTGCTGTGTTCCCAAGTCTCCTTCTGAGGAATGCTGCTCTGGTGCATGGCGTTTCCTTGTGCTGTGTCTGGTAATTTGCTGGCTCCGCTGCCACCCAACAGGCCGGGCATTGGTGGCTCAGCTGCAGGCAGCCTCTACGGGCTCCGTGGAGGTGGCCCCTGCCTGTGAAGTGGGCAAGTCTAACAGCACCTCCCAATCGGGATGCCGCAGATTAAATGGGACAACCAATCAGATTAGACCCCCTCTCAGGGACGGTGCTGGGATGAGATTTACCAGTCAGGCAGTAGGCAGTTGCTGCAGTCTCCTGAATGAATAAAGCCTGCTTTTATCCCAGTCTTAGAGGTTGTTGGGCCCTGCAGTCCCCTGGTCTGCTGAAAAGGCTTTCTTTGTGTTCTTGCTTCCCATCTAACTGTACAGCATCTTTCCATCGCCTCAGTGACCCAAGTACCTCTCTCCTGTTCAACCTGTCAGTGTACAATAAACACCCCGAGATTCCCCTTTCCTGCCACCCCCACTCCCTGGCAGAGGAGGTTTTGAATTGTTTTAATTTTGCATCCCCTTGAAGAAAGAGTTCAGCTCAAAAAATCTAGGTAGCTGGACCCCTAGAAATCACAATTGTGCTGTGTTGAAAAGATGCAACAGACATGAGCCCTGAGGTGAAGGAAGAATTACTGCACTTTTCATGTGGCTCCACATTTCGGCTAAGTTTGAGACAACTTTTCTTTTGCTGGTTTTCTGTATCTCTCTGCTTTCTTTGCGCACCCCATGCTCAGGGTTGTTTGTTTTGTGTCGGTGGTATGTCTTCAATCCGACTTCATTCTGACATCCTTTAGATTAGGAATTACGATTTATCCAGGATTGGTTTTATTATTACAGTGAAGGCCCACTAGGTTCAGTCAACTGAAAACTGGTGGCATTCTTCCCAGCAAAAGAGAAGGTTAGCCTGGATGTCTTTCTGTGAAAGACAAGGGGTTTTTAACTCTGAGATTGAACCAAGATGTTGATAGATTGGAAGATGGAGGTGGAAAGATGGAATGCAGCCAGGGGTGGATATCCTTAACGTAGTCCCGGCTTTGAAAATGCAGTGCTTTCTTTGGGATTATTTCAGATGTCAAACGCAGCAGGGTTGACATCAGTACACAGCAGGCCATGGATTATGGCTGCCTCTAATGACTGTGTTCCACTGTGTTTATTGTTCTGGATGTTAATATATAGAGTAAATGATAGTCCTTTAATTGAAGGTTGGAAATGCCCCATGCCAAGGCGCCCGGGTGGACACATCATTAACCACTGAAGTGAAACCCAAGACACTTGCTGGCCAGGAAATTATAGCCACGGAGACCATCTTCCTATTTGTGTATATGGTATGTGTGAGAGAGAGCGGGCCCAGCAACTGGCCTGCACCTTATTGGCAGTTCTTGATTTTACTGGGAGGAGAAAAACATCATTTAGAAACTAGCAAGAGCACATTAGTTCCACAGGAAATCTCAGCTAATCAGAACTTGAATGGAGCATATTTCTACCCAGCGTATGAGCACAGGAGAGGAGAGAGGGGTCAGCTCTCTGCCTTTCTTTTTAGACGTTTTTGAAGTGGCTCTTCAAAAACTTTCTCCAGTTTAATTGTAGAAACAATTTATGATGCCTCAGTAATAGAGGTTGAATTTAAAAATTCCTTATAATTATTCAGACTGTAACTCCTGAGAGAAGTCTTGACAAAGTATCAGACCATAAATTGGCCCTAATTGTTTCTATGGAAAGGTATAATCATTCCCTGTTGCTTCTATAACAAATTACCCCAAGCTCAGTGGCTCAAAAGGACACAGATTTATTACCTTATAGCTCTGGAGGTCAGGAGTCTGAAATGGGTCTCACTGGGCTAAAACTAAACATTCTTTTTGGAGGGTGCAGGGGAAAATCTGTTTCTTTACCTTTTCCAGCTTCTAGAGGCCACCCGCACCCTATGGCTTTGGGCCCCAGCCCCCCAGCAATTGGATCACTCTGATCTCTGCTTCTGCTTTCACACTTCCTTCCCTGACCCTCCTGCCTCCCTCTTTCAGTGACAAAGACCCCTGTGATTGCACGGGCCCATTGGATAATGCCGCATAGTCTCCCCATCTCTAGGCCAGCTAATGAACAACCTTAGTTCCATCTGCAGTCTCCATTCCCGCATGCCATATAACATATATTCACAGGTTCTGGGAATGAAGACATGGACATCTTTGGGGTGGGGGCATAATTCTGTCTGCTGCATGAAGTACTAGGTTAGCTAGGTTCCATGGAACTATAAACCAGGCTAGAAGATAAGGACTATTGATGGGGAGGTACAATAATGATAAAAGGCAGCTTCATATGTCCTAAGATCAAAAGAATCACAGAAATCAGGGGCATGATAGCTTACTTAAGAACACATGCTTTGGGCTTGGGCAGAAGAGGGCTGACTCCTAACTCTGTCCCTGCTGGCTGTGGGATTTTTGATAGAATATTCAATCGTGCTAATAGTTTCCTTTATTATAAAATGGAGGTAATAATGTGTACCACATGGGATGTTGTAAAATTTAAGTATGAAAATACAAATGAAATGTGCATGGTGGTGCCTGGCACTTAGTGAGTGTTCAGTAAGTGGTAGCTATCAATGGTAAAAACCACAATTACTTTTGCATCAACCTAATACATGTTAGGAAGCGTCCCTTCTTTTACCTGACTCCTTGTGAGTCATGGCAGGGATGGTGAGGGTCTGTGCTTTTTAAAAATCAAAACAAATACATAAAATTAAGCATATAAAATTAAGACTTTTATTTAAAGGCAGGAGAGCCAACACTTTATATTGTCTTGGGAAAGAGCTTTTTAGTCCTTTGTGACCTAGTATTACTATCACCCTCAGGCATGTGGGTCTGGCACTGTGCTGGGTGCTGGAGGGGGATAAGTCATGGTCCCTGGTCTCAAGGCTAGTGTAGTGACCGGCCATACAGATGCCCCAGCTGACAGCTAAGGAAGCATGAAAGAATTGAGGCAAGAGATACTGAAGAGAGAGATGACCTGGATGGGGGGCAGTAGGAGAAAGTTTCAGAAGAGTTAGGACTCAAATTGGGCATTGAAGGAAGACAGACGCTGGGAAATGTAGAGAGGGCATTTTAGGCAGTGGATTTGGGATAACTCACATGAACAAAAATGCCAGAGTAGCTTCATGTTTAAGAGGTGGGGCAGATGTTTTAGGTAGGTAAGTTGTGGAGTGGGAATCTGTAGAGGTGGAATGGAATTGGATTAAAGAGTGCGTTTTTCAATCTAAGTAGACTTACGCTTCTGTATCTTATTCAACTTTGTGTGGCACATAGTGGGTATTCAATACCATTTATTTTTGTTTCATCCTGACCTTAAATTCAACCTAATTCTCTAGACAGTGAGGGACCACAGAAAGACAAGATGCGACGTACAAAGTGGCATTGTCAGACCAAACCAATAGAGAGTGAGATTGGCTAGAACAAGAAAAAACTAGAAGCAAGACCAATTAGGACACATTTCCAATGTCCAGCAAATGAAATAGAGGCCTGATGATAGCGGGGATGAAAAGTAAGGATTGGCAAGACTAAATAGAAATCTCAGACATGTTAACTGTAAGATTCAGAAGTGACCTGGATGTATTAATATCATGTGCAGGGACCATGGGGCAGTTGTGTAGAGTGGTGATAGTGTAGCTGTGGATGGAACAATAGCATTGATTCCTGAGGTCCAAGAAGAAATAGGGTATCAAAACCTAAGAGGAATTGTATCAGTTACCTATCACTGTATAACAAACCAACCCATAAATCACTGACATAAAAAACCATGTATTTAGCTTACATTTTTATAGGTTCAAAATCTGGGCTGGTGGTCTTTCCCATGTGAGCCGGGATCACTCATGTGTCTGTGGTCAGTTGCCAAGTCACTTGAGGCTGCTGGCCTAGCATCCCAGTTGTTGCACCTAATCTCTCATTATCTAGCAGTCTAGCCTGCGATTGTTTGCATGATGGAGACAGGGTTCTAAAAGTGCTAGCAGAAACATGCTGGGCCCCTGGAGCCTAGGCTTGGAAGTGGAAGTGGAATACCAACACCTTCACTTCTCTTAGACAAACCAAGTCACATTGCCAAGTCTGAATTCAAGGAGTAAGGTGATAGACTTCATTTCTTAATGGGAAGAGCTACAAAGTCACAGTGTGAATAGTGTAATTTTTAATCAATCTAGTACAATCACGGTGCAGAGGATATTTGGAATGTTCTGTTATGAAATGTAGTTATTTATTTATTTTTGTATTTTTATAATTTTATCTGCATCAAATTCTGTCATAATTGTATGGTGAATTATACAAGCCTTATTTTGGTTTCATTCCAACTTGCCCAAGTGTTGTGTGGCTCCTCATGCATAATAAACCAGATGGTCAATGAAAGGAATTAGGTACCTGATACAGTTTGGCTGTGTATCCCCACCCAAATTTCACCTTGAATTGTAGTTCCCATAATCCCCACGTGTTGTGGGATGGACCTGGTGGGAGGTAATTTAATCATGGGGGCAGTTACCCTCATGCTATTCTTGTGATAGTGAGTTCCCATGAGATCTGATGGTTTTATAAGGGGCTTCTCCCTCTTTTGCTAGGCACTACTTCTTCCTGCTGCCATGTGAAGAAAGACCTGTTTGCTTCCCCTTTCATCATGATTGTAAGTTTCCTGAGGCCTCCCCACCCGTGCAGAACTGTGAGTCAATTAAACCCCTTTCCTTCATAAATTACACAGTCTCAGGCAGTACTTTATAGCAGCGTGAGAATGGATTAATACACTATCCCAGGGGTATCTCAGTGTTGAACTTCATGCAGTTAGATCTTGTATCTCCACTGAGCTGCTTGAGGGCCTGACCTACATCTCTGGCTTCTCCAGATTAGCCTGCTGAATGTTGTAAAGAATTAGAAACATGGAAAGCACTTAAATACCCTTCACGTTGGTGGCAAATTGGGGTTTAGGTTTTAAAAGTGACGAATGCTACCATGATTCACAGTAAAAATAAGACGATAGAAGGAAGCAAGCTGCCTGAGCTGTCTCTTTCTTATGGGAAAAATGCTCCCTGCACTCTTCTGAGTCTCTTTAAAGGAAAAACCCATTGTTAATGCTTCCTGTATGCCTGCAGTTGGTGCACATCTTGACCCTCTGCAGCCCTGTTTGATGGATGCAATGTACTGAGCTTGGTGCATCATGCCCCAGAACTGGGAAAGGGAAAAATTGAAAAATGAGCAGTTGGCCACCTCCTGATGTCTGTAGGTGTCTGGAAATGCAGGCATCTAGAACTGCTGGCAGGACTCTCTGAAGGCTTGACTGATTCCTACAAGTAAGCAGCTGGAGATGTAATTATTACATTGTCATTTTATTATTTCATTGTGGTAAGAGCACTTAACATGAGATCTAGCCTCTTAACACATGATATGTCATTGTTGACTATAGGTACAATGTTGTGTAGAAGATCCCTAGAGCTTATTCATCTTACTTGACTGAATCTTTACGCCCTTTGGTTAGTATCTCCCCATTTGTTCCTCCTTCCAGCCCTGGAAAACTACCATTCCACTCTTTGATTCTATGAATTTGACTATCTTTGATACCTCATAGAAGTAGAATAAAGAAGTATTTGTTTTTCTGCAGCTGGCTTGTTTCACTTAGCATAATGACCTTGGGGTTACATCGATGTTGTTATATATGTTAGGATTTTCTTCCTTTTTAAGGCTGAATAGTGTTCCATCATATGTATATACCACACTTTTTATCCACTTATCTGTTGATAGATATTTAGGTTGTTCTTACAATACAATAGTAAGAAAAAAAACAGCTAATAACCCAATTAAAAGTGGTCTAAAGACTTGAATAGGCATTTCTCCAAATAAGACATACAAATAATCAACAGGTTTATGAAAAAATGCTCAATGTCACTAATCCTTAGAGAAATGCAAATAAAACCACAATAAGATATCACCTCCCATCTGTTAGAATGGATATTATGTATTACACAAAAACAAAAGATAATAAGTGTTGGCAAGTATTGGATATATAGAAATTGAAACTTTTGCACACTGTTGGTGGACATGCAAAAAGACACAGTTGCTATGTAAAAAAATATATAGAAGTTTCTAAAAAAAATTTAAAAATAGAATTACATGATCCAGCAATCCCATTTCTGGGTATTTATCCAAAAAAAAAATTGAAATCAGGAACTTGAAGAGATATGAGCACTCCTATGTTCATTGCAGGATTATTCACTGTAGCCAAGCATGTTGTCTTTTTACCCCATCTGCAGTACCACTTATGGGAAGTGGGAATGCTGAAGATGAGCAAGCCCTAGAGTGGAGCAGTGGTCCCATTAGATCTGGTTCTAAAAAGACCTCTGCCATTGGCGGGCCAGAATCCAGGAGGATCCAGGCTTCTCTCCTTGTTTTAGATTCACCCCTCTTCCTGGGGCTTGGCTCTGGAGGTTGGTGAGAGACAATGTTGTTGAATGATGGAAAGGAGAAAGAGCAGGGAGGATAATGGGGCAGTCAGGGTAGATTAGGGCATCAGGCATCCTGACAATGACCTGGATGAGTTTGGCCCAAGCCAGCCTGGCCCTGGTCCAGGAAGGGGAGTCCGGAACTTGGAACGCAATGCAGGTCTCTCTCAGGTCTGCTTTCTTTCTTCTCTCACAACCACTGACATATTTGAGCCCAACCCCTCAGTCCTACAAATACAACACCTTCCTTACTTTCCTCCCTAAAGTCTTGAGAAATAGAACTCCTGAGTGATTAAACAAGGTCAGCTACAGAAGAAGAAATGGGAAAATGTACTTTTATTGGATTTTAAATATCATTCTCTCAGTCAGAAAGGATTTCTCATACGAATTCTTTTGCTTAGACAACTGTGTATCAATTGATTCCTAAATGTACTTTGGATGTTGCATCTCCATGCCTCTGCTCAGATCATCCTCCCTGCATAGAGAGCTCTCTTTTTCTGTTAGGTGGCCTAAATCCTAAATACAATTTAAGTTCCACTGCATCTAAGGTGACTTTCCAAATTACTTTAGATTTGGTAATCTTTCCATTCTCTGAATCTCATAGGTGTTGTTATCCATACCATTTATCTGGCACATGATATATATGACTTAATGTTGTCATTTATTTTCTGGTGTTTAGATCCTCTTTTCTGTGTGAGCCTTTTAAATCCAAGTCAGTGCTTTATACTTCCGTATGTCTCCAGTCACACTCGCCTACTGCCTTACACATCGTAGGCTCTCAGTAAGTGTTTGATGCCTATGGTACTTCAAATGCCATTTTCTCTTCCTCTGATCCACTGTCAGCACTTCTTCTGAGCATTGATCAGCTTTTGGCTGCTCAGCATCCATTCCATCTTCTGAGTAGTACTCTGATTTCCACTGGGGGATAGCTCTCACTGATTGTGTGTCCACTTGTTGGGAAGTAATTCCAGTACATGCATTCCACTATGGAATCCCAGAGTGCAAGATCCTTCCTCCTTGCCCATTCCTCAAACTAGATCTTTGGCATGTAACCTAAATTTGGCCAACTAGCTGCTCTGATCCAGGTCTCTGAAACTTGACTAAGGGGTGGAAGGGTAGAAGAATGGTTGGAAGCCACTGAGGGCAGGGTGGTGGCAGAAGCATCCCAACCAGACTGGTCTTGCTACACCAGGGTCTCTCTCCTTGGTTGTGGTACATTCACAGGCCTGGCTGTCCTGCTTTCTGTCAATCATGTGAGCCCACCAAACCCTTCCAATGAAAGCTCTTTCAAAGTAGCTAGAGGGTTTGAATGGATGTTTTCGTTTGTTTATGTTGTTCAAAATGAAGGAATCCTAGCTGGTAGACAACTTATTTCCAGCCCTTATCAACTCTCTCCTGGAATATTGCAGTAAATTTCTTACCTGATTCCATATCTTCCATGTTCCTATCCTTTATTAAGTTTTCTACATTCTTTCCAAAGTGTTATATGTAAGAAAAATTTAAAATCAATGCTGACTTATTCTTGATTTTTAAGATAAAAAATCAACTCCTAAAATTTCTCATGTTCCCATGCCCTGTGCCCATGCTCCAAAATTGGAGCCTGTGATGCAGTGGAAAGAGCATGGCATTTAACTTGAGATCCAAACTTGAAACATGTGGCTTAGCATGTTCGTTAAACTTTTTCATCATTAGTTTTTCGTACGCAAAATGAAGAATATATACTCCTGGAGTGCTTGTGAGCGTTTGATGGGATAATACAACTCCAGCTTTTGCAGCGTGATACATTCTCAGTAGATGGTAACTCCCCTACCTCCACCTCCTTCCCTAGTGGGGCTTGCTGCTCCCTGATGGATCTTGATAAACTCTGGATGAGCTTGGATGCCCTGGAGGTCCCTGGGGTTAAGAAATTGGATGCAGCATCAGGGCATTATGGTACTTGGTTTTATGGCATGGCAGTCATACATGGCATTTTAGGGAAGACAAGAGAGCATGGGGGAAGAATCTGACATTGTGTGTTGAAGCAAAAGGATTGTCATTTGCAGTGTGTTCCTGACAGCTCTGGTTATACAGGTGGGAGAACCGGATGCTTTATTATGAATCAGTCAATCTCTTAAGCAAGTGTTCTTTAAAGTATTTTGATTGCAAATTGCAAAAAATAGTTGCAATTCAGGGCCAGATGCCATGTTTATTTCTTGGTTCTCAGCCTACTCTTAGCAGATAAAAATGACCAAATGTGAGCATTCTGTGTGCTGTGCAGAAGTAACTATCCCTACCAACAGCTATGTGCACCTATGCTCATTTTCCACGGAACCTTCTTAAACTCTTCATGTTTGAAGTGGCCTATTTGTTCTTGCTGCCAAAGTTGAAAGAAATGTTAGCTAATTATAGAGAGGGAGTTTGTCTAACAGAAGGGCTTTTCACTAGAAGCTGAAGGGAGCTGTTTCCCTTTTGGATCAGCAATAGCTTGATGGGTTTGAAAAAGTACACAGTATCATCTAATAATTTCTAATTGGACTCACTTGAGAAAATACATAATGGAGATTTAGATTATAAGGTAGGGTAAGAATATTTGTGTTGATGTATATGTTAAACTAGCAAAATGGGTATCATCTCTGCTCCACTGGGGCTTATAAGCCAAAATGAACATGATGGATCTATAAGTAACAGGATAGGCTCACAGAAGCAGTATCACTTTTTGAGATATCAGGATTCTGAATGTCAACCAAATATATGAGAGTAACCTGCACAGGAGTGTTTTGCTCTGGCAGTGAAATTGTAAATTGCCAGCATAACATGATACTCAAGGGGAATGGCAGAGGGGGTTGCCGGAGGAAGGGTATTTTTATTTCAATGTAATTAGGGAAGGTTTCCTTGCAGAAGTGATGAATGCTTTCTTTTTTGTGCTTTCCTTGAGGCATTAAAAAAAAAAATCTCTATTCTGAGATCTTGGCAGTTCTTTCCAGGAGCTGAATTTGTCCCCTTTGCCCCTTCTCTACACCTCTCCCAATTGCTCTAGATCCAAAGAAACCATGATCTGAGCTGTGAAGTGTTCAGAGTCCTAAGTTCTAACTCCAATGAAGCTCTCACCTTACACAGTACCACATCCAAAAGGGGCCCAGGGCTTTTCTAGGGATCTGTCCTCAAGTTGGAAGCCAGGGGTTCTCTGGGCTGAAAGTCTTTTTTGATCAGAGAAGCCAAGCAGGGTGACACCCCAGTCCCCTGAAGAGGCCACAGAACTTCAGATATATATTTCACATCATAGCACTCAAGTTTAGGCAGTGTTTTGGACAACAAATGTCTGGGGTGGAAATTGCGTGTATGCTGACCGTGAAAATGAAATTAGAGTGTTCCTCTGTCCTTGAGAGCAGGAATTCCATTGTTTGGCCCCATGTGACCTAAATTTGACTCTGAATATCTTTGGATACCACTAATAACCATGACTATTGAATGGTGGGAAGGTGATGACATGAATTTCCTCAAACTCAGAGGGACATTCCAGAGGGAAACTGGGTGACTCCAGTGTTAGCTCTTTTTCTGCTTAGCTATCAGGGGAGTGAATTGTACCTCAACTGGTTCTGGAGCCTTCATTCCTTATCTCCATTAGACGTCAGGAAATGTCTCTAAGCCCTAATCACCCGATGGTATTTTATAAAGCACTATGCCTAAGCTTCCCTTTTCAGTTGAAATGTTGAGGACTGAAGTGGGCAATGAAGACCTTGTTTCTTTGGCTACTAGCCAACCTGGATTAAAGAAGAAAAACAGCTTTGACAGAATTTCTTTTGAGGTGGTCCAAAGACTGTTTTCTGGAACATAAAAAGCATCTATATTCCACTGTGATTTTGTTAACTGTTTGCAGTAAAGTTTGAAGGTGTTTGGCCCAATCTGAATACCAGTTAACCCACGATCTCTGTTTGATACATCTATCCCCAGCTGGTGACATGCTCTTATTAATCCTTTGATCTAGTTGGGTATCTAGTGTGTGGTGCTGAAACAAAATTTTACCCTGTGCACGAATCTCGCTTCTCCATCTTATTGAAAGATGAAAGCATAAGATGGGACATGAGGCAGAAGACAGGGTTTTGGTATCCAGTTCTGGGGCTTGAGGACATTTTAAGCCTCAATTTTATGTATAAAATGGCAACAAAGACTTCTATTTGTCACCATCATTGAAAATAATCAGATGAGATAATGAATTAAAAGTGCTTTGTACATCAAAAAGCCCTGATTAAACAAACACTACTTCTAAACAACTTGATGAATACAACTCCTACTAATATAGACAGGCTAGAAGCAAACTTTAAGCATAGATCTAAATTTTCAAGGAATGGAAAGTGGCTCAATCTTAAGTATCTTTTCACATGACTTGCTCTCTGTTTGGACATTTCCGAGAACTGAAAGTTACCATGTTGCTAGAAACTCATACAGTCATTGGAGGTGTTCTTGGTGCTGAGTGATAGAGCCACTGGGGGTGTTATTTCCCAACAGAATTTCCATTGTCTGCTGAATTTGTTTTTGTTGGCTTGACTCTTCTATTGAAATCTCCCTGATATCCTGTTATTAGGAAACTTGGGGATTATTTTCCCTTCTGTAAAATGGGGATAATATCCCCTAGGGTTTTTGGAAGATTTACGATGAGATATTCTCTGTAAAGTACTTACGATAAAACGTTGTCCACAATATGTATATAATAAATGTTAACTATTACTATTATTGCTGTTATTACTTTGATTACAATTATTGGGTGAATGACAAATTGTAATGGTCACTTTTCTCCCTTTGACCAGTCATTGACTAAATTAAGCTTCAAGTGCTTTTGGAAGGAAGAATATGTGAGATATCTAAGAAAAGTTGATAAAATGTTATCTTCTTTGATAATAGAATGACCAATCGTTGACTTTTTTTTTTTTCCTTCTTTTGAATGACAGAGAAATGCCAGCTCCCTGTAAACATGAGAAAGCCCAGATGAAATAAATAAGGTGCTTCACATTCTGCCTCTCAGCCACATGCTCTGGGCAAGAGATTCTAATTCTTCAGAATAGCCACTTCCCAAGTTCAAATGGGGCCATCCTTCTTCTCTGGCACTGGCAGTGAGTGCTGGGGCAGTCTGTATCATGTTATGGCAAATTACCTTGAGGTCACAAGCCAATTTTTTGTTCCTATAGAAACATTGACTGTGAGAAGATAATGGCCAATGTGTTTTAAGCACTTTGTATTTGCAAGGGACTGCTCTAAGTACTTGATAAACATCAACTTCTTTAATCCTCACAACTCTATGAGGTAGGGATAATTAGCATCATTTTCCAGGTAAGGAAACTGAGGCCCAAAGATGTTAAGTCATCCAGACAGTAAATGGTTGTGTCAGGATTAATGCACAAGCACCTTCATTCTTGACCATTACCCTCTGAAAAAAGGGCTAAGGTGGAGAGTGTGGCTCTGGGGCAGGGCAACTCTAAACAGGAAACATGCTCCTTCACAAATGTGCTGGATTCTACCTCTTTCAGTTAAAGATAAAAGGAACCTTTACGTGTGAACTCAGTCTTCTCTCCAGGGTCTTTAGCTGACAGAGTGCCATCATTTTGCATACAGATATAACTCTTATTGTCTGTGGCTTCCATCTTTTACTTCAGACTATATGTCTGGGTTGAGTGGTTCAAATAATGGCAGATTATAAAGTGCTTTCATTTATTCCAACTCTGTGAAATAAGAATTTCATAGTGAGAAGCTTCCCAGAGACAGAGAGAGAAGAAACTTGTGTATGTCACAGAGCTAGTGACATAACTGGGGTTTGAACCCCTATTTCAAACTCCTATCTCTACACCATAAGAAACAATCCCTCGTCAATCTGGGGGTTGTGGGTGGTGTCACCAGATTATAAGGAAAAGCTGCCTGTCAGGTCAAGAGTAGTGTTTACATTGGTGAAACCCCGTCTCTACTAAGAATACAAAAATTAGCTGGGTGTGGTGGCACGCACCTGTAGTCCCAGCTACTTGGGAGGTTGAGGCAGAAGAATTGTTTGAACCCAGGAGGCAGAGGTTGCAGTGAGCTGAGATTGCACCAGTGCACTCCAATCTGAGTGACAGAGTGAGACTCCGTCTCAAAAAAAAAAAAAAAAAGTTTCATCTAGTAGCTACAATGGTTCCCAGATTGCATATTACTAAGTGATAATTCGAATGAATGAATGAATTTTATTCTAATAGTAATTTGAATTTAACTGTGAAATAATAAAGGTGCATTTCAAAATTTAAAAAAATCAGGCTCTGAAACCTGCCCCAGGTGCCTCTATGTGGAAGGACCCTTGCTCTGCTCATCACATTCCAGTTTCCTTGACCAGGTGCCTTCTAAGGGGTGAAAGTGGAGGAGAAAGGGGGGAGCCTCATTTTGCTGGGATTCTGACACCCTTCACTGAGCCCCCACAACTATCACCCACCCCAGCCCAGCTGGCACTACACCTACCTTGCTCAGCCCCACCTAATGGCTTTAGCACTGAAGTGGTCAGGAAATAGACGTGGCTAGTATTAAAGTCTAAACAACAGCTTTACCGGAGTAAATTGATGAGAACTACCATCACACATGTTCCTCTGTATAATTGCCCATCCAAAGCAGCCAGGCAGCCTTTTTCCATTTGGTGTCATTCTTCCTGAGCACCCTCCCTCCTGCTCTGCCACTTCCCTTCCATCACTTACTTAAAGGACCAGAAGAAGACTCACCTCTTTTTTTTTTTTTTTTTTTTTTAATACTTTAAGTTCTGGGATACATGTGCCAAACGTGCAGGTTTGTAACATAGGTATACACGTGCCATGGTGGTTTGCTGTACCCATCAACCCATCATCTACATTAGGTATTTCTCCTAATGCTATCCCTCTCCTAGCCTCCCTACCCCCTGACAGGCCCGGGTGTGTGGTGTTCCCCACCATGTGTCCATGTGTCATTGTTCAACTCCCACTAACGAGTGAAAACATGTGGTGTTTGGTTTTCTGTTCCTGTGTTAGTTTGCTGAGAATGATGGTTTCCAGCTTCACCCATGTGCCTGCAAAGGACATGAACTCATCCTTTTTTATGGCTGCATAGTATTCCATGGGTATATGTGCCACATTTTCTTTATCCAGTCTATCATTGATGGACATTTGGGTTGGTTCCAAGTCTTTGCTATTGTGAATAGTGCCACAATAAACATGATGTGTATGTGTCTTTATAGTAGAATGATTTATATTCCTTTGGGTATATACCCAGTAATGGGATTGCTGAGTCAAATGGTATCTGTGGTTCTAGATCCTTGAGGAATTGCACACTGTCTTCCACAATGGTTGAACTAGTTTACAGTCCCACCAACAGTGTAAAAGTGTTACTATTTCTCCACATCCTCTCCAGTATCTGTTGTTTCCTGACTTTTTAATGATTGCCTTTCTAACGGTCATGAGATGGTATCTCATTGTGGTTTTGATTTGCACCAGTGATGATGAGCTTTTTTCATATGTTTGTTGGCTGCATAAATGTCTTCTTTTGAGAAGTATCTGTTCATATCCTTTGTCTACTTTTTGATGGGGTTGTTTTTTTCTTGTGAATTTGTTTAAGTTCTTTGTAGATTCTGGATATCAGCCCTTTCTCAGATGGATGGATTGCAAAATTTTTCTCCCATTCTGCAGGTTGCCTATTCACTCTGATGATAGTTTCTTTTGCCTTGCAGAAGCTCTTTAGTTTAATTAGATCCCATTTGTCACTTTTGGTTTGTGTTGCCATTGTTTTTGGTGTTTTAGTCATGAAGTCTTTGCCCATGCCTATGTCCTGAATGGTATTTCCTAGGTTTTCTTCTAGGGATTTTATGGTTTTAGATCTTACATTTAAGACTTTAATCCATCTTGAGTTAATTTTTGTATAAGGTGCAAGGAAGGGGTCCAGTTTCAGTTCATACGGCTAGCCAGTTTTCCCAGCACCATTTATTAAATAGGGAATCCTTTCCCCATTGCTTGTTTTTGTCAGGTTTGTTGAAGGTCAGATGGTTGCAGATGTGTGGTGGTATTTCTGAGGCCTCTGTTCTGTTCCATTGGTCTATATATCTGTTTTGGTACCAGTACCATGCTGTTTTGATTACTGTAGGCTTGTAGTATAGTTTGAAATCAGGTAGCATAATACCTCCAGCTTTCTTCTTTTTGCTTAGAATTGCCTTGGCTATGTGGGCTCTTTTTTGGTTCCATATGAAATTTAAAGTAGTTTTTTTCTGATTCTGTGAAGAAAGTCAATGGTAGTTTGATGGGGATAGTACTGAAACCATAAATTACTTTGGGCATTATGGCCATTTTCACGCTATGGATTCTTCTTATCCATGAGCAGGAACTGTTCTTCCATTTGTTTGTGTCCTCTTATTTCATTGAGCAGTGGTTTGTAGTTCTCCTTGAAGAGGTCCCTCACATCCCTTGTAAGTTGTATTCCTGGGTATTTTATTCTCTCTATAGCAGTTGTGAATGGGAGTTCACTCATGATTTGGCTCTCTGTTTGTCTATTATTGGTGTATAGGAATGCTTGTGGTTTTTGCACATTGATTTTGTATCCTGAGACTTTGCTGAAGTTGCTTATCAGCTTAAGGAGATTTTGGGCTTAGACGATGGGTTTCTCTAAGTGTAAAATCATGTCATCTGCAAACAGAGACAATTTGACTTCTTCTCTTCCTATTTGAATACTTATTTCTTTCTCTTGTGTGATTGCCCTGGCTAGAGCTTCCAGCACTATGTTGAATAGGAGTAGTGAGAGAGGTCATCCTTGTGTTGTGCTGGTTTTCAGAGGGAATGCTTCCAGTTTTTGTCCATTCAAATATTGGCTGTGGGTTTGTCATAAATAGCTCTTACTATTTTGAGATACATTCTATCAGTACCTAGTTTATTGAGAGTTTTTAGCGTGAAGGGCTGTAGAATTTTATCGAAGGCCTTTTTTGCATCTATTGAGATAATCGTGTGGTTTTTGTCATTGCTACTGTTTATGTGATGGATTACGTTTATTGATTTGCGTATGTTGAACCAGCCTTGCATCCCAGGGATGAAGCTGAATTGATCGTGGTGGATAAGCTTTTTGATGTGCTGCTGGATTGGGTTTGTCAATATTTTATTGAGGATTTTTGAATATATGTTCATCAGGGATATTGGCCTGAAATTTTCTTTTTTTGTTGTGTCTCTGCCAGGTTTTGGTATCGGGATGATAATGGCCTCATAAAATCACTTAGGGAGGAGTCCCTCTTTTTCTATTGCTTGGAATAGAACAGTTGCAGAAGGAACGGTACCAGCTCCTTTTTGTACCTCTGGTAGAATTTGGCTGTGAATCCATCTGGTCCAAAAAGAGCCTGTCCCCACTCACCCTACATGTCTCTGTAGGGTGACCACAGAGCACCCACTTTGTCATGAGCTGTTTATTTTTTTTCCCAGTTTTTTTTTTTGGGGGGTGGGGATGGAGTCTCACTCCGTCCCCTAGGCTGAAGTGCAGTGGCGCTATCTCGGCTCATTGCAAGTTCTGCCTCCCAGGTTCATGCCATTCTCCTGCCTCAGCCTCCCAAGTAGTTAGGACTACAGGCACCTGCCACCATGCCCGGCTACTTTTTTGTATTTTTAGTAGAGACGGGGTTTCACTGTGTTAGCCAGGATGGTCTCGATCCCCTGACCTCGTGATCCGCCCACCTCGGCCTCCCAAAGTGCCCAGTTTACATCATATTACTTATGTGTAGTTTTGTTCCCTGGTTGTTCCATAGATGTTTTGTTTCTTTAACTAGAGTGTTTTGCTTGGCTTGTAACCCCATAAGAGCTGGGCATGTGAGATATGCTTAGCTCATGTTGTCTCTGAGGGTACCGCAAGCTTCTGCACTGTGAGCCTCCATTTTGATTGTTTTAGGGCCTGTGTTAGGGAGAAGTGATAGGGGTATGGCCTTCAGTCATATGTCTTCAATACTTAATGGAAGGAGTGTTTATTCTCCTGTATTTTCCATAGAATGGTACATTGACAGTCTAACCATGTTACTCGTTGACTTAAAATCTTCAAAGTCCGCTTATTGCCAGAGATAAAGTCAAATATTGTTTGGAATGACATAAAAGATATGCTGTATTCTTTTTTTTTTAATTATGCTTTAAGTTTTAGGGTACATGTGCATAATGTACAGGTTATGTATACATGTGCCATGCTGGTGTGCTGCACCCATTAACTCGTCATTTAGCATTAGGTATATCTCCTAATGCTATCCCTCCCCCCTCCCCCCACCCCACAGCAGTACCCAGAGTGTGATGTTCCCCTTCCTGTGTCCATATGTTCTCATTGTTCAATTCCCACCTATGAGTGAGAATATGCGGTGTTTGGTTTTTTGTTCTTGCGATAGTTTACTGAGAATGATGATTTCCAATTTCATCCATGTCCCTACAAAGGACATGAACTCATCCTCTTTTCTGGCTGCATAGTATTCCATGGTATATATGTGACACATTTTCTTAATCCAGTCTATCATTGTTGGACATTTGGGTTGGTTCCAAGTCTTTGCTATTGTGAATAGTGCCACAATAAACATACATGTGCATGTGTCTTTATAGCAGCATGATTTATAGTCCTTTGGGTATATACCCAGTAATGGGATGGCTGGGTCAAATGGTATTTGTAGTTCTAGATCCCTGAGGAATCGCCACACTGACTTCCACAATGGTTGAACTAGTTTACAGTCCCACCAACAGTGTAAAAGTGTTCCTATTTCTCCACATCCTCTCCAGCACCTGTTGTTTCCTGACTTTTTAATGATTGCCATTCTAACTGGTGTGAGACTGTATCTCATTGAGGTTTTGATTTGCATTTCTCTGATGGCCAGTGATTGTGAGCATTTTTTCATGTGTTTTTTGGCTGCATAAATGTCTTCTTTTGAGAAGTGCCTGCTCATGTCCTTCACCCACTTTTTGATGGGGTTGTTTGTTTTTTTCTTGTAAATTTGTTTGAATTCATTGTAGATTCTGGATATTAGCCCTTTGTCAGATGAGTAGGTTGTGAAAATTTTCTCCCATTTTGTAGGTTGCCTGTTCACTCTGATGGTAGTTTCTTTTGCTGTGCAGAAGCTCTTTAGTTTAATTAGATCCCATTTGTCAATTTTGGCTTTTGTTGCCATTGCTTTTGGTGTTTTGGACATGAAGTCCTTGCCCATGCCTATGTCCTGAATGGTAATGCCTAGGTTTTCTTCTAGGGTTTTTATGGTTTTAGGTCTAACATTTAAGTCTTTAGTCCATCTTGAATTAATTTTTGTATAAGGTGTAAAGAAGGGATCCAGTTTCAGCTTTCTACATATGGCTAGCCAGTTTTCCCAGCACCATTTATTAAATAGGGAATCCTTTCCCCATTGCTTGTTTTTCTCAGGTTTGTCAAAGATCAGATAGTTGTAGATATGCGGCATTATTTCTGAGGGCTCTGTTCTGTTCCATTGGTCTATATCTCTGTTTTGGTACCAGTACCATGCTGTTTTGGTTACTGTAGCCTTGTAGTATAGTTTGAAGTCAGGTAGTGTGATGCCTCCAGCTTTGTTCTTTTGGCTTAGGATTGACTTGGCGATGCAGGCTCTTTTTTGGTTCCATATGAACTTTAAAGTAGTTTTTTTGAATTCTGTGAAGAAAGTCATTGGTAGCTTGATGGGGATGGCATTGAATCTATAAATTACCTTGGGCAGTATGGCCATTTTCACAGTATTCATTCTTCCTACCCATGAGCATGGAATGTTCTTCCATTTGTTTGTATCCTCTTTTATTTCATTGAGCAGTGGTTTGTAGTTTTCTTTGAAGAGGTCCCTCACGTCCCTTGTAAGTTGCATTCCTACGTATTCTCTTTGAAGCAATTGTGAATGGGAGTTCACTCATGATTTGGCTCTCTGTTTGTCTGTTATTGGTGTATAAGAATGCTTGTGATTTTTGTACATTGATTTTGTATCCTGAGACTTTGCTGAAGTTGCTTATCAGCTTAAGGAGATTTTGGGCTGAGACAATGGGGTTTTCTAGATATACAATCATGTCATCTGCAAACAGGAACAATTTGACTTCCTCTTTTCCTAATTGAATAACCTTTATTTCCTTCTCGTGCCTAATTGCCCTGGCGAGAACTTCCAACACTATGTTGAATAGGAGTGGTGAGAGAGGGCATCCCTGTCTTGTGCCAGTTTTCAAAGGGAGTGCTTCCAGTTTTTGCCCATTCAGTATGATATTGGCTGTGGGTTTGTCATAGATAGCTCTTATTATTTTGAGATACGTCCCATCAATACCTAATTTATTGAGAGTTTTTAGCATGAAGGTTGTCGAATTTTGTCAAAGGCCTTTTCTGCATCTATTGAGATAATCATATGGTTTTTGTCTTTGGTTCTGTTTATATGCTGGATTGCATTTATTGATTTGCCTATATTGAACCAGCCTTGCATCCCAGGGATGAAGCCCACTTGATCATGGTGGATAAGCTTTTTGATGTGCTGCTGGATTCGGTTTGCCAGTATTTTATTGAGGATTTTTGCATTGATGTTCATCAAGGATATTGGTCTAAAATTATCTTTTTTGGTTGTGTCTCTGCCTGGCTTTGGTATCAGGATGATGCTGGCCTCATAAAATGATTTAGGGAGGATTCCCTCTTTTGCTATTGATTGGAATAGTTTCAGAAGGAATGGTACCAATTCCTCCTTGTACCTCTGGTAGAATTCGGCTGTGAATCCATCTGGTCCTGGAGTCTTTTTGGTTGGTAAGCTATTGATTATTGCCACAGTTTCAGAGCCTGTTATTGGTCTATTCAGAGATTCAACTTCTTCCTGGTTTAGTCTTGGGAGGGTGTATGTGTCGAGGAATTTATCCGTTTCTTCTAGATTTTCTAGTTTGTTTGCATAGAGGTTTTTGTAGGATTCTCTGATGATAGTTTGTATTTCTGTGGGATCGGAGGTGATATCCCCTTTATCATTTTTATTGCGTCTATTTGATTCTTCTCTCTTTTCTTCTTTATTAGTCTTGCTAGCAGTCTATCAATTTTGTTGATCCTTTCAAAAAAACGAGCTCCTGGATTCATTAATTTTTTGAAGGGTTTTTTGTGTCTCTATTTCCTTCAGTTCTGCTCTGATTTTAGTTATTTCTTGCCTTCTGCTAGCTTTTGAATGTGTTTGCTCTTGCTTTTCTAGTTCTTTTAATTGTGATGTTAGGGTGTCAATTTTGCATGTTTCCTGCTTTCTCTTGTCAGCATTTAGTGCTATAAATTTCCCTCTACACACTGCTTTGAATGTGTCCCAGAGATTCTGGTATGTTGTGTCTTTGTTCTTGTCGGTTTCAAAGAACATCTTTATTTCTGCCTTCATTTTTTTATGTATCCAGTAGTCATTCAGGAGCAGGTTGTTCAGTTTCCATGTAGTTGAGTGGTTTTGAGTGAGTTTCTTAATCCTCAGTTCTAGTTTGATTGCACTGTGGTCTGAGAGACAGTTTGTTATAATTTCTGTTCTTTTACATTTCCTGAGGGGAGAGCTTTACTTCCAACTATGTGGTCAATTTTGGAATAGGTGTGGTGTGGTGCTGAAAAAAATGTATATTCTGTTGATTTGGGGTGGAGAGTTCTGTAGATATCTAATAGGTCCGCTTGGTGGAGAGCTGAATTCAATTCCTGGGTATACTTGTCAACTTTCTGTCTCGTTGATCTGTCTAATGTTGACAGTGGGGTGTTAAAGTCTCCCATTATTATTGTGTGGGAGTCTAAGTCTCTTTGTAGTCCCTCAGGACTTACTTTATGAAAGTGGATGCTCCTGTATTGGGTGCATATATATTTAGGATAGTTAGCTCTTCTTGTTGAATTGATCCCTTTACCATTATGTAATGGCCTTCTTTGTCTCTTTTGATCTTTGTTGGTTTAAAGTCCATTTTTTCAGAGACTAGGATTGCAACTCCTGCCTTTTTTTGTTTTCCATTTGCTTGGTAGATCTTCCTCCATCCTTTTATTTTGAGCCTATGTGTGTCTCTGCACGTGAGATGGGTTTCCTGAATACAGCACACTGATGGATCTTGACTCTTTATCCAATTTGCCAGTCTGTGTCTTTTAATTGGAGCATTTAGTACATTTCCATTTAAAGTTAATATTGTTATGTGTGAATTTGATCCTGTCATTTTGATGTTAGCTGGTTATTTTGCTCATTAGTTGATGCAGTTTCTTCCTAGCCTCGATGGTCTTTACAATTTAGCATGATTTTGCAGTGGCTGGTACCGATTGTTCTTTTCCATGTTTAGCGCTTCCTTCAGGAGCTCTTTTAGGGCAGGCCTGGTGGTGACAAAATCTCTCAGCATTTGCTTGTCTGTAAAGTATTTTATTTCTCCTTCACTTATGAAGCTTAGTTTGGCTGGATATGAAATTCTGGGTTGAAAATTCTTTTCTTTAAGAATGTTGAATATTGGCCCCCACTCTCTTCTGGCTTGTAGAGTTTCTGCCGAGAGATCCGCTGTCAGTCTGATGGGCTTCCCTTTGTGGGTAACCCAACCTTTCTCTCTGGCTGCCCTTAATATTTTTTCCTTCATTTCAACTTTGGTGAATCTGACAATTATGTGTCTTGGAGTTGCTCTTCTCGAGGAGTATCTTTGTGGAGTTCTGTGTATTTCCTGAATCTGAATGTTGGCCTGCCTTGCTAGACTGGGGAAGTTCTCCTGGATAATATCCTGCAGAGTGTTTTCCACCTTGGTTCCATTCTCCCCGTCAGTTTCAGGTACACCAGTCAGACATAGATTTTGTCTTTTCACATAGTCCCATATTTCTTGGAGACTTTGTTCGTTTCTTTTTATTCTTTTTTCTCTAAACTTCCCTTCTCGCTTCATTTCATTCATTTCATCTTCCATCACTGATACCTTTTCTTCTAGTTGATCGCATTGGCTCCTGAGGCTTCTGCATTCTTCACGTAGTTCTCGAGCCTTGGCTTTCAGCTCCATCAGCTCTTTTAAGTACTTCTCTGTGTTGGTTATTCTAGTTATACATTCGTCTAAATTTTTTTCAAACTTTTCAACTTCTTTGCCTTTGGTTTGAATTTCCTCCTGTAGCTCGGAGTAGTTTGATCCTCTGAAGCCTTCTCTCAACTCATCAAAGTCATTCTCCATCCAGCTTTGTTCCATTGCTGGTGAGGAACTGCGTTCCTTTGGAGGAGGAGAGGCGCTCTGCTTTTTAGAGTTTCCAGTTTTTCTGCTCTGTTTTTTCCCCATCTTTGTGGTTTTATCTACTTTTGGTCTTTGATGATGGTGATGTACAGATGGGTTTTTGGTGTGGATGTCCTTTCTGTTTGTTAGTTTTCCTTCTAACAGACAGGGCTCTCAGCTGCAGGTCTGTTGGTATTTGCTAGAGGTCCACTCCACACCCTGTTTGCCTGGGTACCAGCAGCGGTGGCTGCAGAACAGTGGATTTTCGTGATCCACGAATGCTGCTGTCTGATCGTTCCTCTGGAAGTTTTGTCTCAGAGGAGTACCCGGCCGTGTGAGGTGTCAGTCTGCCCCTACTGGGGGTTGCCTCCCAGTTAGGCTGCTCGGGGGTCAGGGGTCAGGGACCTACTTGAGGAAGCAGTCTGCCCGTTCTCAGATCTCCAGCTGCGTGCTGGGAGAACCACTGCTGTCTTCAAAGCTGTCAGACAGGGACCTTTACGTCTGCAGAGGTTACTGCTGTCTTTTTGTTTGTCTGTGCCCTGCCTCTCGAGGTGGAACCTACAGAGGCAGGCAGGCCTCCTTGAGCTGTGGTGGGCTCCACCCAGTTCGAGCTTCCTGGCTGCTTTGTTTACCTAAGCAAGCCTGGGCAATGGCGGGCGCCCCTCCCCCAGTCTCACTGCCACCTTGCAGTTTGATCTCAGACTGCTGTTCTAGCAATCAGCGAGATTCCATGGGCGTAGGACCCTCCGAGCCACGTGCGGGATATAATCCCCTGGTGCGCTGTTTTTTAAGCCTGTCGGAAAAGTGCAGTTTTAGGGCGGGAGTGACCCGATTTTCCAGGTGCCATCTGTCACCCCTTTCTTTGACTAGGAAAGGGAACTCCCTGACCCCGTGTGCTTCTTGAGTGAGGCAATGCCCCGCCCTGCTTCGACTCGCACACGGTGCACTGCACCCACTGTCCTGCGCCCATTGTCAGGCACTTCCTAGTGACATGAACCCGGTACCTCATATGGAACTGCAGAAATCACCCGTCTTCTGCGTTGCTCACGCTGGGGGCTGTAGACCGGAGCTTTTCCTATTTGGCCATCTTGGCTGCTTCTCTTATTCTGTATTCTTGAGCTTCATGCTATACTACTCCTTCCCGCCTAATTTTTGTCCCAGTAGTGCTGCATTGTTTGTAATGGCTCACATGGTACAAGCCATTTCATTCTTCAGAGATTTAACATGTCGCTTTCACAGTTGGGTATGCTAGTCTCCTCCTTTCTTGCCTGGGTAACATAGACAGATCCTTCACAATCCAGATGGGTTACCTTTTTTAGGACACAGGAAAGTACCCTTTCTCTGTGCTCATACTGTGTCCCATGTATACTTTCATCATTGCTTTTAACACCTCTCATTGATTGATTCTTCAAGTTTACTTTGAATACCTCCTGCGTGCTACGTATTGTCTTCTGTGCTTGGAAGACTGCATTGGCAAAACCAGATAGTTTCCTTTATACAGAAAATGTATTCTAGAAAATATTTACACAAAAACTTTTTTTTTTTGAGATGGAGTCTCACTCTGTCACCCAGGCTGGAGTGCAGTGGCATGATCTCGGCTCACTGCAAGCTCCGCCTCTTGGGTTCATGCCATTCTCCTGCCTCAGCCTCCCAAGTAGCTGGGACTACAGGTGCCCACCACCACACCTGGCTATTTTTTCTTTTTGTATTTTTACCAGAGATGGGGGTTTCACCTTGTTAGCCAGGATGGTCTCGATCTCCTGACCTCGTGATGAGCCCACCTTGGCCTCCCAAAGTGCTAGGATTACAGGTGTGAGCCACCACGCCCGGCCTACACAAACATGTTCCTAAATGACAAATGTGAAAAGCGTTGTGAAACACAACCGTGAACACCGAGCCAGCTGGGTAAGTTGAGGAGGCTTTCTACCATGGAGGAGTCATATAAGCTCCCCTGGAGGGCTGAGCTGCACTCATCCAGGTGAAGAGAGAAGGGGAAGAATGATTTATTGAAATTACTGGTTTACCCATCTGTGGCCTCCTTCAGAGCTTAAGTCATGTCAGGAGAGATTCTGTATGTATTGCATTATTGTATCCCCAGAACCTAGTGCAGTGCATGGAACATTTATCAGTGTCTGTTGAACAGAACAAAGCTGCTGAATGATCGTTCAAAAGTCTGAGGTCTTGTCAATGAGTACCATAGAAGCTGGCTATTTGTAGCCCCTGCTGCAAGGGAGGAGGAACTCCTGTCATTTCTTTAGTTCCTGTAACCCTCTTAGATTTCCTTTATTCATATTGTCGTTTTCTCTCTCCATTCTTACTACACTGGATTTCTCAGAAGAGCTTCCAAGACTCTTCCACAATTACTGTGGGACAACAGTAAATAGTCTGCAATTTTCAAGGGCTCAGTATCTTTTAGTCCTAAAAATGGCTGTATGTTGACCTTTTGCCACCCAGCTGTGGTGTGATGGAAACTGGGGGGCCCAATCTGAGAGTGAAGTGCCTTGTAATCCTGGATTTCAAGAATGAGCCTGAATTTATTTTCCTGTCAGCTCATGATGGTGACTTGTTTCTGAAATTCTTTGCACTAGTAATAGACTGAGCATTCTTAGGACTGCACAAAGAGAACTTTGAAAAGTCCTTTAATTTGTCTTAAGTTGACATAGCTGTTTATTTTCTATTTAGTTCTATCTATTCTTTTTTAATATTGAAAGAGAAATTTATTTTTAATACAATTAAAAGCTTAAAAATATAAAGTAAGAAATGTCTTATTTCTAGCCTGCTTTCAGCTAACAGTTAATAAGTTTATTTTGGCTCATGCTCAAATAAAATACACAACTTGTGGCTACCATCCTTGTCCTAACCCTCTTTGCAGCCTTGAAGATAGCTTCCCTCATCAAGAAAAATCATCCCCATTATTTAAGCACTTTACCTAACCCTATTGAGCTTTTTTGTCTTAGTCCCTAAACTAAATGTTTAAAAAGTAGGTTAAATTTCAAAACTGACCACAGGTCAAGTTGAGAATGAGATGCAAAGTTGAGCATATGTCTCTAAAGTCCTAAATAACTTTCCAACTTGGTCTTTCAGGCTGGTAGGAGGGATTCTGGGTTGAAGCCATGGACTGGTACAAACATTTCTGGAGGAATATACACCATGACTTGCACATTTTGGAATAACAACAATCATGTTTTTCCAATAGCATATAATCTCAAATTCTTCTCTCCAGGAGGGAAAAAAGCATAAGCCATACCATCTGGCAGTGGCTAGATTAGTTTCACATTGGAAAACTGTTGTAGAGGGTAGCTGGGTGTCTCTAAAGCGATGGAACCACAATAAAGATTCAAGAAACAAAATAATAATTGCAATTAAAAATGAAACACTGCCAAATTCTTGAGTTGCCGTCTAGGGTTTTAGTGGTTTGGTTATTTGTATCTTCATTACTTCTACACTCTGGATACAGAGATTCCAGGGATTAGCGGGTGGCAATAAAGTTTCATTGTAGCACAGTGAGAAATGCAAACAGCATTACAATTTGTGAGGCAGAACAAAACCAAGCTCTTTTTAATTCATGTTAGCATAGAAGCAATGTAACCAAAAAATACAGAAATAGTCTTGTGTTTGGAAAAGGATGGTAGTGGGATGCATTGTTTTGTGTCATGGATTGATTTGGGACATGCACTTAATCTTTTTTTTTTTTTTTTTTTTTTTTTTGAGATGGAGTCTCTCTCTGTCTCCAGGCTGGAGTATAGTGGCATGATCTCAGCTCACTGCAATCTCTGCCTCCCGGGTTCAAGAGATTCTCCTGCCTCAGCCTCCTGAGTAGCTGGGATTATAGGCACATGCCACCACACCCAGCTAATTTTTGTATTTGTAGTAGAGATAGGGTTTCACCACGTTGGCCGGGATGGTTTCGATATCCTGACCTCGTGATCTGCTCGCCTTGGCTTCCCAAAGCGTTGGGATTACAGGTGTGAGCCATTATGCCCAGTCATACTTACTCTTACTGTGTCTATTTTGAACCTCTTACAAAGTTTCTGTCTGTAGGAGATTTATTGTCACTAATACTTTATGGAATTGGCTCTTATATTGGTGTATATTGCTTGATTTTTTCTACGTTTTAAATAATCTAAGAAGGAGACACTGAAAGCAAGCTTTTCCGTTTCAGTTTTTAGTTTTGCCACTGAGTGCATTGCCTTAATACAATTGTGTTAACTTGTGAGTTCATTCTGTTTCACTTACCCTTTGCAATGAGGAAGTAAAATAGGGATATATAAATAACTCAAAACTTAATTACTTATGTTAGGATGGAAAATATATGATTTAACACACACATCAGGGGAAAAACAAGGTTCAAGTAATAAATATGTTCATGATTAACGACCAGAGGAAATTCCATTGCAGGCACATCCAGGCTCACTCACACACAAGGCATGCCACTGATAATCCTGCACATCCTTCCCCCTCCATCTCTGCCTCAGCCTCCATTCAAATGCACATTCCTCCAAACAGAGTATACACACAGACACAGGATAAAATTGGTAAAGAAAGCTCATGTCAGTTAAATGCCAGATTTTGATGAGAAAGCTTATTAATTGGATAAGCTACGAATCTCTAAGGCAGATTACTGTAAATGGGGAGGGGTGAGGATGTTGTTAGAATTGAAACTTAGAGCCTCACAAAACATGATTTGTGAGGTATCTTTCCCATAGTGATTTATTTTTGGGAACAAAATGTCATTTGTATAAAATATATTGTTGGCAATTGATATAGTCATTTAATTTTATGACAGTGTATTTTAGGAATAAATGCATTCCCCAAAGGGGCATTGGCATAGAATTAGCAATAGAAATGATGTCACTGCTATAAGGAAATCCAAAGTGGCTAAGATTCCAGAGAGTCCTGCAGAGGTCTATAGCCTATGGATTATTAAACACTGCTGCCTGATAAGGGGTGAGAACAAAAAGAACAAAAGCAAATGTACATGATTTAGAAATTCCGAAACATGGTTTGAGCAACTGGAAATAGAAACCAAAAGCTTTCTCAAATATGTTTTAAGTAAACTATCAGCCTACAAAAGAATACTTTTTTAACTTTGACCAGCAATGTAAAACTTTCAAAATATGCATAAAAATCTTAAATACATACTCAGTTTATACAGAAAAATAGGCCTGGCGTGGTGGCTCATGCCTGTAACCCCAGCACTTTGGGAAGCTGAGGTAGGAGGGCTGCTTGAGCCCAGGAGTTTGAGACCAGCCTGGGCAGCATGGTGAGACCCTATCTCTACAAAAAATTTAAAAATTAGCCAGGCATGATGGCATAAGCCTGTAGTCCCAGGTACTCCCAAAAATCAATAATAAGACTTGGGCAGCTCAAGAGGAAATTCTAAAGAAAGGGGATCTGATAATTAAATCATGAGATGTATCCTGGACCTCCTGGCATTAACCTTCTGGGAGGCAGCAGGAAGGAGATAATCTCAGCCAATGTCTCTATTCTGCAAAAAAAATGGAGCCCAGAGAAGCTAAAATGGTTTGGGTAGAACTCTACAGTAGTTCACTCTGATTGATATGGGCTTCCTATGTTTGATTCAGTTGTAGGAATCCTATCAATGAAAATTAGTTTTGGCAGGAGCCTGCTCTGTCAGCTGTGACCCACTATTGCCTTCTACTACACTATAATTACATGCCCACTCAAAAGGTATTAGGACCTCCACAGATACCAAAGTGTACTGAAAGTAAATTGAAAACGAATGGGAAACAAAATGCAGTTTAAAAAGCTTCACAAAATCAGCAACCTTAAACAGAAAAAATTACCATTTTGCCCCAGATAAAATCTCAGGATGCCATCAAAGGCAATCCTTTGAGTATTTCAGGGTCTCAAATTGTATTAGTGGGAAGGAGGCAAAACAATTCTATTTGGACTTGAACTGAACCAAAGTTTAATTTGAGATAAATTCCATAATTTACCTAGGAATCAGTGTCTTTTTTTTTCTTTTCTTTTCTTTCTTTTTCTTTCTTTCTTTCTTTTTTTTTTGTTTTTTTGTTTTTTTGTTTTTTTGAGGCAGGGTCTTGCGCTGTTACTCAGGCTGGAATGCAGTGAAGCAATCATGGCTCACTGAAGCCTTAACCTCCAAGGCTTAGGCGATTCTCCCACCTTGGCATCCTGAGTGGCTGGGAGTACAGGCACATGCCACCACCCCTGGCTAATTTTTCATCTTTTGTAGAGACAGGGTCTCGCCATGTTGCCCAGCCTGGCCTCAATATTCCTGGGCTGAAGCAATCCTCCCACCTTGGCTTCCCAAAGTGCTGGGATTACAGGTGTGAGCCATCGTGCCCAGCCTATTTACAATATTATTAAAGTTATAGCTTTGAAAGAGTTGAAAAGTGTTTTCACCATCTAATTCTACCCGTGCTCCTTGTGAACAAAAGTTCTGTTTTGGGTCCTGTATGTGACAGAAGATAAACACTAAGTGCATCAGCAGGGGGTGGAAGAAGTGAATTCCATGAACACTCACCCTAGCTGCAACAGAAAACCATCTATTCTCATCTTTTTTCAGCTCTATAAAAAGAAGGAAGACTGTTTCACAGTCGTGGATGAGTAGCTGATAACAGCTTTCATAAAATATGCATACACAATTACCTCAAAGAACCAGTCTCTTGTTCCAAACATTTCAACAGCAAAAGACCTTCCTGTAGCCAGCCATTTAGAAAGTGAAATGTTGCCTAGAAAATAATTATTGGAATCAATAAACAATTAAAATTAGGGGTGGAAAAAAGCAAGAAAAAGCCATCGTCAGTGTGTGTAAGAGTACAAAGTACTGGATTTCCAAGCTGACTTATATAATTGTCCCAGGTTTTCAAGAAGGATTCAGTGTATACTGGTGGCAGATTTTTTTTTTTTTTTTTTTTTTTTTTTTTGAGACGGAGACTCACTCTTATTGCCCAGGCTGGAGTGCAGTGGCGCGACCTTGGCTCACTGCAAGCTCCGCCTACTGGGTTCACACCATTCTCCTGCCTCAGCCTCCTGAGTAGCTGGGACTACAGGCGCCCACCACTACGCCTGGCTAATTTTTTGTATTTTTTAATAGAGACGGGGTTTCTCTGTGTTAGCCAGGATGGTCTTGATCTCCTGACCTCGTGATCCGCCCACCTCGGCCTCCCAAAGTGCTGGGATTACAGGCGTGAGCCACTGTACCCGGCGGCAGCTTTATTCTTACTAGGCCAAATCAAACTTGGGGTCTGGGAATCACAGCAAAATACTATGAGCATTATCATGCAGCTATCTGCCCTGGAAAAGAGGAGCCCCCTCTGTGATGATCAAAGACTGTGGGTCAGATAGGATTGCCTGTAAGGGTGATTTCCACCTCAATGGCTCTCTTTGGGAGAGGGCCTTCCCCAGACCTCAATAAGGCAGGTTGCAATTGCTCAAAGATTGCTCAAAGGACAGATTTAGATTCCACTATATTATTTTGAATATTAAGTAATAATCATTTGGTGAGTCAAACTGCAAATAGTGCATATTGGAGGGTATTCTTTTGGGCGGCTACTTTTGCATATGGATTTGTCTGCTTTTTCTTGCTATGAATTTATTTTATTTTTAATTGATTTATTTATGATATTCTTTTTTACCTTACTAGTTGTCCAAACCCCAAGTCCATTCCATTGTGAGATATCTATATAGCCCAGCAGCAGAGGAAAATTGAGGATACTCTGCTTTCTTCTGATTTCCCCATGGGACTGGTGGTTTATCTTTCTTTACTTATTTTGACTTTTAATAACTGCAAGAATCCTTAAGTGGCCTAATTTAAAAAGAATTAGCCCAGCCCTGGCAGAAGGTAGTTCATACTTGGAGATCTCCCCTGAGACATAAGATGTTTCCTGCTAAATTGAATTCATTTGTCTCGTATGAAAACAAGTTCACAGGGCCTAAGAATTTGTCTGGGAAGCCATAAACAATGGGGGGCATCCAGTGGAACTGGTGCTTCCAAACTTGGGGTCACTGGTTCATGTGGTGCCAGTGGGGTGAGGGAAGGGTCATAACGTATTTAAAAGAATCACCAGGCTGGGCGTGGTCGCTCACGCCTGTAATTCCAGCACTTTGGGAGGCCGAGGCAGGTGGATCACGAGGTCAGGAGATCGAGACCATCCTGGCTAACATGGTGAAACCCCGTCTCTACTAAAAGTACAAAAAATTAGCCGGGCATGGTGGCGGGCGCCTGTAGTCCCAGCTACTCGGGAGGCTGAGGCAGGAGAATGGCGTGAACCTGGGAGGCGGAGCTTGCAGTGAGCCAAGATCATGCCACTGCACTCCAGCCTGGGCGACAGAGTGAGACTCTGTCTCAAAAAAAAAAAAAAAAAAAAAAAAAAAGTCACCGAAGTCTGGAAGAGTGGTCACATAGGCTGCTGGTGTATCGCTAATTTCATGACAAGCACCAAGCTGTGCCCACGCCAGTTGATGTCAAGAAGATAAAGAGTGGGATGGAAGAGCATAGATGTCACAGGGGGGTTCAGAGGGAGTTTGGGCCTTAGTTTCCTCTCCTTTCAAGGGAGACCATCTACCATGAATGGGTAACACCTGCCAGAAGAATGCCAAAGGGAAAATTAGGCTACTGGGCAGCCATTTGAAGCCAAAAAAAAAATATATATATATATATATATAGAACAGGGAACTTCCTCCCTGAAGAACATGTGGAGCATTTTTGTGATCACTCAGAGTTGGCATCAGAGGACAGGACGATACCATAAAACAATTTGTTGTTATAATTGAAAATCAAAAGCCAACATCCCCAAATTGAATAATGTCACTCTTTGCTCTATTCTTAAGTGCTATGGTGAGTGTATACTGAACCTACAATGGTGTTTTGCTCACAGGTGAGTAATGGAAAGGAAGCATTAGAAAATTAATGGAATGCTCTAAATAATTGTGAAGAAAGAAAAATGAGGATGGTCTTAGGAGTCCTCATGGGGGTCTAACATAGCACCTCACTTGAAATAGGCACAACAAATAATGGTACATACTAGATATCCAGTAAGTACTTTCTTGATGAATAACTGAATGGATAACAGGCTTCAGTGTGGGGAGGATCTCCCCTTAGGAGATGGATTTTTTTCCTCCTCCAAAAGGAAACCATGAGCAAGAGGAATACAGAGTGACAGACACAGATGAGTTTATGCACTTATTCAACACATATTATTAACAGCCTTTTATGTGCTTGGCACTATTCTAGACACTGGGGATAAAGAGATAAACCAAAAGCAAAATTCCTTAACTTCATGGAATATGCATTCCAGTGAGTAAGACCAATCATACAAAAGAGAGCATGTATCTATATATGTTGACTAGCTTTAAATATTTGGAAGAAAATCAAGCCTGAGTCAGGAGATAATGGGTGATTAGCATATGGTGGCATTTTCATGGCACGAACAGGAAAGGTAGTGATCATTTGAAATCAGGATCTGGAGGTGACATTTGAGAAAAATAAAATAAAAAATGAGAGAATGACCATGGAGAGACCTGGGGAAAAAGTGTTCCTGGCAGGGGAAATAGCAAGGTAAAGGCCAAGAGGCAGGATTGAGCTTGGTGAGCGTGTTCTGACCTACAGGAACTCCAGGTTGATTGAGAGGAGTGCAGGAGGGAGGCAGTGGAGGGAAGGGAGGTAGTGGAGGGGAAGGAGTTGGAGAGACAGGCAGGAGCTGGCCATGCACAGGCAACGCTGGCTACATTGTTTAGGAGTCTCAGTGCAAAATGAAAATGTGAGGCCCCTTGTTCAAAAAGCAATAAAAAAATGGCTTTAAAGGTTACTAAAATAGAAAGCTTTTTTTTTTTTTTTTTTTTTTTTTTTACAGTCTCTCCCTTGTTGTAATTTTATTTGCTGTTTATATCTTACTCCCTTGAGTTTGGGAATATTCATGGAGGAGTACAGACCCCCATGGGCACCTGGAGTCCCTGCTTTGCTACTTAGTGTATGCAAAATCCCCTGGCTTCATGGACTAAGCAGGGTTCCTCCTCCTGCCAGCCACTGGGCCACCAACCTGCCCTACGTGGCTGCAGGGAGAGGAAGTCTATCTCCCCTTCCCATGGACCCTCCCCACCCAATGTTATGGGTGGCACCCACGGAATTGCAACTGCTGTGCTGGGATATGCTAGTTACCTGGATTAGGGGGAATAAGGGACTTGCCCTGCTACCTACCCCGACCTACCCCGCAATTGCCTGTCAAAGTGTTGTGGTTGCCTGGCCAGTCCAGGTCCATTCTGGGTGCAAGTCATCAGCTGCCATGTGTCAGAGAGAGAGAAGGGGAGGCCAGGTAGGGCCCGGGACGCCAGGGAGTAGAGAGCAGGCAGCCAAAACCCATCCTGGGAAGGAAGAGAAGAGGAGGGAGGCAGGATTGCCCATGAGCTGAGGCTCCAAGCCCTGAGTGTATGCTCCATGGTTCCACTGTATTTCACTTACAAAGCTCAAATTAAGAGATAAATTATTAAGAATTTGAAGTTATCAATTGTAAAGCATTAAGTACCAAGCACAGGACTCTTCTGGCACATGGCCTTGAGTGACTGCACTGGTCAAACGTCCATGCAGCGTGGCACAGGTTATGGCAAAGGCTTTGAGCTTTATTTTAAGTGAGATGGATAGATGGGGAATGGCAGGGAAAATGATCTGACCAATGTTTTAAAGGAATTGACTGGCCTGGCACGGTGGCTCACACCTGTAATCCCAGTGCTTTGGGAGGCCAAGGCGGGCGGAACATCTGAGGTCAGGTGTTTGCGACCAGTCTGGCCAACATGATGAAACCCCATCTCTACTGAAAACACAAACATTAGCTGAGCATGGTGGTGCATGTCTGTAATCCCAGCTACTGAGGAGGCTGAGGCAGGAGAATCGCTTGAACCCGGGAGGCAGAGGATTGCAGTGAGCCGAGATCACGCCACCGCATTCCAGCCTGGGCAACAGAGCAAGACTCCTTCTCATAAATAAATAAATAAGATAAATTGTCCCAGCAGCCCTGACGAGGAAGAAAGACAGGGAAATCAGGAGGTTATGAGATGTTGGTGGCTTGACTTCAGGCAGTATTGACAGAGGTAGTGAGAAGTGGTCACATTTCATATGTGTCATATGTGTTTTGTAAGAATGACTTCTAAGTTAGTTTTAAGGAAACCGTTTTGGAAAAACTGTTCAACATGGGGGGATGTTTCTTGTAGACCCGAGGGCAGAAGCCACTGACAAACAGTTGCATATGTGCCACCGTGATGGACCTGGATCAAATATTTCCAGAATCACAAATAGTAGAAAACAACATTTGGGTACAAAGAAGACAATTATTTTAAAATGGCAAATTTAAAATATTTTTTATTCAGAAATATTTTTTCAACCAAGCAATCAGGAGTGCCAAGATCGCATGATTTATGTAAAACACAACTTTGGTCTGAAAGTAACAAGTGAATTTTACAAAAGAAAATATCCTGATCCTAGTTCCAGGACTTAGAGAGAAAATGCTTTTGCTGAATGTTAACCAGGAAAGTTGGTAACCAGCACTTCAGTCTTATAGAAGAATCTTGATTTGTTCATTCTGTAATCTCTTTGAGAGCTCAGCACAAAAACTGTACTCAGGAGTTTGTTTGTTTTTTTTTGAACTTTTTTTTTTTAATTTAAGTTTTAGGGTACATGTGCACAATGTGCAGGTTTGTTACGTATGTATACATGTGCCATGTTGGTGTGCTGCACCCATTAACTCATCATTTACATTAGGTATATCTCCTAATGCTATCCCTCCCCTCTCCCCGCACCCCACAACAGGCCCTGGTGGGTGATGTTCCCCTTCCTTTGTCCATGTGTTCTCATTGTTCATTTCCCACCTATGAGTGAGAACATGTGGTGTTTGGTTTTTGTCCTTGCGATAGTTTGCTGAGAATGATGGTTTCCAGCTTCACCCATGTTCCTACAAAGGACATGAACTCATCCTTTTTATGGCTCCATAGTATTCCATGGTGTATATGTGCCACATTTTCTTAATCCAGTCTATCATTGTTGGACATTTGGGTTGGTTCCAAGTCTTTGCTATTGTGAATAGTGCTGCAATAAACATATGTGTGCATGTGTCTTTATAGCAGCATGATTTATAATCCTTTGGGTATATACCCAGTAATGGGATGGCTGGGTCAAATGGTATTTCTAGTTCTAGATCCCTGAGGAATCGCCACACTGACTTCCACAATGGTTGAATGAGTTTACAGTCCCACCAACAGTGTAAAAGTGTTCCTATTTCTCCACATCCTCTCCAGCACCTGTTGTTCCCTGACTTTTTAATGATCGCCATTCTAACTGGTGTGAAATGGTATCTCATTGTGGTTTTGATTTGCATTTCTCTGATGGCCAGTGATGATGAGCATTTTTTCATGTGTTTGTTGGCTGCATCAATGTCTTCTTTTGAGAAGGGTCTTTTCATATCCTTAGCCCACTTGTTGATTGGGTTGTTTTTTTCTTGTAAATTTGTTTGAGTTCATTGTAGATTCTGGATATTAGCCCTTTGTCAGATGAGTAGATTGCAAAAATCACCACTCCTATTCAACATAGTGTTGGAAGTTCTGGCCAGGGCAATCAAGCAGGAGAAGGAAATAAAGGGTATTCAATTAGGAAAAGAGGAAGTCAAATTGTCCCTGTTTGCAGATGACATGATTGTATATCTAGAAAACCCCATCGTCTCAGCCCAAAATCTCCTTAACCTGATAAGCAACTTCAGCAGAGTCTCAGGATACAAAATCAATGTGCAAAAATCACAAGCATTCTTATACACTAATAACAGACAAACAGAGAGCCAAATCATGAGTGAACTCCCATTCACAATTGCTTCAAAGAGAATAAAATACCTAGGAATCCAACTTACAAGGGATGTGAAGGACCTCTTCAAGGAGAATTACAAACCACTGCTCAACGAAATAAAAGAGGATACAAAGAAATGGAAGAACATTCCATGCTCATGGGTAGGAAGAATCAATCTCGTGAAAATGGCCATACTGCCCAAGGTAATTTACAGATTCAATGCCATCCCCATCAAGCTACCAATGACTTTCTTCACAGAATTGGAAAAAACTACTTTAAAGTTCATATGGAACCAAAAGAGAGCCCTCATTGCCAAGTCATCCCTAAGCCAAAAGAACAAAACTGGAGGCATCACGCTACCTGACTTCAAACTATACTACAAGGCTACAGTAACCAAAACATCATGGTACTGGTACCAAAACAGAGATATAGATCAATGGAACAGAACAGAGCCCTCAGAAATAATGCCACATATCTACAACTATCTGATCTTTGACAAACCTGACAAAAACAAGCAATGGGGAAAGGATTCCCTATTTAATAAATGGTGGTGGAAAGCTGGCTAGCCATATGTAGAAAGCCAAAACTGGATCCCTTCCTTACACCTTATACAAAGATTAATTCAAGATGGATTAAAGACTTAAATGTTAGGCCTAAAACCATAAAATCCCTGGAAGAAAACCTAGGCAATACCATTCAGGACATAGGCATGGGCAAGGATTTCATGTCTAAAACACCAAAAACAATGGCAACAAAAGCCAAAATTGACAACTGGGATCTAATCAAACTAAAGAGCTTCTGCACAGCAAAAGAAACTACCATCAGGGTGAACATGCAACCTACAGAATGGTACTCAGGAGTTTGACCTGGGGCATCTCCAGCCTGAAGTCTCAGCTCTGTCTCAGCTGTTTCTGGGCCCCAGTGAAGCTGTTGCTAACTTGCTGGTTCTCTTAGCACAAACACCAGCCCAGGATGCCGAAACTGCACCCAAGTCAGCTCACAGCCTCCCCCTGGAGGTGGCCTCTCCTCTGCCTGGTTCTGCCTGTTTAGAGGGATGCCCACACTTGTATCTCTTGATTATTTTTCTTTTACACTCCTCAAGCTGAAAGTAGCCAACTGGGAAGAGAAGGTGATCTTTTCTGGGATAGAATCATAATCCTTATTTTTGAAAGTGCTTTCAAAAACATTATTATTGAAGCCACATTAATATTTCCCAGAGACATTAACTATCTTGACATAATAAGAGGTGGGCGGAGATGAATATCCGAAGGAAATTACATTGCCTTTCAAAATTTCACAGAGCCAAAGTTACTACATGATACTTAATGAGAAAAAAGTCAAATTTCTAGAAAAAAATGAAGGGTAAGAAAGACTGTTACCAAGTTTGTATGCTTCAGTTTATTCACCTGAAACATCAGAACTATAGAGTCAAAAATGTTTTTCATTCCTGAGTCAATGACGCTGTAAGATATAAATGGTGCATTCTGGTGGCGGAGAAACATTTTCCACCTATGTTTCTTTGCTTGGCAAGAAAATGTTTTGAGGTGGTGCAAGAGGCCAACCACACATTTTGTGTGTGGACCATGATCTGTCAAGTCCTGTGTTTGTCATTTTAAAACTTTTCTGCATGGGGTATAATGTGGATCTGCAAATGTCCTATTTGTTTTCCCCACTGTGAAATCCCAGCTTTTGTACCTTGGGTATTTTCAAAACCTGATTTCACTGGATTAATATTTCTTTTCCTGGTGTTAGAATAATGAGTGTCAGTGTGGTTTTAATATACCAGCTTGTTTTCCTTGTGATGCCCTCAAGGAAAGGCGTTGTGGGAGCAGTCTGTGGTCTGTGGCCACAGGCAGAACCGTACAAAGTGGCACATTGTGCAAGTGCATAGATAAATCCAAACTCAGGGCTGGTCCTGTCAGTTCAGAGAGCTCAGAGACGTGTTTGGCATCACAGCCGGCACCTTTCTATTGAGCCCAGATGTGTTTCCATGGCAAAGGAGTCATGTCATTAACTGCTAGGGTGTTGCTATGGCATTTGCATGTTATTAAGAGCTTGATATATGTTGAAATGGAAGCATTTTATATTTTCTAAAGGAATTATCTACCAGTTATTTTTGTGTAGACAAGTCAATATATCTGAAGATAACCATTGTAATTTATGTTATTAATTAAATATAACTTACTGTGTTGAAAGGATGCATATCTTAATTGTCAAATGTGAAAGGGCTCAGAGGGGATTTTGACAGTCACCTTTCTAAATATATCTCATGCTCACATCAGAATAAGAATTTTGTTTGCTACTGAAGAGAATCCCACCTCTCCATCAGCATAAAGAGATTACAGCAGATGCTAATCCAAAAAGAAATCTGAGAGAAGGTGCTCCCTGTGATGCTCTTGGGCAATGGGAAGCATGAACTGTTCCAGACCCTCTTTTCCTAGATTCCCTGTGCCCCTACTGTACCATCACTCCACTGGTACAAGGAGGTCTAGCACCATGTTCACACTCCAAGGATGTACACAGGAAACTAACACAAGTCTTTTCTACATTTGGCTTTCAAACCAGTGTAGCCCTGGGGGACAGTAGCAGTATGCAGGCCCCTTTCCCAAGGGACACGCTTGTGCCCGAGCACTACCTCTTCATCTCTTTTTTTCCTCCACTACTCTGAGAAGTCTTATCAAGTCTAGAGCAAGAAAACAAGCTCTATATTATTATGCCTTCTATGTAAATCTATTCAGTCTGTGTTCTTTACTAAGGATTTCAGTCTGTTTTGAGACTTAAAAGCTGAAAATTGATTGATTCATTCTGTTATGCTTTTGAGATCTTACTGCCATAGCTGGTGTCTCAAACACAGATGAAAATTACATGGAATAAAGAAAAAGAACACATCAAAATAGTCTTATGTTACCTGTTTGACATACAACATGGTCAGGCACTTCTAGAACATAAAATACAGCACAGCTTGTACCTGTGCAGCCAATTACCCATAGCATCATTTACACATCAATTACCCATATGGTCTGATTTCATGTGATTATAGATATTTTAGAGCTTGGAGAGACTTTAGGGTTTATCTAGTCCACAGTGGAGGTGTTGTTGTTTCCCTTCCTTTTCTCTTTTCAACAGATATTGAAGAAATTGAAGAAAAGAGAATATAAGTAACTTACACATGGTGACATACATATTTATAGGCAGAATCCACAGTAGAACGTGGTACCTAAACTTCTACTAGTGGTCTCTTTCTGTGAAGTCTTGATGCATTGAATGCTACAATGCCTGGTCTTCTACTTCCTTGCCATCTCCCCTCATGGCTTCCTGCCTTGAGAGGGACCCCAAGATGGGAGCACTCTGAGCTTAGACGAAGAGCCCAGTGTGTAAGAAAGGATTCTCCAAGCCCATGAAATGGCCTCAATGAACAAATGTTTAGAAAACAGAAAGTCATTGGTGGGATCACTTGGAAAATTCTGTAAAAGACCGTCCAGTTAAATCTGTAGGATCCTGAGATACTGGGCTACTCTGAAAACCTGGTAAATGCTACAAACCCTTTCGCAGACAAATGCAAGTTTGCATGAAATTTTGCACGTGCATTTAAATGGTTTGCAGATCACCTAAAACCCAATCTATGAGCGCATTTTAAGAACCCCATTATAGAGATAAGAGAACTTTTTGAGATAGCCGGTATTGCCTGGGAAAAGACCAGAATGGTCACCTTCTCCAGAGCACCACCCTGGTCACTGTAGTAGATGGAATAAGTACAAACAGGTTGGTCCAAGGGACATCTCAGAAGGTTGCGAGTAGAAATGTTTGGATTTGAAATATTTTAAGAGTGTGAGTTTTGATAGCTGCACCCAACCTTCAATCAAAGTCATTCTTGATGGGGAAAGGGCTGTAGTCTGCCCGGCGAGAGCGAGGCTAAAGCGGGCTTAAACAGAGCAAGGGCTGTGCAATTGAACAAAGACAATCTCGTTGGCTTCTGAGTTCTATATGAGCTAATAAGCCACGTGGGAGGGTGTACTTTTGGGAGAAGAGAGCTGTAACCTTCTTTAGGTTGGCAGGAAAGAAGGGGACATTGCTGATTTCCAAGTTCTCTGGTCCTTGTAGACTTTATCCAGTCGTAGTAACAACAATAAAAACATTTAATTAAGAAGCCAGATCATGGAATTTATATTTCTCATTACTTTGAATCTGAATCCCTTGACAGGAGGGAAAGGAGGCTGGGGTGAGGGTTGGGGGTGGGTTCTAAGGTTGGGGGATGGTGTCCCTCACTCACTATGTAATCAGTACATTTTCTGCACCCTCAACATGACAAACACTGTGCTGTGTGTTGGGAATAAATAATAAAATGGTGGTCATGGTCCCTGACATTATGAAGTATAAATTTCAGTAAGATACGTTGACAAGCAAACTGACAATTGGTGTAATGCAGAAGGTGGTACAGGGGAACCCCATGGGGAGGTGTTCCTAACCAATTCTGTGGAGATGCTTCCTGGAGGAAATGGAGACTTGAAGGATGGTTGAAGTTAACCAGGAGAAGAGGGAGGACCAGGGTCTTTCATGTGGAAGAAAATGCCCATGTGACAGTGCTGGTGCTTCACAGATACTGAGTGAAGAAGGTGAGGGTGAGGGAGGGAGCCATAAGGGATGAGCTACTCCTGTAGGCAGGTACTAGACCACAGGATGAGGCTTTGTAGGATATTCTAAAAGGTTAGGGCCTGAAGGTGAAAACAAGAAAGGGCATTGAAGGGTTTTATGTGGAGAGATGACCCAGTATACCATTCAGCCTGGTGTGACTGTACCAGGAAGAGACACCACAACAGAATCTTATGTTAATATGCTATTTGCCAAATTCTCATGACTCTTAGGCCTTTAGGGACAGAAGAAAACAGTAGTCTTGCCCCACATACCTGTTTAGGTTCCCACACAGATGCATGTTACCTGCAGCTTTGGATGTAGATTTTAGAAATGAATCAACCGTTGTACAGTTTTGTTTCCCATCTCTTGCTATGCAGGCCAGTGTTATAAGTTTGATGCAGCTGAAGATGGTAGTGTTAGTTGGTGGCCCTTCAGAGATAATTCTTATGTCCCATCCCATGGAAGATAGAGAAGTATGGGAGATAAAACTGTGGGCTCTTTCTTCCCTTGCTCTCATTCATTAAGCCCCTCCCACCTGCCTCCCTGGGAGGAGAGACTCATCTGATTGGTGAGATACAGAAAAGGCTCTGACCACGTGTGGCTCCACTTCTCCTTGGTCCTCTCTGGAGCCACCTGTTGTCAGGAAACCACTGCTCTGCTCATGCATTTGGAGCTCACCCAGGTGTACTGAGCCTTTGCAGTGGGGAGACCTGGGCTTTGAAGTGTAGATTTTGTTTATGGGAGATTCACTGGAGCTACATTTTGGTTGTAGGTCAAGCTGCATTCTCAAATTCAGCTACCCTAGACATAAAGCTCATTATTTTAGCTTTCATCGTACTGATTCCTGTATTCATCTCGCATTTGGCCTGAACTCAAGAGGGAAATCAACAAATGTTACTATGTAGACCCTGAAAACCTTGAGTGTTAGCATCACTAACTTTTCCTTACCTACACATGGATTTCTGGTTTTCTGTCTTGTCTTTGCTGAAGACTGGGCGTTGTAATAGACTCATCCTTATTAATCTACTTCGCCTCTTAACGCTTACAAGAAGGAGTCTACATAGTGGGAGCAATCTGGAGAGGGAGGAAGTATGAGACCACCCCCTTACCTTCCACACTCACCTTTAGCTAACACTTAATTTCTATCCCTTCCCCCAAGAAAGAAATGAGAGAATTGGTTAGCTTAGAGATGGCTCTTAGAGAATTGGTTAGCTTAGAGATGATGACATCCATTCACAGCATTTAGGAAACTAAATGGAGAAATTAGAAGGTAGTGGAGTGTGGAAGGGAAGAAGCAAGAGATCTTTCTTACCCTCTTACGTCATCCAGTGTCCAGGGAATTCGTTTTTGGATATTAACCTCATCCCTGGCTCCATCTTATTTGCCTAACCTTATCTTCCCTTTCTCTTATTTTCTTGGTTGTTTTAAATTCATCTTATTTCACTACATGCATCTTTAGAAACTTCTTAAATCATTTTAGCAACAAGGTAGGAAATAGGTAAATAAATAAAATCTACCCTAAATATTCAAGTCCCTTCAGAGCTGCTTGGCTGCACAATCTGCTTTGACGTGTAGAGTTTCATTATCTACAAACACTCTGTGAAACATGGCAAAGTCCAAAGTGAATGATTTCTAAAAAATATTAATATTGCTGCCATCCTCTACTAATACAGATTTTTCAGTTATAGCCTTATGCTCAATTCATATTTAAGTTAATTGAATCATTAGTTTTAAGAGCTACTCTATTCCTGGGATATGTCCAGAAACCAGCCTCTATTGGTCCTTGAGTCTCAAGGTGCAGCCTAGTTAGTATTCTGTTGTAAATATCTATGGGAAAAATCTAAACACTCCTTATTAATCAGTTCAGTGCCTCATTAAAGTGTTTCCCAGATTTTGGAGTGCAATCTTGGATGATCATGACTCATTTGGGGGAGGGATGGGGCAAGGTGAGCATCCTTAGCTTCTGCCTGCTGCAAATACTAGATGGGTGTAAAAGTAATTGCGGTTTTTGCCATCACTTTTAATGGCAAAATTATTTTTGCACCAACCTAATACCAGTCAGTAGAGAAGTCTGAGAAAGAATTATGGAATTAACGGATGGTGGGAGCTCAGATATTAAGCCGAGAAACCTACATTTCTTGAAAAATATCATCTGGTCTGCATTTAGAAACCATTCAATCTGAATGTGCTAGCCTTTGGAAGACTATCTCTATCTGTTTTAACAAGTGTTTCTGTGACTTCGTCTTCAGCATGCTTTTATTTGGTGGCTACTGTGTTAGGTGCTAACCATATCTCCTCCTGAAGTTCTGGCTCTGGTTCTACTTCCTTCATTGAGTTTTATGAGGAGGGAAATTTATAGGCTGACTCAAAGGTCATATATTTCTGTTCACTGATTCTTTAGTCCACTGACCCCATCTTATACCTGCTTTTCCCTTTGAGCCCCAAATTTATAGCCTCATGTCTACATATATTTCAGTTTTCCGAGTGTAATTTCCTTATAGTCCAGAGCAAACATTATGCATTGAATAAGCATTTTATCCCTTGATTGTTCTTGTTTTCATCTCTATTCTTGTTACTTTTCTATAATTACCTATAAGTATGTGTGTGTGAGTGGGTGCACACCCACACCCACATTTCCATACGTCTGCTGAGTTGGCAGACTGGTAGGCCTTGGGAAGAAGCATGTATTGGGAAGAAGAAAATACCACTTGGTAATGACAGATTTGGTAGGAAAACTTTTACTTCTTTAAGGGTAAAAAGGAGGAACCATGTTCCATGTTAAAAGAATGGTACATGTAATTATCATCCCAGCTGTAAATCAAAATACCCCACCGCGGTTAGGAAAAGGAGTCTCACAGCCTTGGGCCTCCAAAAGAAAGAACCCAATTATATCAGATGCCCATTTCCTTCAGGGGTCATAGAAAATGAAGCTTGCTTCACCTCAGGGGCTCATGAACATTTTTCCCGTTGTTTCTGGATCATCTGGGTTGATTGTGCAAGACAGTTACTTTCCTGTTATGCAGTCACCCAGAAACAGAAGCAGAAGCGGCACACACTCTGTGATCTTTCCCACTTCCTTTCAGCCAATGCTATATTGAACTGTTCCTGAAATCACTCCAAACAACTGCCAATGGTGTTTGCATCTCTTCCTATCCCAAGTTCCCACAATCCCCAGCAGGGGTGTTGATGGTGCCCACAGCCTTTCCTCTTCACCTTGGTAATATCAGGTGAGTAAAACTGGCCCTCTATGCCCATTGTCTCCACCACACCAGCCATTCCTGAGATGTGGAATTCTATAGAAAGCATGTGGGTCACCAGCTGGTTTTAATTAATTGAAAACAATTCTGACTACCTGTTCTGTTCTGGGAATTGTGCTGGGTGTTTGACCCAATATGGAGAGGGGAGGCCCTTCCTGGCAAGAAAGCTGTTCATTTATTCAATTCTTTATTCATTTCACAGTTATCAGCTGCTTACCACATGCCAGATGGTGTTCTAGCTGCTGAGGAATACAGCAGTAAACAAAACCCAAAAAGTTGATTTTCTCATAGAGCTTACATTCTAGTGTGGGAAGAGAAATGATAAACAATAAATATAAATGAGTAAGATATATCAGGTTATGGTGGTCTTTCTGATGTGTCAATTTGAACAGACTATAGCCTTTAATTATCCAATCCAACACAAATCTAGATGTTGCTGTGAAGGTATTTTATAGATGTAATTTAAGTCCATGATCACTTGATTTTAAGAGAGATTATCCTGGAGAATCTGAGTGAGTCTGATTCAGTCAGCTTGAAAGGCCTTAAAAGCAGGACTGAGGCTCCTCTTAGAGGAGAAATTCATGTGTAAGACAACAGATTCAGCCCATGCCCAGGAGTTCCAGCCTGCCCTTATGGTTGGCCTGACCTATGGATTTTGGACTTATTTATGCAGCTGCCACAATTGCCTAAGCCAATCTCTTGCAGCAAACTTCATGTCATCCTTTATTGGTTCTGGTTCTCTGGTTTAACCCCAACTGACTCAGTGCTATGAAGAAAAATAAAGCAGGAAAGGGGATAAACCTGGTTATGGAGTAGACATAAAGACAAAAAATTAAAGCACAATTCACTCTTGCTATCATGCCTTTATGGGTACAGTGGAAGTAGAAATTAATCTACTAGTATCACAAATTTCCTTTCTTCAAAGCAAAGATCCTAAAGCTCAAATCCTGTGGGATATTAAACAGGGAACTTTTTTTTCTGAGCCCTTTTCAATTTCTAATTTCTAAAATAGGAATGCCACCTTTATATGATTAAAATGTAAGTGAGATAAGACTATTATATATAAATTATCTAGCACCCTTCTTGGAACATAATAAACTATCTTCTATTTTTTATTACCTTCTTACTAATACCTGTGAACATGTCTGCTATATGAATATCATGGTAATTCAGCATTGTCTTTACATCATACGTATTCCCGTGTATCTGTGGCCAATTCATACCCAAGGCAGACAGATAGTTAAGCTCCTCAGTGCATGCATTTACTGGTAGAACGCAGGTTGATGAGCCTGGGAAGGTAATGAACTGGGAATTACATATGGATGAAGAAGGATTAGGCTTATCTATAAAAACCAGTCTACTCCATTATTCCCTATCATATTGAAACTTTTCTCAACTTTCTCTTAATTCTGTAGAGAAATATCTGGTACATCAAAATTTCTATTTAAATGTCTTCAAAGTAACCAAATTGATATATCAGTGAACAAGCACTCTTCCATTGCAAGGCTCCAGCTAAGATCTCATTGTCAAAGAACTTCAGACAGTTGGTAGGGAGAGATGAGATGGGGAGGAATGCTCTGTTATGTGAAATATTTCAGAACTGGAGTTTCTGGGCAAAGGAAATAACTGTCATTTTGGTACACGTTGGCATTGAGAAAATGCATAGAAGAGTAATTATCTGCTTGAAACACTCCACATGACTATGTACACCCTTCCTTTTTCTGATTAACTAGACTGGAAAACATATTTCCAGGGCTGTTTTGGCTTTGAGTAAGATGGTACAGTATTCATCCTTGTAGTTTATTTGGAATAGGAAGAACATCTAGCTTGTGGGGGTACATAAGGTGGTGTCTCCCAAGAGTCTCTTAAATAAAAAGAGGCACTCCAAGTCTGTAGTTCCTGGTTCTAGTTTAGCATTTTTGCTGAACAGCAAAGGATTACATTCCCACATCTTCTTGAAATAAAGGCTAGAATGAATCTTCAGTGATTCATTCACTCAAAAGCCATTCTTTTTCATTGGCTACTATGGGCTAACCATAGATCTCATGATAGGGCCACATCTGAACAACTAAGGCAAGTTCCTGTCTTTGTGGTTACTTTGCTAGTGGGAAGTTTAGATGGAATAAATAACATTTATAGAACACTTTCTATGTGCAAGCTCTCTGTCTAGGTAATTAAATGTGGAGCAGTCCAGCAATGGGTAACCTGTGTCCCTGCACATGGGAGGAAGCTTGGAATGGGGACCACGGGCACACAGGAAAATACTGGACACTGTAGTGCAGCTGGTGATGGTGGTAGAGGGCTGAAAGATGCAACTTGAGTCCCAGCCAGGGACTGTGGTTCATCATGAAAAGGGAAGATTGAGAAGTCTTGAAGGAGCTGGAGTTTGGCTAGAATATTAAGGCAGAATTCAGTCTTGGTGAAATAAGTCCCAGATACTTGGATCAGGTAACTAGAACTATGGTAAAAAATCCAGTGCTAAGAACATCACCTGGTGCATAGCAAGAGTGCTATCAATATTTGCCTAGTGAATAGAAAGAATAAAATTGACAGTAAATGTGATTTGATATTCACATCAGAACCTCTGAACCAGAGCTCTGAAGTTTTCTCATTAGGGTCAAGATTTCATCCAGGCATTTGGGGAGACCTGCACTCTGAAGTAGAAGTTAAGTAGCCCCATTCTGGAGATAGGTGAAATTTGGAAGAAGGCTGGTCTGGACTAGTGTGAAGTGTGGCCCACCCTTTGGTTCACAGGCATCATTGCTACCTTCGTATCCAGACACACTTCAGTACCACGACCAGTGGGTGGGACAATTTGAAGTAGATCAGGAAATGTAGTAGCTGTTTTCAAAACCATCAGCTATTCTTGTTTCCACAGTATAATACAACCCCAGTTGAACTGGAAACTATTTGGGAAAGATTTCCTGGGCAGAGCCAAAGTCTGCTAAAGCCTTTGTATTAATATAGCTATGTCAAAGCTATCACTTTCTGCTGGGATTACAGGCATGTGCCACCACGCCCAGCCAAAATGATTACGATTAATTCATTATCAGTCAATATTAAAATGATGTATGGTTAATGCTTTTTATAGGCTTATTTTTAACTTTGTTTTGTGACATATTTTTACATTTTTGTGTTTGAAAATGCATTATTCAGTTTCATTTTTTAAATTTTTGTACATGTTTTGCTCTCTTAAAAAATAATGTATCAGTTTTTATATCACAAAAAAAGCTGTCACTTTCTTCTTCCCATCCCTGAGAAATCTATTCAGCTTTGGGTCAGGAAAGAATATAAATAGATTTTATGTCTATGTTTACATATATAGTGCATGGCATATATTTTATACTGTATGATCTGATATATATATACAATTTATAATTATACATAAATATGTAAGATTCACCAGACTATAATATCAGATTATATATTTTAGTTTCATTTATTAGATACATAGTAATATATATAGTTTTGCATATATACTGTTTATAGTGTCTCGTGTGTGTGTGTGTGTGTGTGTGTGTGTGTATGTATATCAGATTAAGACATGGTGTTGGTGCTGGTCCTACAGAGAGTCAGTAGGAAGAGCATGGTGAACAGCTGATACCAAGAGGAGGTGTGAAGCCAGGGCAGAGACTGTGACTTCTGCCATTATTTATGCTGCCCCCTGGTGTGGGTAGCTCCAGGTCAATGAATATCAAAGCCAAGAGGAATAAAAAGTTAAAGGTGTACGCTGCCCCAGATGAGGGCTCGGCAAGAGGTGCTGGCATCATCAGGAGCTCCTGATGGGGTGGCAAGGATGGCATAGGCTGGGGTAAAGGGAATAATACCTGCCACAGCCAACACTAACTGCAAATCCTCTCTATGAGCCCTGTGCTATGAGCTTTATACACACTATCTCACTTTTTCCTCAGATGGCCCTAGGAGGTACATACTGTTATCCTCACTGTTTAGATGAAGATACTGGAGGCTTAGCAAGATGAGCTAACATCTGAGAAGCATGCCTGCCATGTAGTATGTATCCTACAGGTATTTCTTAAGTGAATAAAGCCACCCAGGTGGTAACTGGAGATGCAAGATTGTGCTCAGGCTGACTCCAAAGACAGACTTCTTATCACAATTTTTCTTCAAGGATTTTATTCTTGCAGAGAGCATGGAGGCTACCGGAGTCACGTTTAGCAGTTTTGTTTTTGAGCAGGGAATGTCTGTGCTCTCCCTTAAGTAAGCCCGGCTGCCAGAATACACTGGTGGAGTTATGTTACGAACCAGGAGTAGCCTGCTGCCTACTGGTTATCTACATGAAGGAATGCTGTTTTGCTATTTCCCTCCCACTGATGCTGAAATTGAAATGGGGAAGGACTCCAAGTACAACATGTCATGCAAGGGGTTGAGGGTATCCTCATGGGATCACACTGAGGACCTGCTGAGAACACGCTGAAATCATTATTCTGACAGATCAGGAATACTTTCTCATCCACAGCCAGCAGCCACGTATGCTGTGCACACACTGTGGTCTGTCTGAGTTGGCTTCTTCCAGAAAGTAGGCTCACAGTGGGCGTCTGAGGGCTACTCCTGCCGGGAAAGCAGTCTCATTTGTTCATATAACATAAACTTAAAAAAAAAAATCAGGAAACAAGGACTCCCAGCTGGAGATGTGCCTTTGAAGACATTCTTCCAAGAGGTCTTTACCACAAGATGAGCACTGTGACTCCAGGAACAGACAGTGCATATCACACCCTCACCACTGGGACCACAGCATGCTCAGAGCCTTGGTCAAGATTTCTCCTGCATGTTGGTTGACCAGGCTTTGAGGTTAACATTCAGTCTTTTAGGGAAATCACGTTCTGCAGTCAGGGCAGGGTGTCAAAATGAAGAAGTCAGCCTTCTTTTGGTTCCTCCCATTTCCACCAGAAAGTCCATTCTGTGAAAAGAGGTATTGCTTTTTCTGGTTTTAATATAATGTAGTCCTGGTTTAGAAAATCAGAGGATTGGAGACTGATGAGCCGTTTCTCTGGATTCAGGTTCATACGGTCCTGCCTGAAAAGGAATCAATTCTCTTACATAGGGGATTTGGAAGACAGAGAAGGTAGAGGCTTCTGGAGCCATGAGATGCCTGCCACAGCAAATGGCCAGAAGAGAGAAGTCACATGGCAAAGGGAATCTGGCCCAGAGGCATTCCTGCAACAGCAAGGGGGCTAAGTGAACGACACTATTGTTTCAAAAATGTACCTGATGATCTAATTTTGGGTATATGTGATTTCAAGATGCATACTGACCATTGACCTGTTCCTTATGCTCAGAGCCAGAAAGACAGAATCCAAAAACTCAGTGTAGAATTCTTTGTTTAACCCCTTGGCCATTTTGTCTAAACTGTCTCTGAGACACTGATCGAGTTTCTTTCAATGACTGAGAAAAGCATTGTCCACTAGTATTCAAATATCTGAAGTTCTGCATGCTTTCTACTGCTTCCTGGGCATTCTGCTCTATTTCATCTGCTTGTAGGGCCTTAGATTCAAATGTCTTTCAGATCGAAATCCCTAGTCCAGACCTTGAAATCTCTTCCTGAAGGTGCCAACAGCACCTCAACCCTGATACGCTCAGCTCATGATCAGTCTCCCCAAACACAATTTCCCTATGTTCTCCATCCCAGTGAATGGCACCCCCACTCACCGTTCAAGGCTGAAATGAACCACACAGGACTCTCCCTTTTCCCTCACTCCCACATTCAATCAGCCAGTAAGGTGTGACCAACTTTAACTTATTAATATCGCCTGACCTGTCTCCTTATGTCCAACCCTATAACCACTACCTTGGTTCAGGCCCTCATCATTTAAACATTTCATTTATTTTTTGATCTAGACCCATGAAGTGGCTCCCTAAAGGGTGCCTGTCCACAGGGCCAGTCAGAAGGAGTGTTCTGTATCCCAGATCTCATGTTGCTTCTCAGCTCACACTGGTTTGTCCCCGGCATGGTGTTTGCAGTCTGATGTGCTCGAGTCCCTGCTTATTTCTCAGGCTCTATCCTGCCCCTCTCCAGTGGGCTCCCACGGTATACACCCCTACGGGCCCACACGGCACAGGTTCCCACAGACCCCTGTGACTTTCCAAATCTGGTCCCTTTTCTGTCTGATGCACATCAATTCATCCTTGAAGGCTTACCTTACCTACAGCCTTCCTGATGCCTCCAGGTGCAAATCAGTGTGATGTTTTTCACATCCCTACAGCATCTACACTAGAGAGTAATTATCAGTCTCAAAAAAGCAAAGGGTTTCAGAAAAATGGGACCTTCTCACTACTGCCACACCTCCATCTGCCACCAGACTGTGAAACACTAGAGGCAGAGATATTTATTTAATTATCTTACATCTATGACATGCTCTAAGAAATGCTTGCTGACCAAGTACAGGAGTGAAGAAACCGTCTCCTTTTTCTTTTCGTGTCTGTAAATCCTGTTGGAAAACAGTCCTTCCTTCAGTTTGGCACTGGCTGTGGCTCCTGTTTGTTTTCTCTCATGGTTTTCTCCTCTTTTGCTTGTGACTCTTTTCCTCAATGCCTCCCTCCCCACTCATGCCAGGCTCTTTCTGGTGCCCTCAGTTACATAACACCTGGTAATTGGTTTTAAATCTGGTCTGGAAACCACCCACAAAAGTAGGGGTGCACCCAGCTACCTGCAGGTTATCCAGGAGTCTGCTATGAGGGAGTGCTACCTAGTTTGAGAAGATAAAATAAAAACCGCTTGGCTCAGTGTTGGATTCTGAAGGAAATAGCTGGGCTGGGTGGCTCTAAGAGTTTGCATTCTGTGGCCACGGCTTTTATAACAAATGCACCATTTTAGCTACCTGAACTTAGCTGACTTCAGTTTGTTATTAGGAAGGCTTTTAGGGGCTCACACGGCAACAGAGAGCTCGTCTGTGTTTGCTCGGGTGAGAGAGAAACATCCACTCTGAAGACCCAGTCCAAGTTTATCCATTGTAAGGAATAACAGGAAGTCTTACTCTTACTGAGCATTTGCAAACCCAGGTCCCCAGATGGGAGACAATCCTCCATGTGGTGGCACCATGGCAACCACACATTCCTATTTGATTGAAGAGTATTGCATGTCACATTCTTTTACCCGGGCAGCCACCAGTACTGAGCTACCTCAGCACCTTCCCAATACAAGTAGTCTTCCCTTATTTGTGGTTTTGCTTTCTGTGGTTTTAGATACCCACGGTTAGCTGCAGTTGGGAAATATTAAACGAAAGGTTCCGGAAATAATCAATTTATTAGTATTAAATTGCTCACCATTTTGAGTGGGGTGATGAAACCTCTTGCTGACCAGCCCGGGATGCGAATCCTCCCTTTGTCTAGTGTATCCATGCTGTACACGCTATTCACCCGTTAGTCACTTAGTACCATCTCAGGGTTCAGTAGAATCCAGTTTCAGGCATTCACTGGGGGGTCTGGGATGTTTTCCCTTCGTATAACGGAGGCCTGTTGTAATCAGCATCACTGAATAACTTAATAGATATTTAGTTCATCAATAAACTACCAATTTTAAGTGACTTAAAAATATAAACATAGTAAAACATTGAAAAAAATTAAATTTTATCAGAAAAACAATTGTTTTATTTTATAATCTTTTACCAAGGAATTTTGCTCACTTCAAGGATAGATAAATCTTGAGTCTTTGGCCTTCCTGCTGTTCTCTGTGAGTCTGATGGGCTGATGTCTCACTGGAGGGTTCAGAGCTCCTTCAGATCACATGTTGGTAAGGATATTGCCCTTCAAGGCTGGAAGGCAGGATGAGTCAACCTGGGAAGTCGGGCCAGTGGCCTCAGAATACACTGCTTGTGTTTACCCTGGAAAGTGATATCATCTGTTGCAGCATTTGGGTGTGGTGTTGAAAGGTCCAGTCGTGGCATTGACTTTGTTTTCTAAAGAAAATCTTCAGGCTCTGGGGAAGGGTCGAAGTCTGAACAACAAAGCCCTTGCCCACATGGTCGGCCCTCTTAAGAAATTCCGACCACTTATCTTTGATCTTAAGAATCTCCACACCTTGGCTTTGAATGAGAGAGTTAGGTGGCTCACAATACTGATTATATTACTGGGATATGCTATTTACTTAGGTCCCTTAAATCATACCATTATTCTTCGTCGGCATTAGAGTAAGGAAACAATATTTTTATCTCATTTCTCATTTTACTAATGTGTATGGGTATTTTCCTCTTCAATAGACTATTTAAGTGGGGGGAAAAGCAGTGTTTATAGCTAGAATCCACTTCTTTGAACAGTGCTCTCAAAATAAGCACATTCAGTGGCTGAAAGTTGATAGTATTGAATATTCTCACCATTTCTGTCAACACTAAATGAACATCGGGAGATATTATTTTGGCCAGCAGTTACTCTGTGTGAATAAACAACATGCAGGCTGTCATTTGGATGCTGCCTCCCTTGTTCAAGTAGCTATACCCTTTCTTTATATCTGTCTCTCTCTCCTGAAACAAGACTTGATTAAGTGAATAAAATTTAATTCTGGAGACTAGGTTTTTAATGATTAAAATTACAGAAATTTTTCAAGCACTTCTTCCTCATATATACTAAGAGTTGATTCATATTCATTATGTCTGTATTATGTAATTATATATAATGTTTTTTCTGTCTTTATTGATACATAATAGTTGTACATATTTGTGGAGTACATGGGATCTTTTGATACATACCTATAATGTATAATTATAAAATTAGGGTAGTTGGGATAGCCATCACCTGAAACGGTTACCATTTCTTCGTGTTGGGAACATTATAATGCTTTTCTTGCAGCTATTTTGAAATATACTATAAATTCTTATTAATTATGTTTGTTCTACTGTGAACACTAGAACTTATTCCTTCTTTCTAACTGTATTTTTGTACCCATTAACCAAGTTCTCTTCCTCTCTGACTTCAACACTTCCCAACCTCTGGTAATCACCATTCTACTCCCCACCTCCATAAGTTTAGCCTTTTTAGCTCCCACATATGAGTGAGAACATGTGATATTTGTCTTTCTGTGCATGGCTTATTTCATTTAACATCATATCCTCCAGTTACATCCATGTTGCTTCAAATGATGGGATTTTAATTTTTTTATGAATGAATATTCCATTGTGAATATATACCACATTTTCTTTGTCCATTCATCTGTTGATGGGCACATATGTTGATTCTATAATCTGGCTATTGTGAATAGTGCTGCAATAAACAAAGAGGTGCAGATATCTCTTTTATATGCTGATTGCCTTTCTTTTGGTTACATCCCTAGCAGTAGGATTGCTGGATCATATGGTAGTTCTATTTTTAGTTTTCTGATGGACTTCCATACTAATCTACATTCCCATGAACAGTGTAGGAGAACTTCCCCTTCTCTGTATCCTCATCAGCAACTGCTATGTTCTGTCTTTTTGATAATAGCCACTTTAACTGAGGTGAGATGACATCTCATTGTGGTTTTGATTTGCATTTCCTGGATGATTAGTGATGTTGAGAATTTTAAAAGTAAGTTTTTTCAATAGTTTTAAATTTATTTCCAGAAATAATGAAAATAATAACAATGATTATTATCTTTGTTTTTTTAACCAATATTGTGTGATTGATTGCTGTTTAATATTTCTGTTGGAGATTAAAGGAGGACTTCCTCTCTCTGTATTAGTCAGGATAAGCTAGGTTATCCTGCAATAACAAATAATCTCTGAATCTAAGTTGTTTAAAACAACAATAGAAACAGTTTTTACTTTTTTTCCACTCAGGGTGCATGTCCACTGAAGACTGGCTCATTGGAAGTGACGAGCTAGGGATGCATTCTTGATTATTCTCACTAACAGAACCAGAATGAGTTGTGATGATAATTAATTTTAGGTGTCAACTTGACCAGATTAAGTGGTACCCAGATAGCTGATAAAGCATTACTTCTGGGCATGTCTATAAGGGTGTTTCCAAAAGAGATTGGCATTTGAATCAGTGGACTGAGTGAGGAAGATGTGGCCTCACCCAATGTGGACAGGCATCGTCCATATGGCTCAGGTCCTACTAGAACAAAAAGCCAGAGGAAAGGTGAATTTGCTCACTCCCTTCTGGAGCTGGGACACCCTTATTCTCCTGCCCTTGGACATCAGAACCCCAGGTTCTCTATCCAGCCTTTCGAATCTGGGGCTTGGATTAGTGACCCCCCAGTTTCTCAGGCATTCAGCCTTGTGACCTTCAGTCTTGTGGTGAAAGTTATGCTATTGACATCTCTGGTTTTGAAGCCTTAAGGCTTAGACTGACTCATATTACTGGCTTCCCTGGTTCTCTAGCTTATAGATGGCTTATTGCGGGACTTCTCAGCCTCCATAATCCTGTGATAATTCCTATCTCTATCTCTCCATCTCTCTCTATATATATCTTATTGTCTCTGTCTCTCCGGAGAATTCTAATCCAATGAGGGAGGCTTATCTTTAGGAAGGGAGTGGCAAGGAAGGGGTATAGCTCAGAGGTAGAGCATTGGACTACAGACCAAGAGGAAGGGAGTGGCAAGGCAAATCATGTGCTGGCCGTTAATGCTTTGACACAAAAGTGACACAAGTGATATTCATATTTCTTTCTTATTTATTATTTTTAAATAGACTTTACTTTTTAGAGCAATTTCAGGTTTATAGAAAAATTATGCAGAAAGTAGAGTTTCCAGGTATGCACTCCTTCCCCTTCCCCACACTCCTCCTCTGCCCCTCCACCCCCTTGCCCAGAGTTCTCTCTCATTAACATATTTTGAGACAGGGTCTCTCTCTGTTGCCCAAGCATGATTTCTGCTCATTGCAGCTTTGTGCAGCCTTGACCTCCTGAGCTCAAGTGATCCTTCCACCTTAGCCTCCCCAGTAGCTGGGACTACAGGCACACAGAGTCACACTGAGCTAAAATTTTTTTGTATTTTTTTTTAGAGATGGGGTTTTGCCATGTTGCTCAGGCTGGTCTTGAACTCCTGAGCTCAAGTGATCCACTCACTTCAGCCTCGCAAAGTGCTGGGATTACATGCATGAGCCGCTGCGCTTGGCTCTCTTCCATGTCTTTTTGTGGCTTTCTTTCTTTCCTTTTTTTTTTTTTTTTTATCACTGGATAATATTCCACTGTATGGATGTACCACAGTATTGCTCTCAATCATATTCTATTGACCAAAGTAAGCCACATGGCAACCCTGACTTCAAGGGAGGGAAGGGTTATCCAATCATATAATTGGAAGAAGAAAAAGTAGAACTATTTTGTGAGCAGCACTAATTAACCCTTTTGCTTCCATGTCTTGAATGAAGTAACAATGTTATGCTCACAGTCAAATCTTTTTCAGGGTAAGTGAGAGAGTTTCAATTTAACGACAACTTGGACCCCCAATTTTTGCTATGAAGAAAGTAATAAAAGGAGCCAGAACACTCCTCATATATTACAAAAAAATCTCAATATGATCTCAAAGCTTGGCTGCAGGCTGCTCACAGATCCTCTGTGTCCTCCCTGAATACCATGTAAGTGACAGCGTCTTTGGAGTCCTAAAGGGGCCACACCTTTGTCAGAAGCCATATGCACTTGTTAAACTGAACTAAATATGGCCTGAGAAGGACGCCATACTTCTAAATTTGAGTCCATGAGGACAAACTGTAACCTAACTTTATAGTCAGATAGGATTGAAAACCTGACTTAAGAGTATGTGCCTGTAACAATAGCTGAGGTCTGGCCAATCACAGCAGCCATACGTCAACCACTCATACACTGCTGAGTGTTCAGATTTGTTCAAAAAAGGCAAATGTTGAGCTGTAATCAGTCCAGCTGTTTCTGTACCTCACTTCTGATTTCTGCACGTCACTTCCCTTTTGTTGTCTATAAATTTGTTCTGACCATAAGGCATCCCTGGACTCTCTCTGAATCTGTTGTGATTCTGGAGGCTGCCCAATTTATGAATTTTTTTTTCTTGCTCAGTTAAACTCTGTTAAATTTAATTTGTCTGAAGTTTCCTTTTAACACAGTATAGCCTCAGAATATTGCTCAATATTGTCCTGGACGTAGACAGAAGTGATAACAAATCAGGTAAAGGCCAGTCCAGAAAACAGACACCCATCAGTTTTCCTAATAAAGAATACTTAATATAAGGAATTGAAGCACTGAAAGTGAGGAGGAGGACCACTGGAGGGTCACGGAGCTAGCAACTGCAGGAAGCAATCGCTACCCCTAGGGCTGAGAGAACAAAAGGGATGCGTCAGGTGCCTGGGATCTGGAAGCTTGGAGGAGGGCCCTGCAGAGCTGGAAACTGGACCAGGAGGGAGGGGTGCTGCCTGGTGGAGGCAGGTGCGTTGGAGACTCAGAGCAGGGACCCTCAAAACAGGGACTCAATATCTGGGGAGGAGGTTCTGGTTGACAGACGCTATCACTGAGGGAGTGTGTTCTTGTAGTGAGGAAAATAACTGCAAACTGGAGCTAAGGGCTGCTGGGATGATACTGACAGGACCAGCAAAAAAACAGAAGGAACAAATCCCTTCTTCCCCACTGCCTCCAGACTCCCTCTAGTGCCCCACTACTGGCAGCCTAAGAGAAATCCCTCTGGCAAAGCTGAAATGTGATTACAGAGGCCCAGCCCCAGCAACACAAAGCTGAGAATGAAGGGTGAGTGTGGAGTTTACAGGCAACAGCTTAATAATCAACACAGACACTAAACAAATATTTGGTCCCTGTCTCTTATGCTAATATTTGCTCATTACAGCTAAAAGACTCTGAGGAAGGCCGAGGTCAGAGAAGGCGTAAGATCTGCTATTGACATGTCCTGAAAGCCTTCCTTTTTGGTAACTGTCAGCTAAAAGAATCATCCCGGCAGTATCATCTGGAAACTCGTCCAGCTTGTTTTTTGGCCACCACTCAATAAGAACTTAGTTTGAGTTCCTTGCTCTTGCTTTAAGTAGCTTTTAGAGTTCTTTGAGACATTTGTACTTGAGATAGAGAAAAGAACAGCTCCATGACAATCTTGGCTTCCCCAGGGTATTTGAAGGGGCTTACTGTCCATTCCCAGTTCTGAATCACCAAATTCCACTAAATAGCCAAGGTACTCACCAACCGTTCTTCCTTAATCTTTGCAGTCCTTCCTGTTCCCATTTCTTATTTTTATGTATTTCTGTCCTTTCTTTTCCCTGTTTTAAAATCCTTCCCCTTCTTCTTTTCTGCCATTCCACTGCTTTTCCTGATAACCCTCACTCTTCCCGGGGGACAGCACAGTGTGCTTGAAAGAGCATGACTCCTGCACAAGAAGGGCCTAGGGTTAAATCCTAATTCTAATGTTTACTTGCTTTATGATCTTGAGCAAGTAATTTTTCATTTTCAGTTTTTTAAAATGGAAATAATTGCTAGGATACGTGTACTTTGTAAGAAGAAAATGAGAGAATGTATATGTAGTGCCTGATAGATAATAGGTGCTTGTTAAATATTTGCTTCCATCTCTCTTTTTGTTGTTGTTATCAAATGCACCCTTAGGTACACCTATTGAAAACCAACTTAAGACTTCCTTATGTCTGCTGCAGAGCCCTGCGCTAGGCGCCTATCTTAGACCCAGCCTGAATTCTTCTCCTAAAGTACCGAATTGTTTATTTAATCTGGCCATATTTTATTTAACTCACTTTCTCTGTCTTAATTATTTGGAAACTGGTGAGGCTCAAAATTCAGTCTGTGGCAGCCAGAATTACTAAGCTGGTGTATTTTGACTAAAACAGGGGAAAGTTTGCAGCATAAGGGAAAGAAAAGACAGACTAGGTTTGGATTACTCTGACTGGAATCAGTGGGAGATGGAAGGTTCAAGTCCTAAACTGGCATTCCCTCACACTTCATGCCAGGACCAGCCATCAGATACCACTCATCGTCATGTGCAGACTGGCCCTAGAGCTGGAAAATGGCCACCGAGGTCACGAGAGGGTGGAAATAATATTTCACTCTGTCTCAGTGTTACGACACCTTGCTGGTTATTTACCTTCCAGTCCTTTGGAACCCTTAACTAGAAGTAGTTGCAAAGTCAGCCAGCCAGCGAGCTAAGTACTGAGCCAAGCATCACTGAAGAATTTGTAAGTTGTTTTCTCTTTCTTATCTACCAAGTGCTGGTCAGGGTGAGCCTAGCACTGCATCTTGAAGCAGGGCTCCTCTCCATTGTTTAGGTTAAATTACCTGTCAGTATTTGAGGAAATCAGGGGCACCTCCTAAAATTGGAGGTGGTGCTCCTGAATCCCCCATCTTTCCTCTGAAGGTGGTACCACTTTCCATGGCTAAGTGGGAAGCCTGAGGTTTTCCTTTTTTACTTAAAAGCTTTGCAAAGGTGATAGAGAGTCTAGGCACCCAAGGGGGATTTCCTACTGTAGGGTATTTCTGTGGTTTCAGAGTCCCAAATTTAATAGTGGTGGTTTAGGGAATGCTGATTCTCAAGGGCAAAAAGGCAATTGAAATGTGGAGCCACTTCCTGTTGGTGAGGGAAGGGACACTGTAGGAGGTAATGAGCTGGTTTGCATAAAATTGCCTTTTAAACATCAGGAGATTTTATTGATTTAAATAAAAAGCCTGAGATCCAGTTCCAGGATTGGTTCAGCAACTCAGTAATACCAAAACACTGGTCTTTCCATTGCTTTGTTCTTCCTTCCTCAGGTGTGGCACCTCATGTGTGCAAGATGGCTGCTGCTGCAGTGGCAAGCACCATGTCTTCACTGACCTGCACAGAAGCTTAAATTCTGACTTGCTTGATGGCATGGCATGCATGCCCAATGGGAAAAGCCATTTGATTCATGTACAGGTTCATGAAGGGCATGATTACTGGGAGCTTCCCTTTTGGACTTGAAGTATAAGATTTATTTCACACTGATGCCCTTCCTTGAGTAATAATAACACTAATATTCACTGAGCACTTATTACCTTCCAAGCTAAACCTTTTGTTTGTTTGTTTGTTTGTTTTTGACACAGAGTCTCACTCTGTTGCCCAGGATGGAATGCAGTGGTGCCATCTTGGCTCACTGCAACCTCCACCTCCCGGGTTCAAGTGATTCTCCTGCCTCAGCCTCCTGAGTAGCTGGGACTACAGGTGTGCACCACCATGCTGGGCTAATTTTTGTACTTTTTGTAGAGACAGGGTTTCAACATGTTGACTAGGCTGGTCTTGAGCTACTGGCCTCATGTGATCTGCCTGCCTTGACTTCCCGAAGTGCTGGGATTACAGGCGTGAGCCACCCTGCACTGTGGCCAAACGCTTTTATATGAACATTTTAGTCATCTTCATAACAACTCCACAGAGAGGATATTATTTATATTATCTTCATTTTACAGATGAGAAAACTAAAGCTTAGAACAGGGTTTTTCAAATTGTGGGTCTGAAACCATTAGTAGACCATGAAATCAATTTGCTGGATTATGACTAGCATTTATAGAAATTTACATAGAATAGGACCAATCAAATGGTGCTCACAAAATATCAAAAATAATTATTTTTTATTAATCTTTTAATTTATGTGAGTATGTGTGTGTGTGTGCACACACGTAGAGTATTATTTATGTTAAATATATTTCTTACTGTGGATTGCAGTGAAAAAATGTTTGAAAAGTCTATCTTTGAGTTTAAGTAACTTGCCCAAGATCATGTGGTAAATTATGAAGCTGTAATTTGAGCCCATGCAGTCTGAGACCAGAATCTGTGCTCTCAATCTCTGCCATGCTGCCAACTTAACTTAGAGCATGGGGAGCCCAAGAAAGGGCAGTCGTGTAGAGAGGGAAAACAATGGGAGAGGAGCAGCTGGAGAATGGAGGCAAGGCCCCAGACTCCTGGAGAATGTTCTGTGTTCCTGTTACTGGGCTCAGGTTGCAAAGGTTTAGCACGCGAATGGCCGTGGCGCTCTCTGGACAGCCCTCAGAACCACAGGTCTTGGTTCCCAGCACAGTTCTGCTGGATGCCAGGCATAATTGCTATTCACTACCCCTTGTATTTGCACATCTTTGCTGGTTTGAACAAAAAATTATATTACTTTATTGATGTCATTCCCATACAGAATTTTAGAGCTGTAAGAGAACTTAAGTCCTGAGTTGTCTGGATGCTAAATGTGAGACCTGAGAGGTCAAGTGACACGCTAAGGTCACACCGAAGATGACAGGGAGCAAGACTCAGACCTTGGGCATGCAGGCCTGTGCTTTTCATTGCTTTCATTTGTATCATGACCTGGTCCTTTTAGAAGGTGGTGAATTACAGGCTAGCAGGAAAGGTCTGCGTGTGCCTCATCCTGGAGGCTTATTTGAAAACTGGAGAAAAAGATGTCTTCTCTAGTATCCATGCTGGGTTTCAAGGTGGGCTGGAATCTTCTCGTGAGAGTGCAGGGAAGTGAGAATGGAGAGAAAGGGGGTGTGCGTTGCCTCTTGGCTTGTTTTTCTAAGCACAAAATGAAACTTTTTTCCAGGCAACTTTTTCTTTTCTTTTTTTTTTTTTTTTTACAAAAATAATAATTTGAGACTCTTTCCCAGGGCAAAAATACACTGTGCAGTCTTTGTGCCCACAGCACCTGTAGAAGGGATTGAATTGAAGTTTTGTTCAAGGTGCTGAAAGTTTATGGTCCATTTAGCTGTGAAGCAGAGTTTAATGTTGGCAAACTTTTGTGTTTGTTTTAGTTTCTGAAAGTTGCTAACCATTTTCCCTTTCTTGGGGAGGAGAGCAGGCCTGGCAGGAAAGGCAGGGCCATCACTGGGGCAGGGTGGGCGGGGTGGGTAGTGTTTAGGTACAGAATCTTAATGGGCCAGTAGATATGTCTGCCTGATGCCTTTAGCACCACAGCCTGTTAGCCTGACCTGCTGGCACATGGAGTTAAGGCCGCAGAGGCTGAGGAAAGTGGGTGTTTTCGGAGCCCCTTCCTTCAGCAGTTTCATCCAGTGTGGATGCTGATGGACAGCTACAATCCCCAGAGCCAAGTGCACATTCCTGCAAAAGATAAACATTTGTCTATTTGCTCAACTCTGCTCTCACTTTGTTACCATCTAAGCCAGATCTATCATGCCCTCGATGCATTTGGCAGGAGGGAAAACAGATGGTCATAGACCTGGCTAAACAGTTCCTATTTCTGCAGCCCTGGCACTAGTAATTCTGGGTCTACTTGCAATTTTGTGTAAGACGCTAGATAAGAGGCCTAAAGCCCATCACCTGCCCTGGTCTATGCACTAGCAATAAGCAGATGTTACCTTGAGTCTGGAGTAACAACCAGACTCATTTGGCAATTCTGGAGGCAAATTGCTTGTCAGAAACACAAAAACAAATATTTCATAAACATAATAATCATGTGTCAAGGGTAAGTCTCATGTTCCTACCTCATTTCTTTGTCCTTTCCCCTAATTTCCATTTTCTCCAAGGTAATTCAGGACCCTGCTGCCTCTTGCCTAAATTAGGGCAAGAACTTTCTATCTCATCTCCTTGCCTCTAGACTCTCCCCACTCCTCCCTACTCCTTGCAAGTGCACCTCATTCCTGGCTACCATAGGCACAATCTTCTCTCTCCTTAGTGGGAAGAGATCACATCTGATTCAGCATGAGTACCTCAGCACTCAGCATGGTTACATCAGCACCCTGGTACATAGATGCTCAAATGATAGTTGTTATAAAAATGAATGCATAAATCAAGTGCTATAGTGTTGGGTTGGTACACATAGAATGTCTCTGTAAGTTCATTTTTAACTTCTCTATTTAAAGGAGGGATCATGGTTCAGAGGAAAGAGCACTAAAGTACGAGTCAGAAGACTTGGCTTTGCATGATAGCTGTGTCACCATATGCTAGCTGTCATGCTAAGTGCTTTGAATTCACTATCTCATCTCTTACAAATAACCTCTGAGATATATATATAATCTTCATATATGATATATATCATAGGTTACATGATATATGTATCATGTATCATATACATGAATAATACATATATATCATGTATCATGATATAATACATGAATTATGTATATATCATGTATCATAATATATGATATATATATATATATGTTATTCTTACTCAGTTTTAAGAGGAGTTAACTGAGACATAGCAGTTTTAGCAGACTTGCCTAAGGCACACAATTTAAGATTCTCAGGGACTCTTTGAGTTTCAAGCCCATTTGTTTAACTACTCTGCTAAACTGCCATGCAACCCTGGCCAAATTAGTAAGTCTTCAGACTCAGCCTCCTCCTCTGTAAAATGAGCAGCCTGAACTCTGCCGATTCTCTTTAAATCCTATACAGCTATTCTGTGAGTCTGCATTTCTGATTCCAAACATCCACAGAAACGTACTGTGAAACTCCAGTGAATTGTGACTTGTGTTATGAGTTGAGGGCAGGTCAGAGAACAGTAGCATTCCATTGGGAACTGGCACACATTTGCAGCCAACAGATGAAATCTACACTCCTGGCACAGAGCCAACCCTGCCCTCCATCCTAAAGCACACTTGCCTGGTGAGTCCATTTGGTCCTTTCCTGAATCCTGAACTGTCACATCTCCCTCATTGGGAAGGATAGTATGCAGGCCCGACTCCTTCATAGAGCATGGGTTGTTCATCTGTGAATGTAATTTGAGGAAAGTAAAGGCCCACCTGCCTGAGATGGCTGGAGGGCATTGTATTGTAGCAATGGTAGACCACATGTTATTAACTAGGGTTCTGATGACATCTTCCAGCTACACTCACTTGAGTCTCCTGTGACTACCACTCTTTCTCAGTTGTCATCTCTGTCTTTACTTTCTTTGTTTACACTTTAAATGTTGGATATTCCTAGGGCATAGTTCTCAGTTTTCTCTCACCCAGAGTAGCTTCATCCTTTCTCATAACCAGATCTTACTTTCTCTTAAAATCGCTATTTAAATTTCCTGCTAATTTTGAGATATGTCCATATCTCCACCACAGCACCCTTAGAACTTTAGAGTTCAATATCTCCCATACTGAAGCATCTAGTGGTATATTACAGGGGCAAGTAAAATAAGTGTAGAATAAATAAACTGTGATGCATTAATTAATACATTAGTACAGGTTTAGGTGCTGGGTAAACTTTCACCTGTTTTTTTGGTGAATGGAACCATTTTCAGTCCTGAGAACAAGGGGCAAGTCTAATTTATTGTTTTGTGCCTTTGGACTATAGTGCAGTGCCTGGATCATTGTAGCAGACCAGAAAAAGTATGTTAACATTAATGAACCCAATACAGGAGACTCAGGACTGGCACATTTTGAGAGGAGAAAAAAGGAGTTTCACATCTTGAAGTTTTGCCCAGAGAAGGCCGGCCCATGTGGGATGATGCAATGTGGGACTTGGCTTGTTAGGATCAACATGGGGACATTGGACTCCATGATAAAAATAATAATGTAGAAGGGTCCAGCTCACAGTAAGCAACTGAACTTTGCCTGCCTCACTTAATTTGTTAAGACCATCTCAGGCTCTTACGACCTTGCCCTTGGCGCTGAGCCTGCAGAGTAATTCATACTTTTGTCTATGTCAGATCCTTGGTATTAGCCCAGGGTGACACTTCCATGAAGATTCCACCAGTTTCCAAAATTTCCTTTTACCTTTTCACACCATAATTTTCCCTGGAGCATAACTCATTGAAGTGGTCCCAGCTGGGTTTTGTGGCTTCCAGTGACCTCAGTACTCAGGAGAACAAACAAGGGCAGCTGGCCATGTGAACACTTAAGAAAGCTTTTAGAAAATATGTTTTCCTTCTCATAACTGGCCCGATGAGCTGGAGCTGGCAAGCAGAGAGATAGGGTGAGACTGCAACACTGAAGATGTCCAGTTGTGTCAGCTGTGGTGTATTGCATTTGTATCTCCTGATGTCTGAACCAGAAGGGGTCTTTATCCCCGGGCAAATCCCTCGTGTCTGCAGAACCAATTCCCTTGGCAGGCTGAGGGATGCTGTGTGACTAGGGTGGGGAAGGCTAAGTGTTGGGATCTATGAATTGTATTTCTGCTGCCTTGGGACAATAAGCAGAGATGTAGACTGTCCTTTTTGGCTTAAATGTATCCCTCCTTACACTTAAACATAAAACCTAAAACCATAAAAACCCTAGAAGAAAACCTAGGCAATACCATTCAGGACATAGGCATGGGCAAAGACTTCATGACTAAAACACCAAAAGCATTTTCAAAAAATGCCAAAATTGGCACATGGGATCTAATTAAACTGAAGAGCTTCTGCGCAGCAAAAGAAACTATCATCAGAGTGAACACGCAACCTACAGAATTGGAGAAAATTTTTGCGATCTATCCATCTGACAAAGGTCTAATATCCAGAATCTACAAGGAACTTAAATTTACAAGAAAAAAACCATTAAAAAGTGGGTGAATGATATGAACAGACACTTCTCAAAAGAAGACATTTATGCGGCCAGAAAACATAAGAAAAACTCATCACTGGCCATTAGAGGAATGCAAATCAAAATCACAATGAGATACCATATCATGCCAGTAAGAATGATGATCATTTAAAAGTCTGGAAACAACAGATGCTGGTGAGGACATGGAGAAATAGGAATGCTTTTACATGGTTGGTGGGAGTGTAAATTCGTTCAACCATTATGGAAGAAAGTGTGGTGATTCCTCAAGGATCTAGAACCAGAAATACCATTTGACCCAGCAATCCCATTACTGGGTATATACCCAAAGCATTATAAATCATTCTATAAAGACACATGCACACATATGTTTATTGCAGCACTATTTGCAATAGCAAAGACTTGGAACCAACCCAAATGCCCATCAATGACAGACTGGATAAAGAAAACGTGGCGCCTACACACCATGGAATACTATGCAGCCAGAAAAACGAATGAGTTAATGTCCTTTGCAGCGACATGGCTGAAGCTGGAAACCATCATCCTCAGCAAACTAACACAGAAACAGAAAACCAAACACCGCATGTTCTCACTCATAAGTAGGAGTTGAACATTGAGAACACAGGGACACAGGGAGGGTAACATCACATACCAGGGCCTGTTGGGGGGAGTAGGGGAAGGGGAGGGAGAGTTTTAGGACAAATACCTAATGCATTCTGGGCTTAAAACCTAGATGACGGGTTGATAGGTGCAGGAAACCACCGTGGCACATGTATACCTATGTAACAAACCCGCACGTTCTGCACATGTATCCTAGAACTTAAAGCAAAAAAAAAAAAAAAAGAAAAGAAAAAGAAAAATAAAGAAATGTAATTGAGTTTTCTATATTGATGTAGTAATATCTTTTGGGTTTTCTATAAGAATCATCATGTCATCTGTGAATAATGGGAGATTTTTAGTTTTATTTCTTCCTTCCTAATCCCTAAACAAAATTTTTCTTACTGCACAAACCAGGGCCTCAAATAATCTTTAAATTCATGCCCATAAAGCTCAGAGGAGCCCCAATGCAATCACGCTATATTCCATTTACTCTTCCAGTCTTCTAGAAGACTGTATCATACTTCCTTTCCCCTTAAATCTCCAAGACCTGCTCCTCTATCTGCGCCTTCACCCAATAACCTTTTTAAAGAAAATCTAATTCACTTGCAAAAAATGGATGAAATCAGAAGTTCTACAGACTCCCAGTCTCAATCTCCTACCTCTTGCATGTGCACCCATGTATTTTGCTTTCCCGAATGTTACCATAAAGGAAACATTCCTAGGATGAGCTCAACTTGATCATGGTGTACAATCCTTTCTATATTCGGATTTGGTTGGCAAATATTTTGTTTAGAATTTTTTAAGTCTCTGCTCATGGGAGAGATTAGTCGGTGATTTTCCTTTTTCAAACTTCCCTTGTCAAATGTTGGCACTGATGTGTATACTAGCTTCATAAAATGAGGAACAACCCTCTTCCCATTTTCTCTTCTCTGGAAAATTCTGTCCAAAATTGAAATTACTTGTTTCTTGAATATTTGGCAGATCTTGCCAGTAAAACCATTTGATATTTTCTTGTCAAAAATAAATAAATAAAAGGTAACTGCTGATTTATTTTTTAATGGGTTATTTTTCTTGAATCAGTTTTGTTGAGATATACTTTTCTACAAATTTGACCATTTCGACCAAGTTTTTAAATGTGTTATCTTACAGTTACTTATAATACTCTTATCTCGAATAACTGCAGCATTTTAGTTATATCCACATATCCACTTCCATATCCTTGACATTGGTTATCAGTGCCTTCTTTCTTTGTTCTTGTTCAATCCCCATAAAGACTGTCCATTTTGTAAGTATTTTTTAAAAAACCTCTTTTATATTTTCTATTTTATTACTTTCTACTATTATTTTCTTTTTGTACTTTTCCCTAAGTGGATGCTTACCGCCATATCAAACTTTATCTCTTTCCTCCCCCAATACGTGTATTTAAACCTATAAATTCCTCTTTAGTGCTGCTTTAGCTATATCCAACACATTTTGAAATTTAGTATTTTATATCATTTTGTTCTGTATTTTATAATTTATATTATGATATCTACTATGACCCAATATACATGATGCTTCTTCCCATTTAGGTTTTCACTTTTAATTTTTTTTGGCTTTCTACAATCGTCTCTGTAAACTGTACACATCTTTTATTACTTGTAGTTCTAGTTACCTTAGAGTATTTGTCTTATCACAGATGTCATGTTTATGCCATTTTCTAATTGGTCATTGGCAATGAATAGTAAATACTGTTGCTTTTTAAATTTTTTAAATTGATTATTTTATTATTTTTTTTTAGATTATTTGCCATGACCAGATGTGATTCATACCAGGGATCCAAGCATGCTGTTGATTTTTTATATGTTGATTTATATTCAGCAAATTTGATGCATTTACTTATGACTTATACTTGTGTCTTAGACCCTTTGAGCAGCTCTAATAAAATACCATAAACTGGGTGGTTTACAAACAATAAACATTCATTCCTCCAAGCTCTGGAGGCTGGGAAGTTCAAGATCAAGGCCTCTGCAGATTTGGTAACTGACAAAGGCCCACTTCTTCATAGAAGAGGCATTACACTGTGTCAACTCCTAAAAGCCTCACCATCTAACACTATCACCTTTGGGGTTAAGATTTCAGCATATGAATTTTGGGGTCACATTAACATTCAGCTCATAACAACCTGTTTATAGTTGGTTCTTCATTTGAATATCATGCCATCGGAGAATGGGACCAATCTTTTATATTTTTTTCCAAGTGTTCTATACACTTTTTATTTTATCTTATTACGGCTTATCTTCTAGACAATGGCAATAAGAGTGATGAAAATGGACCCTCTATCTTTTTTTCCTGAATGTAAGGGAAATTCTTCTAAAGTTTCACTGTGGTGCTTGTCTTCCATTCCATCTTCCTTCAAAAGTGTGTGGGTGTTAATGTGTGTATGTATACATGTTTATGTGTTTTTATACTTCGGAGACTACAGAACTCAAAATGACCTCTCCCAGGCTGCCTCACATCCTGGATGTGATTTTTGGTTTGGACAATTAGATGTGCCTGCATGCAGATTTCCCTAAAGCTGTAGAAAAAGCAGAGAACTCAAAACCACATCCTGGTGCCAGCATAGATAAGAGATCTGATCTGAAGCCTGAGACTATGAAGGGTACATTAGCCTTGAGTACATTTATTAAAGCCATCTGTTCTTATCCTTCCCTAACCACATTGTGTCTTCCTAAGCTACCAGAACACAGGTATCACTCACAAGCAATTGCAGTCAAAGTTTCCTCTTAGAAAAGCAAAGAATAAAGGGGAAAAAACCCACCATGTCTTTTCTTTCTAATAAGTATTTTGTTGTCTAAATAATATATTTGCATTGCCTAAAAAATGAAATACAGATTAACAAAAAAGGAAATACAAACTACTCATAACTCTTCCTCCCAGAGGCAATACCCCCTCAAACTTTCATTCTTTTTCTGTGTATATATACCATAAATACGTTTCTTAAGTCATCTTATTTTTATCAGTCCTGTGCAATGCAATTTTCAGGGTTTTATTGGTGAATAGTGTGTCTAATAGCAGACGCCACCCAAGTCCAACATGACTGCTCAGTGAAGTGTCTGTAAGGGAAAAATGCTGTGTGCATCTAATTCTTTAGGAGAGACTCCCAGCACTTCGAGCTGCTTAGGTGCTCTCTCAATCATTAATGTCTCAACTCGTTTACTGTCAAACTAAAACATTTACTAAGAGTGGCAAATAGAGATGGAGATACCTGCAGATAAATTATACATCAAGATTGTTCCATGGCTGAGCTGAGCACAGTAGCTCACACCTGTAATCCCAGCACTTTGGGAGGTCAAGGTGGGCAGATCACTTGAGGGCAGGAGTTCAAGATCAGCCTGGCCAACATGGCAAAACTTTACTAAAAATCCAAAAATTAGCCGGGTGTGATGGCATATGCCTGCAATCCCAGCTACTTGGGAGGCTGAGGTGGGAGGATTTTTTGAGCCTAGGAGGCAGAAGTTGCAGTGAGCTATGATCTCACCACTGCATTCCAGCCTGGGCAACAGAGGGAGTATTGTCTCAAAACAAAACAAAAAAGGCTGTCTCAAAAAAAAAGATTTTTCCAGGGTTGGACTTAGATATGAACCATAGAAAACAGTCCTTGTGTAATAACCAAAAGAAGATACGCATGCAGTGAAATTATCTCATAAAACGAGAGCCTAATTAATGGAATAAGTTAGCACAGAAAAGGAAATATCAACAATAGGATGGGTCATTTCTTCCATGGAAATGAAAAGCATTTTTTTTCCTTATATTAGTTTGCATTTTGCCACCCCAGCTGCACAATGGGAGCCCTTAGAATTTTGTTTTCTTAGACAAACAATCTCTCTACGAAAGCCTTATGAACTTTGGCTGCTGCTCTGGCCAAGTCTTCAAGGCAAACCATTTTGTTGACTTCTGATACTTGAGAGATGCCAGCAGATCAGGCTGAGTTGGCTCCCGGCGAGAATTCTGTCCAAGAATCTTGGGTCCCCTGTGACTTAAAAAAAAAGAAAAAAAAAGTTTTCTGAGAAGAATTTGTTTACATTCTGTTAATCTGTTCATCATTTATGATGGTGTTAAGGACACGAAGCTTACAGTAAACTGGATCAACAGTAAATTTTACTGGCACTTCTTAGTAATTATTATAAAAACTCTGTGTCTAACCTAGTCTATTTTTGTTTTCACTCATCTCCTACCTCCCATAAGGCATATGTTATAGAGATGCTCAGTAAACAATGAGCTCTGCATAGCAACTACTCTCTTCCCAAGCCCAAATGCTCTGTTTCCACCTTTCTCTTTCTCACAGAGGGGTTGATTTTGCTCCCGGAATAATACGTGAAATTCTAGTTGTCTTCAAAGTCAAAGATACGTGGCCATTCCTTCCTGTGTTCAAAACAGAAGGGAAGGCCAAATTATTTTTCCTAAGTATTAAGGTGAGTCTTAGCTTCTGGTTCACAGTTTGTTTCAGCAAGAAGAGCAGTTAATCAGTGACTTCTATTCGGAGATAAGAAAAGTTTTTCTTGAATATGACTCTTCTCTATGGCTTTGTCTACAACCCCTTTCTCTTATTTCCACTCCTAACCACTCCCTCCCCACTAATAGTTTTAAGTGGGGAGGGAGTGGTTAAGTTTAAAATAGCTCTGTGTTCTATAAGAGAAAGCTTACAGAACATAGAGTTTTTTTTAAATTTAAATTTTAAGTTCTGGGGTACATGTGCAGGATGTGAAGGTTTGTTACCTAGGTAAATGTGTGCCGTGGTGGTTTGCTGCACCTATCAACCCATTAGGTATTAAGCCCAGCATGCATTAGCTACTTTTTCTAATGTTCTCCCTCTTCCCACCCCACTACACCCCCTGAGAGGCCCCAGTGTGTGTTGTTCCCTTCCCTGTGCCCATGTGCAGAACACAGAGACATTTTTAATGTTACTCATAACTAAAGTTCATTTCAAGGAAACTGGAAATCTCTAGAAGAAAGGAGGTTGTTGTATAAAGTGTTTACCAAAAATAACTGGTTAAGAGCCAGATCAAACATGAGAAGGCAGAAAATGATAGCAATATACACCAACCTGCATCCAGAAAGCACACTCATGTCAATGGCCAGAGAAGAGAAATCTGCATCCATAGAATGTATTAGTCATGGTAGGCTCACTGATGTATTGCACAACCCAAGATTTAAAGCAACAGAAGGTTATTTCTCACTCATGAAACTCTTGTGTATTTGATAGAGGCAATCCAGTGGCAATTCGGAAACCCAGGGACCTCTTCTACATCCATAGAATCTTCTCTATTCACTTGATGCCTGGGGAGAGAAGAGGGAGTTGCCTGTGGGAGGGTTTTATCAGTGGGGTCTGTTAATGGTACACATTGCTTCTGCTAACCTTGCATTGGTTAAATATTTCATCACATGGCCACTTATAACTGCAAGGGAGGCTAGGGAATTTAGTTTACTTGCATGTCTAGGAGGAAAAGGAATTGAGTTTTGATGACACATGGCAGGCAGCCTTTGCTGAGGATAAAGACACTTATTGAGATAAACGTAGAAATGAAAGAATTCCAGTAAGCTCACTGTTCAAGCTGCTGTATCATTACTTCCTGTCTCCATTTCGCTTTTAGCCCTAGCATCTGAGTCTACACCTCAACCCAGGCCTCTAGCTAGGAGTGAATTTAATCTATCCCGGGGAGCTACATGCTCTTCATAGAGGGGGATTTTCCTTTACTGAGTCCTGATACGTCTTCTGGTGGATGTCACTGAGACACTTCACTGTCATACTTTGCTACTGGGGATAGAGAAGCAGCACAAGACTTGACTCCTGCTCTTAGTGAACTAGCGCTATTTCTTAGGCAAGTTAAGACCAATATGTATGAAGCAAGTAAAGAATAACCTGTCACTGTAGATGACCAAGGTTGGGGGACTTGATGGTCTGGATGGTGTGGGCCATTCATATCATGACACTGACAATGTGTCTCAACGCTCTTCTGAAAGAATGGGGTGTTAGTCCTTTAAAGATATTCATATACTTTTCTTTGAAATATGCCCAGCCCCAGTCAAGCTCTTCACTATGTGTCAGTGAAATAACTGAGTGGGTCATTTTTTTTTTTTTTTTTTTTTTTTTTTTAAAACAGAGTCTTGCTCTTTCAGGCTGGAGTACGGTGGTGCAGTCTTGGCTCACTGCAACCTCTGCCTCCCAGGTTCGAGCGATTCTCCTGCCTCAGCCTCCTGAGTAGTTGGGACTACAGGCATGCGCCACCATGCCCGACTAATTTTTGTATTTTTTTGTAGAGACGGGGTGGCGTGAGCCACCACTTCTGGCTGAGTGGGCCATCTTAACCACTTTTTTCATTCTACTAAATAAAATAAATAGGTTAAACAATCTTAACTGCCTAGATTGTCATTCTTACAGCTAAGGAGACCCATCATTTCCTCCTCATAAAAAATATAAATTAGGCAAAAGTGATATCAGACTGGTGAAAACTAGGAGAGTTGGTTCAGCCCAATCCATTTATTTTATTTATTTTTATGATGATAACTAACTTTCATTGAGTATCCATTATAAATTGAGTGCTATATATTGTTTAGACCAATAAATTTAGTGTGTGTGTTTATGTGGTCTACACACACTTTAATACATATGCTTTTTTTTTTTGTCAGATAAAAGAGGAGAGAGCCCTATTCTATTTTGATATCCAAATTTCTAAGAACCCCTTGCTCTCACAAGAATTCTAAGATAAGTTTTAGGTGAAGAGGGAATCTAAAAATTGAAAAATATAAATGGAATGAGAAAATCTAAAAGACCACTGTTGCCATCTCCCTTCCACAACCTACTTGAGAAATCCTTCCCTGACTGAGAGTTGGGAAGGTGAGGCAAAGGCTGACTCTCCCAAGTAGACAAGGACTGCCTCCACTGCTGTGGTCCCTGCACTGCTGAATATTTCCCAGGACACAGGCTTCCTCAGGTTTGCCATCACAAGCAGGTGACTAAAGAGAATTCTTTGGCTTTGCACAGGCCTGGCTAAAGCTCTGTTGTTGGAAACTCTCTGAGGAGCTCAGGCAGAAAACTTTTTTATTATGATTTATGAGATCCCAAATGCCACCATTAGCACTAGATGATTAAATTGGGACATTTGTTTGGACTGCCCTGACAGGGTTATATACTACCCCAAGGGCCTCAGGTGAACATTGCATGCCATTGCCATCATCGCTTGGACGTCACCAGCAGGAAATATCAGAAGCCTCCCAAGACAGTCTGTCCTTCTGGGCTTTCCAGAGAGGCCCTGGCAGACAGGAGAGGTCGGCCTTGTCTGGACTGGTACCTGGCCTGGAAGTCTTCACCCCCTAAAACCCAGAGCTCCACCATGCTGGATGGGGGCCAGGCGAGTGCCTTGTGGTAGCACTATTAAGAATAGAGTGTCACCGCCTGTCAGATGCCCTGTGTCAAAGGTGACTGCAACTGCTGCCTCCTCATTGATCAGATTAACCAGGCACTCACTGGTGTTGAGTTGCAAATGTCTGGATTTTGCTTCCCCTGGCAGCAGCTCCAGGGATAGGAGAGAAAACAGCTTATAAATTCTTTAATGATTTTTGGAGCCAAAGGCAGCTTACAGACTGGATTTTCAAGTAATGTTATTTAAAAGGTTCCAAGGGACATGAAGGTAAATAGCTTGAAAAATAGGGGGAAAGTTATTTCTTTCCTCCTCTGAGAACATTACATAGATTGAATTAACCCCTAGTTAATTCCTCTTGTGATTATGAGACACAGAAGAGAGCATTGTGCTGGGGTGTCTGGATCCCATTTGGGCAGCCCCCGCCCTTTAGTCTCACTGAATGTTTCTCTTTTGAAGAAACATTTGGAAATCAGAATTTTAAAAGTTCTTTTTTTCCCCAGATCAATATATGTCCTTGCAGATATATAAATATCAGCTATTAAATATCTTTGGGGGATGTGTAAGGAAGTTTTATGACAAATGCACAACGAGTAATCTACCCTGAAGATGTTCAAAAGAAGCTGGGTATTAACACAAAAGGGTTGTTTCAGGAAAGGTGCAGGCACTAGGTGGAAGGGAGGATGAGAGGATTTACAGACCTTGCTGGTCCTAAAATTCTATTATTTTCTTTAGCCTATGTCAGTTTGAATATTTGAAAACTAATGCATTACCTTTTTAATGGATGTGGAAATAGACGCTAGGTAAAGCATTAATTTTGTTTCCTGTATTCCCCAGCAGAAGCCTGTTATTAAGATTGGGGCACTTTTCTATTGCTATAGTGCACCTAATCTATATCTCATGGGATAGTTCTTATTTCAAACCTGCAGACTCTCTGTACCGTAGGTCCACCTCTGTTTGACGCATGACCTGTTCTGATTTGAGATTTAGAGAATATTGACAATTTATTGATAGGGCAGGGAGATGTCAGTGATGAAAAGAGCAAGCCTTTATATGTAGAGGCCATGTAGGAAAGCCTAGATTTTCTAACATCTTGAATAATTTTGAGTTTCTTTGGCCTTCAAATATTTCAGTCCAAAGAACCCCTCCTTCAGTGCCTTCTTTATATTTAAAAAAAAAACAAAACAAAACCATCACACCAGAATGTATATGTATTGATCATGGGTTTAACCACTAGTTACCGTCACTTGCAAGTAATGCTCCCAAGCTTCGTATACACAAGGTGTAATCTCAGGTTGATTTCCATGGGTGCTGTGGGACCAGTCATAGTGCTTGGTTCTCATAGCTGCAGGGATGGAACTGGAATGAGCAGTGGGTCAAGGCCCTCTGCCTTGACTTCCTATTGTGGTCCTGCTGTCATGGGTGTTTTTTATGCTGCTGACCTCACCCTATTCCTAAGGAAAACATTGATTTCCTCACTTCCTTCTCTTTCTTTTTTTTTTTTCTTTTTGCTATCTAAAAGCTGAGTTTCTAAATCTAACCTTTGAAATGGCGCTCAATGGTGAAACCCTTAAAAAAGAAAGACTTATCTTTCCCCTTGTCTCCTCAGTAAATATCTCTCCTTTGCAAGCAATTTGATGTAGAAAGTAAAATGCTGAGTTCATGGATGAGAAGGCTGAGCCAGCTATCATAAAGGAAAATCCATTTTTGAAACAAATATTTAGTTCACATTTATTAGAGTATAATTTCAATGAAGTTAGGGATCTTTGTGTATTTTGCTCACTGACGTATCCTAAGTGCCTTAAACAGTCAGTGCCCAACCAGTATATGTTGTGTGACACTGTTGTATACCAGGCTGTGTCTTTAGAAAACATGCTGTCTTATATAGGAGGCAGCAGGGGTGTGTGTATATGTGTGTGTGCATATGCGGTGGGGGTACCTTGTTAAAAGGATTTTATAGAGATAAGTTTACAATGCACTTGTAACATAGAGGGGGCATGATTGTCTGCCTTGTGAGGGTTGTGGCAGCTTCAGAGAGTAGGTGATATTGGCACTGTGTTAAAGGACAGGTACCTTTGCAGGGAGCTGGGACATCACAGGCAGAGGGGACAACATGAATAGAAACAGGGAGGCATGTGACTGTACATGGTGTTTGGATATGGGCTAACTACAATTTGGGCTTCCGTAGTTTTCCTTTATACAATTTGTCCACAACTTCCTGCCTTTGTCATTCATTCATTTATTCATTCATTCTTTCATCCATACTAAAGTTAACAGGCATTCCTTTTTTTTTTTCAGTCAGGGTCTCACCCTGTTGCCCAGGCTGGAGTGCAGTGGAGAAATCTCGGCTCACTGCAACCTCTACCTCCTGGGTTCAAGCGATTCTCCTGCCTCAGCCTCCTTACAGCCACCCACCACCACACCTGGCTAATTTTTGTATTTTTAGTAGAGATGGGGTTTCACCGTGTTGGCAAGGCTGGTCTTGAACTCCTTGACCTCAAGTGATCCACGCACCTCAGCCTCACAGAGTGCTGGGATTACAGGCATAAGCCACAATGCCCAATTTCAACAGGCATTTCTTGAGTATCAACCAGGTGTTAGAAATAATTCTAATTCCAAAAACTATTTTAAAATTCATATGGATTCAAAAAAGATCCCCAATAGCCAAGACAATCCTAAGCAAAAAGAACAAAGCTGGAGGCATCATTCTACCTAACTTCAAACTATACTATAAGGCTACAGTAATCCAAACAACATGGTATTGGTACAAAAACAGACACATAGACCAATGGAACAGAATAGAGGACTCAGAAATAAGACCACACATGTACAACCATCTGTGATCTTTGAGAAACCTGACAAAAACAAGTAATGGGGAAAGGATTCCCTATTTAATAAATGGTGCTGGTAGAACTGGCTAGCCATATGCAGAAAATTGAAAATTGATCCCTTCCTTACACCATATACAAAAATTATACAAAAATTAACTCGAGATGGATTAAAGACTTAAATGTTAAACCCCAAACTCTAACCACCACCCCCCAGAAGAAAATCTAGGTAATACTATTCAAGACATAGCCAGGGGCAAAGATTTCATGACAAAAATGTCAAAAGCAATTGCAAAAAAGCAAAAATTGACAAATGGGATCTAATTAAACTAAAGAGCTTCTGCACAGCAAAAGAAACTATCAGAGCAAACGAACAACCTACAGAATGGAGAAAATTTTTGCAATCTATTCATCTGACAAAGATCTAATATCCAGAATCTACAAGGAACTTAAATTTACAAGATAAAAAAGCAAACAACCACATTAAAATGTGGGCAAAGGACATGAACAGACACTTCTCAATAGAAGACATTTAGGTGGCCAACAAACATATAAAAAAAAACTCAACATCACTGATCATTAAAGAAATGCAAATCAAAACCACAATAAGATAACATCTCATGCGAGTCAGAATGGTGATTATTAAAAAGTCGAGAAACAACAGATGCTGGCGAGGCTGCGAAGAAATAGGAATGCTTTTACGCTGTTGGTGGGAATGTGAATTAGTTCAACCATTGTGGAAGACAGTGTGGTGATTCCTCAAAGACCTAGAACCAGAAATACCATTTGACCCAGCAATCCCAATACTGGGTAGGTACCCAAAGGAATAGAAATCATTCTATTATAAAGATACATGCGTGACATGCATATGTTCATTGCAGCTCTAGTCACAATAGCAAACACGGAATCAACCCAAATTCCCATCAATGACAGACTGTAAAAAGAAAATGTGGTACATTCTCACTGTGAAATACTATGCAGCCATAAAAAGGAAAAAGATCATGTCCTTTGCAGGGACATGGATGGAGCTGGACATGTTAGTTTGCTGAGGATAATGGCTTCCAGAACATTAACACAGGACAGAAAACCAATCACCATGTGTTCTCGCTTATAAGTGGAAGCTGAACACTGTGAACACATAGACACAGGGAGAGGAACAACATACACTGGGCCTGTTGGGGGTGGGGGGCAGGGGGAGGGAGAGCATCAGCAAAAATAGCTAATGCATGCTGGGCTTAACACCTACGTGATGGGTTGATAGGTACAGCAAATCACCACAGCACACGTTTACCCATGTAACAAACCTGCACATCCTGCACGTGTTACTTGGAATTTAAGAAGAAGAAATAATGTAATTCCTGAGAACATAGCAATGAGTGAGTGAAATAAAGTCCCAGCTTCCACGGGGCTTACATCCTAGTGAGGAGAGACAAACAACAAGTGAGGGATTATAAAAGGAATAAAAAATAAGACAGGATAAGGGGATATAGTCTAATTGGGGAGTGATTTTAATCAGCGTAGTCAGGAAAGGCTATATGTGATGAAGACATTTCCATAGAAACATGAATACAGTGAGAAAGTGAACTTTGTAGTTTTCTTTTAAATCATTGTAGATGCATTCCTGTCAGCCTTGGAGAAGTATGAAATGAAAGAGGGATCTCCTAGTTGACTGATGTGGTCATTTCTAGAAAAGAGACACCCTGGGACTATAGACCCAAACTGCAAACTGAACGGACTCACTGAACTCCGTTAATATGACTGCTCTATCTAGGGGCCAATGGCTCAGTGCTGGGACCTGGACTGGGCTGAAGAGGAGATACACAAACAACTCTGGACAGGTGGAAGGAACCTGCTTCTTTGGTTCTCAAAGGAAAATAAAACCCTCATTTTGTAGGAGAGGCTGCTGCTGAAGTTGCTGGAGAATATCAACTGCTGAAAGACATCCAAAGTAGATTTTAAATGTTCTTTGGGACAGAGTTACAAGAGCTTTCTATGAACATACTTTGGGTGGAGTGATCAGGCATGTCAGTTTGCCTCAGCCTGATCTGTAATAAGAATAAAAAAGACTTTGATGGTTGTATTGCAGGTATTTATAGATTTTTAAAAATGTTTCTTCTTGTTGCTGGTGAAGTATGCTGTAAAGGGAGCCCCATTAAACAGAGTCAGTGCTTCAGCTGGTGTAGAAGCCTGTTGCATATTAAATGTTTTATAGCTGAACTTTATTACACTCAAACTTCACAGAGACATTTATGAACCTTATTGCATTCTGATGTGAAATGAGCCCAGAAAGGTATTTCTGACTTTATGGGAATGGAACTTTTCATTGTATGGAACATTCAAAAAGCTGCTGAATGCCAGAGTTCAAAGTGATTTTGCAAATGTCAATTCCTTTAATAATCTTTGAGACCTTAAGAAATTGCTGATGACTTCTACGTCTTGCATCTAACTTCTTTTTCTTTTGCTTCAGTTGTGGAAAACATGTACAGTTGCCTCAGTAAAAGGAATGTGTGGAGTTTGTGGTTTATGCTGTATTCATGCCATGGTAAGAAGAGAGACCCTGTTTATTGCTAGAGGAGACATATAAGGAAAATAAAAGGGGGAAATATCATTTAATAGATAAACAGCCATGCCCAACTTGACATTTTTCTAACCCCTTCAAGGACACACATTCCTGAAGGTCTGTGAGTCAGTACTTAGAATACATTTGGAAGATTAACCATTAACTTGCCTTAGGGAATTTTCTGCTATGCTGACCCATGGAAACTTAGGCCTTTCCAATTCTCATTCATTCATAATTAATTTATTCCACACTTACTGAATTCTTTGTATCAGACACTGTTCTAGGTTCAGATGATAATCAGAGGAAAGCCACAATTCTCAAAGAGTTCATGGTCCAGTCCTGATGATTAAGCAAAGAAACAGGCAAAACAGTTTTCTGATTACAGATGAGAAAGATCCAACTTAGTCACAGTGTGGGAGTTGGGAGAATTCAGGCAGAACATCAGGAAATTCTGGGAGGAAGCAGCCCCTGAATTGGGTCTTCAGGGATGAGTAAGAGTTAGGCAGAAGACGTTAACATTGTTACATGTGCACAGTGCCAAGATAGGCAGTGGGAAAGATATATACACATTCTGAGATCAGGGAGAAGCATGCTTATTAAATAATCATTTAGAAAAAGTGGGACTCAAAATGAGGACCTGCTTCCCATTGGGATCAGTTCTGTAAAGCTCAGGTCTTAAGTATATAATAATCCCATTATCTCACTCTGTTTATTTCTATTGTAATAGTCTTAATACTTGCCTTGTACCAATGGTTTATACATTGTTTTCATGTGTATTAAACTATTTAATCTTCATAACAACCTGGTGAGATTGGTATTATAATTACTTTATAGATGAAGAAATGAATCAAAGAGACATCAAGTGACTGTCCAAGGTCACATAGCCTAAATGTAGCTTTATTGAGCTTCTAAATAGTTATTGATTGACTTGATATATATTCATTCAACACTGTAAGTATGTATCTGTGTATTTACTCAATGCACATTTATGGGGCACATACTGTATGCCAGGCAGGCACTGTTCTAGATTCTGGAGATACCACAGTGAACAAAGATAATTTCAGATTATGATCAATGCTGTAAAAATAGACACAGTCTTAGCGTGACTGGAGGCAGGAATCACATTTTAGATAATTGCTTTTATTTTCTTGGCTCTCCAATGTTTATCTAGGGTTTCTTTCTGGGTTTTTATCTAATGTATGGTATTCAGTGGAAATCTGCCAAGTGCTCCCATGAGTAAATCACCATCTGAGATTCTTCTGCTATTTTCATCAATGTATAAGAAACAATAAGAGCTCCCATTTATTGAGAGACCTGCATGTGCCAGCCTCTTCGATGGATATTTTTTTATTAGTCTCATTTATGGGGTGCTGGTAGAGTCTATCAAAGCCCCAGGATTGTTTCTCAGCTGATCTTTTATTACTTGCAGGGTGCATTAATCACCTTCTTCCTCCCAGAGGCAGGGGACAAATCCCAGGATAACTCTCTGTTCCAGCTTCTTAGATGTCCTGCTAATAGCCATCCCTGCTGACAGCAACCAGCAAAGGCGGCTGCCCTACAAAAACATCCTTTCAAAGTATTTTTCTCTAGAGCTTTTTTTTTTTTCCCCCAAACCTTAAATGTTGGCGAGAATGCCTCACTATTTATTATTAAAAACATGTCTGGGGATGATGATAGTGTGTTCGTATGTTCAACAACCAAAGCTAACCACAAGTAGGTAGTCATACAGGATACTCTCCAAGCATGTCATAAGGCCTCACTGATCCCAAAATATTATCAGCACCATCAGCCTGCAATCACACTGCCTTCCTCTCTGCCATGACTGATTCTTTAATATTAGAGTAAAAGTCCAAAGACAGAGCTTTGGACAGGGCCCTAGAGGAGTATGATGGCCCCAAGAGGGAAGGAGGCCTCCCTGCTCCATCACAGCAATCTGGACGTCTTCATCAGTTAGTGGATTATTACTTGGAAATCTAAAAGAACTGGGCTTAGATGGATTAAAGATGGGCAAATAAACCATTCCAGGATGGATTCAACAGTTGCAGTCCTGGAGGAGGTGCCAGTGTAACAGCACTGGGCCAGGAGGGGAACCTGAGTGGTAACAATTCCCTCCTGCTCATCCTCTTTGTTCCTTTTTATGTAGGGTTAGCCTTTGAGACTCCGACAGCATCATGGCTTTGAAGAACATGACACTGCCCCCTGCACATAGAGCCTCTTCCATTTACTCCCTCTTGGGCTTTGGGCAAGCCACTTAAGCTTTTTGAGCCTGTTTCTCCATCTTTAAAATGGAATTAAAATATTTACTTTTTATTTGAGATTGAAAGCCTCTCAATCTTTTTTGAGACTGAAATAATAGATGATGTCTTAGCCTCTTTAAAGAGATGTGTGTAAGTCTGCTTCACCACAGGCAATTGCTGCACGGAAGCTCAGCAATGTGTGGTATTATGGAAATGCTTCAGAAGCAATCCTTCTGGTTCTCAAGGATTCACAAATAAGACTCAACAGAGTACCTCTGCTTTGTTTGCAACAACAGCCTGACTTGAAGTGATCCACTGACTTGAAGTATTTATACTTCTCCAAACAAGGGATGTGATTTGGTTTTTGCCTATTTGATATGAAACATGCTGGTATGCCAGCATTTGAGCCAGTTTTGAGTTGGGGGCCTTTCTAATACATTTATAGCATATATAGGCCTAGATAGGATTACTTTGGTTTATGCCATGATTCCTGTTTCAATCAGCAATAGCAGGAATTATTCCACCCAAAGTCTAAGTTTGAGCCACTTTTTCTTGGGACTGTTACCATGATAGGTATTGAGAGGCTAAAAGATGTGTTAGTGGATACAGTAGGGGCATCATAGAGCATAGCTACATATATATGTAGACAAGCTCTACAAAACTGAAGCTTAATTAATGGCCTAAAGACTAAACTGTGGGGTATTAAGGAATATCAGCCACTCTAGAGCAATGTGGTAGGCAGCCAGAATCTCAAAAGGCCCCAGTGTGGCCACATCAGTTCGGGATACTCACATATGCCTAGAGAAGAGAGCACTGCTTTGAAGCATCCAGTCACAGTTCCATGCGGACAACACCGTGGGCAAGGTCTTTTTGACTCTGAAGGATCGTTGTCATTTATATACAATGCATGCATATGATTACACATACTAATGAGAAGAGAGGGACAGCAGCTGAGTGTCCCAAGTGTTTATCATGGTTAAATTGTTTATTTGATGTCACTTAAAATAACTGGCTTCTAGACATAAATAGCTCGGATGAAGATATAAGACCTGATAGCTGTTTTGGCTCTTTCCCCAAGTGATAAAGTTCATAGTGAAATGGCTCCAGTTGACTTTTTAGAGAAATACATAGCTGCATTTGTGAAAAACAGGAAGTTAACTGCAGAGCCTCTCAATTTATTTCTCTTACATCTTTAGAAAAAAGAACCTCACAAGTTGTAAAACTGTGGGAAAAAAATATCCTTTTTTGAGTGATGTGGGATGGGATAAGATCTGGATCCTATGTCCCAGTAGTAAGGAAGCCAAGTTTTAGGACAACTTTAATTTTGTTGTGAGTGTTGTGTTTGGGTTCTTTTTCTCATGGCTATGGCTGTGTCTTTTGAAGAGAAAACCCATGAGGACTGGCCAGTGATCCAAAGAATCACATGTGTTGCCAGCTTCTTTTGTAGCAGCCTCCCAGCCTTTGCTATTTTCCAAGTGGCTAATCCCACTGATTTTAATGACATCTCCCTTCCCCCAAATCAGTTTAACTTGAAAGAGCTCTTCAATAATGCTTGACAAATCAGAGATTTGGTGAAAAATCTGCGATTGTCAGAAATTGACTTTATCATGGAAAATTCTTATTGACAGTCTTCTGGGGGTACATGATCCAAGAGGCAGTGCAGTTTTCTATCACCTCTGATATGAAGCAGCAAGAAGAGATTTGCTATTTCTGGCTCCTAGGTTCCTAAGCTATTCCAAGGATTTTCTGCTTATCCTTCTCTTGAAATGATATGAATACTGTCCTTGGCTCATGAATCCATCCCATTGCTATGTGGTACAGCTTTCTTGGTGACTTAGAAAAATAAGTCATAAGAACACTTCTAGAATAAATCATCTCGGTTTTGTCTTTCACTGAAGACAGTCAACACTGGTCTATTCTAACAGGCTAGTAGTATGGTGGTAAAAAAAACTTGGTACCTGTATTAGTCCATTCTCATGCTGCTATGAAGAAATACCTGAGGCTGGGTAATTTATAAAGAAAAGAGGTGTAATTGACTCAGTTCTGCATGGCTGGGGAGGCCTCAGGAAACTTAAAATCATGGCAGAAGGCACCTCTTTGCGGCGCAGCAGGAGAGAGAATGAGTGCCAAGAGAATGAAGACCCTTATAAAACCATCAGATCTTGTGAGAACTCACTGTCTCCAGAACATCATGGGGGAAACTGGCCCTAGGATTCAATTATCTCCACATGGTCCCACCCTTGACATGTGGGGATTATTACAATTCAAGGTGAGATTTGGGTGGGGACACACAGCCAAACTGTCAGTATCTGAAATTAGATAGCCTTGCATTTGAATTCAAGATCCCCAAATATTAACTTTGTGAATGTGGGCAAGTTTCTTCAACATCCTAAGCCTCATTTTTTGACATTTGAAAAATAGTACCTCCTTCATAGGGTTGTTGTAGCATTTACAAGCATTTAATTAATGGGAATTAATTATCACATAAGAATATATTTAAAAGAGAGCACTCCAAGCAATCATGCTTTGAAAATTAAGAAGATGAGTTATTATATTTAAGGTGTAATCCTGGGTCCTCTGAATCAAAAGATTGAAACATGATCTTGGATTGGGAGTAAAAATAAGTGATTGAATTTTTTTCTTTTGGACAAAAATGAATATTTTGCAGTTGAAAAAATATTTCATTAACTAGATTGAAACTTCTCACAGTCAATGTGAGCCAGCTCAGCTGAATATCTGTTATTTGGGGCTGGACAGTGAGGGATGCCATACAAAGCTCTTCTGTGTCCAGGCTGAGTAACAGCCATATGATACTCCCAGACATACCTTTTCAAGCCACGTGACACATTGCCATGCCAAGCACAGAGAGTCTGTATATTTCTCTTTCCTGTTATTACACATTCCATGCTGATTTCAATGTAGAATGAGCATTTGAATAGCCTGTGTGTTGAAAATTGAACCCAGTGAGACAAACTCTTAAGGACTCGCTTTTAATAACAGAATGAGATGAGAGAGAAGGCAGGCCTATGCATTTCCCTTTGCTCTAACTAGCAGTCCCAGAAACAAATAATGAGTGCCCATTGTCAATGACAATGTGCCTTGCAAAGAAGGCACAGCTATCCCAAGAACAAGTAACTGTGTCTATAGGTAATAAGCAAATGGACTCTTGAATATATATTCAGAGTACAAATTTGGAACACACATGAAGAGCTAGCGAAGACAATTTGGTTGTGTTGAGGTTAGTAGTGTGAAAGAATCTGCTTTACAGCTTTTGATTCTGTAATGCAGGCTTTGCAAGTGAAGTAGAATGTTATTTGGACTTTTTTTTTTTTTTTTTTTTTTTTTTAGATGGAGTCTTGCCCTGTTGCCTAGGCTGGAGTGCAGTGGAGCAATCTTGGCTCACTGCAACCTCCACCTCCCCTCCCAGGTTCAAACGATTCTCCTGCCTCAGCCTCCCAAGTAGCTGGGATTACAGGTGCCTGCCAGCAAGCCCAGCTAATTTTTTTTTCTTTTGTATTTTTAGTAGAGACGGGGGTTTCACCATGTTGGCCAGGCTGGTCTCGAACTCCTGACCTCATGATCTGCCCACCTCGGCCTCCCAAAGTGTTGGGATTACAGGCATGAGCCACTGCACCTGGCCTATTTGGACCTTTAAGAGTGGGATCATCATGATTTGGTGGTGCAGCAAGGAGACAAATTATATCCTTTGGAGGTGCTGGCAGAATAAAATACCTTACAAGGCAGCACCTTGAAGCTGGCAGAGAAGTGAAAAGAATCCATGCAGGTGATGACACAGGCAGTCCTGGGAGTGAAAGGTGGAGGTGGCATGGAGGGGTAGAAGCGGGTGGAGGATGGAGAGGCAGGGCTTCATCATATGAATAAAGAGCCACAGAGGTGACAGCGGGAAATAACGATGTGCATATGAAGTGTGCAGCATGTGGAATCTGAGGGAGAAAGGACAGAGCATGAAGGGGGTTTCAATGAAGGTGAGGAAGGATCTCTACAGTACTTCCCTGGTATCAAATTTCTTATTTCATTGTATATATTGAAGGTGTCCAACATCATGTTGTGATATACACAGTGAAATGTTTACTACAGTCAAGCAAATTATCCTATCCATCATCTTCCATTGTTACTTTTTGAGGTGGGATCACCTAAAAGCTACTTTCTTAGCTGATTTCCGATATACTACACAATACAGTCAGCCTTCTGTATTTGCAGGTTTCACATCTCTGGATTTAAGCAACTGTAGCTTGAAAATACTTGAAAAAAAAATAACAATAAAAATAGCACAATAAATATAATACAAATACACCAATACAGGGTGACAGCTATTTACATAGCATTTATATTGTATTAGGTATTATAAGTAATCTAGAAATGATTTAATGTGTGCAGAAAGATACGCCTAGGTTATATGCAAATACTATACCATTTTAAACTGGAGACTTCAGTATCCATTGATTTTGGTTTTGGAGGCGGGGCAAAGGTGGGGGGTTTGCCTGGAACAATTGGCTGCAGATGCTGAGGGATGACTGTATATAAGTTGGCGTGGAAATTCCCGACTTTGTAGGTTGTACACATGCTGATATTGTCTTTCCTTGCCTTTTTTATTCTAACAACATTCTCACCCCCTCCTCAGTTGTATAATTCATCCGGTTTATTATGAACTACAGTCCTCATGCTGTACATGAGCTCTCTAGACTTAATCTCCCTCCCTGTTCTAGTTCTGTTTCTATACTTTTTTTTTCTCCAAGAGATAGGGTCTTGCTTTGTTGCCCAGGCTGAAGTGCGATGGCACGATCATCCTAGCTCCCTGTAGCCTTGAATGCCTAAGCTCCCAAGCAGTGGGGACTACAGGTGTATGCGCCACCCCGCCCCACTGATTTTTTTTTTTTTTTCATTTGTTTAAAGATACAGGGTTTTCTATGTTGCCCAGGCTGGTCTCCAATGCCTGACCTCAAGTGATCCTCCTGCCTCATTCTCTTGAGTAGCTGGAATTACACGTGCGAGCCACTGCTATTGGCTTTTTCTATGTATTCGATGTCTGTTTTAGATTTCACAGTGAAATCATACACGATTTTTGTTTCTGTGACTGGCTTGTTTCACTTAGCATAATGACTTCCAGATTGATCCGTGTCACAAATGGCAGATTTCCTTCTTTTAAAAGGCTGAATAGTATTCCATTATATATATGTACCACAATTTCTTTATCCATTCATCCCTCAATGGACACTTAGGTTGTTTGTATATCTTGGCTACTGTGAATAATGCTACAGTGAATGTGGGAGTATAGATATCTCTACAGGGTACTGATTTCATTTCCTCTGGGTATGTAGCTTTTCAATTTTTAATGTTATATAAGATGGAATCTCTTAGGATATTGTCAAGAAACAGCACCGTAAAAATGAATAACATAAGAGTTTAATTAAGAAATTATCGTCAAAGTTGTGGGCAGAGTGCAGGGAAGCCATGGGGAGCCTTCAGGGTGGGGAGCATTTTCACTGCCACCTCCAAGGGGCAAACAGAGGGAGGAGTTACTGGAGCCCTGGTGGAGAGTACCAGGTGGAGGGGGCTGCTGGACAGGAGCTGCAGCAGGGCCTACAGTCCATATCCAGGACGTGGGCGGGGGGACAAGTGTGTAGGTTGATCTTTCCACTTTTCATAGACACAGGAACTCTCTGCATGTGGTACTATGTTGATTTCTACTGCAAGGATTTCTTCCTTGATTTCAGTCTCCTCTTGGAGTTGAAGGGACAGAGAAAGAAGAAGAAAGACTTTTGTGGGATATTTTTTTCAACTTCTCTCTGCAGCCATCAAAGGAGAAATTGAACTACCACAGGAGCATTGCGATGTGTTTGGTGGTCAGGAGGGTGGTGAGACACGGAGATTCGTTGAGCATTAGCAGATGGCCCTGAAGCTTCTTACCACGGGACCATCTGCAGGTCTGCTTGATTTATAATCTCTTCCTTTGCCTGCTTTAAGAGTGTTGATTGAAACTATACATCCTGAAATACACCTACCTGTTTTTGCTTTAAATATCCACTATGAGAAACACCAATAACATAAGCACGACTCAAAAGAAGGAGAAACTCAGACTGCCTCTTCCCTAGCCACAGGAGCTTGCCTTGGCTCTTTTTACTGAATCCTCCTATTCTTGGTGAATTCCACAAGGAAAAGGGATAAGGAGGCAGCTCTCGCTATATCTCAGAAACCGAAAATAAAATTGAGACAAACCTTTCCATTTCTTTTTTGAGACGGAGTCTCGCTCTGTCGCCCAGACTGGAGGGCAGTGGCGCGATCTCGGCTCACTGCAAGCTCCGCCTCCCGGGTTCACGCCATTCTCCTGCCTCAGCCTCCCAAGTAGCTGGGACTACAGGCGCCCGCTACTACGCCCGGCTAATTTTTTGTATATTTAGTAGAGACGGGGTTTCACCGTGTTAGCCAGGATGGTCTCGATCTCCTGACCACGTGATCCATCCGCCTTGGCCTCCCAAAGTGCTGGGATTACAGGCTTGAGCCACCGCGCCCGGCCCTTTCCATTTCATTTAGCATGTGGTAGGGAAGAGGCGGGGGTTTAATAAGCGTGATATTGAAGTCAGGCAGATGTGGGTTTAGTTGTTGGCTCTGTGTCTAGTTACATGATGTGGGCATATTACTTGATCTTACTGAGAATCAGAACTTACATCGATAAAATTGAGTTGTTTTGAGAACTAAATATGACATTTAAAGTGCTTAGCATGCTATCTGGTACATACCAACCACTTAATAAATATCTATTATTATTATTATTATTGTAAATCATCTCCCGTATCAATGTCTGCTTAAGAAATACTTGTCTTTTTTAGATTCAAAAGTTGTAAAACTTCTCTGTCCCTAATCCCAATACGTGTACTGGTGTTCTTTCCCGGTTCATTGTGACCCCCACCACCTCCCTTCCAACCTCCCCTGCTCTATTCCCTCCTCCCAGGCATTCCTCACGGGGTTTGGACTTCTCTGAAAAATGGTTTCATGGCCCCAATTACCTGCAAGCCAAAGAGTAAGTCACCGCTATTTGGCTTGGCTATTTGCTTGACACCAACCTACTGCTGGTGGGCGCCTGTGCTTTTAAAAAGAAAGATCTTTCCAAATGATAACAAACTTCCAATTACACATTTGGTTCCTTGAATTTATTAGGTCTACTGCAATGAACAAACTGTCCTTGTTACTTGTTTCCAAGAGCAACTCTGGTTTTAAACAAATCAAATTTCTGTCCATTTTTAATATTGGTTTTTCATTTTGGATTTAAGAGAAAAATGTATGAGCTCTTCTTTCCTAAGGAAGCTGTTTCTCCAATTATTATCCTGAGTTTTTTTTTTTTTTTTTTTTTTTTTTGCTTTACCTTCAGTTTAGCTTAAGTGGTATCAAAGGGGTTGATCTTTGACTCCTTTGCTCTGTCTTCAGAAAAATTAATAACATATCCAATCAGACAATGGTCTGTTATGTCATCTTGGCACAGGTACATATTTATTTGTAAAACAATTTTTCCTTCATAAATATCATTTGTAAAACATTAAAATTTGTTTTCAGTTCTGGATCTATGTTCTTCTTTCTTTAGTTCTGTAGCTAATATTTTTTTAAAAGTTTCAAATTTTTTGACTCTATCTTTTTCTCCTTCAGAGAGCTTGATCCTTCCCTAACTTCCTAAAAAAGAAAAAGTCCTCGTCCTTCCTCTTCATCTGTAATGGGTGAGAAAATGACAACAACAAAAAAACAACATGAAAAACAAGACATCCAGCCATCTGTGTCGACAAGAGAAGCATTCCCTTGCTTGTCCTTGACGTCACGGCATTTACTACCAGTCACTCAGACCCAGCCCTTGGAGTGGCATGGGGCTTGGTACTCCATTCAGAGCTGCTCAGCAATGCCTGGTATTCCTGTTGAGGAATGCTCTTGGCAAGGGGGAAGTGATTCTCTTCTCTTCCACTAAGGACTCATGAAAGGACTTTCAGATGTCTTTACCCTGACCTGGGTCTTCAAAGAACAGAACTTCTTATCTTCCATACTTTCCTAAGTAAGGGGCAACTCGGTCATTTTCTGCCGTTACTTAGGCGCTTTTCTCTTCCTTATTATTTCATTTCTTCATAGAATCTGGCCAAGGTTGTTGAGAAATCCAGCTCTTCGTATTGAGGTGCCAGGAGACAAGAGCAAATGTTGCTCTTTCCCCTCTCTAAACATAGAATTTTGTTGCCCCAGCACCACCTAATTAACTCCCTGATTTCCACCCCCAAGCACTCCTCTGTTATTCTTAATTTGGAAAATATATATATATCTTGGTTGTAGGTTTTGAAGGTAGGAGGAGGATAAAAAGGCTATGTTGGGGACTTTTAGGGTTAGGGTGAAAGATGATGGGGCACTTTGCCATAGGGATTCCTACTTAGAAGTATGAAAGCAGAAATTAAATATTCTTAACCACAGCAGCATGTTTATGTGCTCACTATTTCCTCCTTGAGACCTTCTTCTTACCTTCATCATCCACAAGATGGGTAATTCAGGTCTGTGCCATTCAGTTTCTCTTTCATCAGCTCTGGTGTCTCCTGCTCTATGCCCTTTGTCAGGTACTGTCTTAGTCTGTTTGTGCTGCTATCACAAAATACCAGAAACTGGGTAATTTATAAATAACATAAATTTATTTCTCATGGTTCTGGAGGCTGGAAAGTCCAAAATAAAGATGCTGGCAGGTTGAGTCTGGTGAGGGCCCAGACTTTGCTTCCAAAATGGCATTGTGTTGCTACATCCTTCAGCAGGGACTAATGCTATGTCCTCACATGGCAGAAGGGCCAGAAAGGGAGAAGGGCCTAGCCTTAGTTCCCTTGAATCCTTTTATAGGGGCACTAATCCATTCACAAGGGTTCCACCCTCATGACCTAATCACCTCCCAAAGGCCCTACATCTTAATATCATCACATTGGCAAATAACTTTTAATATATGAATTTTGTGGGGATGCATTCAGACCATAGAAGATGCTCTTTGTTTCCCTTGAACATTACTGTTTTTTAAGGATTTGGCCTCAAATTCCTTCTCTTGATAGATCTCCTTTTGGAATTACCTATTCTGAAAATGCTCATGTTTCACTAATTTTCCTATGACTTTTACATCTGTATCTCTCATCTTGAATTCCAGTTCTACATTTTCAAATGACTCATACGTGGACAATGCACTGTCAGCAGAAACTCAACATTTGTAAGGCAGGACTCTTCAATTTTTCCTCATTTTGATCTCCTCCCATACCCTTTAATTGTCAAGGACATACTTTTAGGTGTCCAGATTCAAAATTTTAGAAGCATCCTAAATAGCCTCTTTCCCTTAATCCCCACTTATCCACTCAGTGACTTAATCTTGTATATCATTATGATCATTTTCATATATGTCCTTTTATTTTTAAAATGACTTTTGAAGATTTTTTTTCCTATAAAAGCCATTTTTTTTCTGTACATTGCAGGAAACAAAGCTGAAAAATATAAAAAAGCATACAGAATATATCTTCTATAATTAAACTGCACAAAGATAACTATCCATTTTCAGTCCTCATTTCCTGTGTGTTTATATAGTAAAAAGACTGAATCACAATGTTTGCAGTTACTATATTTCTTAATGAGAAATTGTAAACATTTTAAATGTTGCTAAATAATTTTTGTTTGCTTTATGCTCATAGTTGTGTCACAATTTATGCAAATATATAATGCTACGAATTTATTACCCTTATTTTCACTATTAAAATAGTTGATATGTACCAACAAGACACATAGGAAAAAATTGACAGATTTTTCTCCATACAAATTAAAACTTTTATATGGCCACTGATATGAATAAAGTTAAAATGATAAACTGGGAGAAAACATAAATATGTGTAACAGAAAAGAGGTAATAAACACAATATATAGAGATATCAAGCCTAATATATAGAGTGCTTTAGAAAAGTTTGAAAAAGAACAACCCAGTAGAAAAAGAGAAAAACGCTGTAACAGACAACTCAAAAAGGGTAAACCAATGAATAAGAAAAATAGGTGGAAAATGGTGTCTCCTTAAAAAAAATTAATACTTTATGACATATTTTAAAATATAAAAAGTAATACACATTTATCTTAAAGTATTTAGTTAATACAGATGGGTATAAAATCCATATGAAATTTAAACACCCAGAAATGATCACTGCAAACATTTGGTTTAATGTCTTCTATATTTATCTAATTATCAAAACAAGGGCTTTTATTTCCCCTCTAAACCATTCCTTGGCTTATTCAAAACATTTTCTACAGTTACAACTATAGCAACAAAAGAGACTACGAAAGAAAGACCTGAAGAGAAGATTTAAAAATTGGAAGTTGATGATAATTGGGAGAAAATAAAGTAGCATTAATAAAATTATTTTCAGACAAAGTAGAATTTAGGGCAAGTAAAGGCGTTAAACAGAATCTAAAATTCTTTTGAAAAAAGCACAACCTGCATGATTTTATCTCTGATTTAAAAAATTACTTTCACGTATTCATCCCTCTTTGCTTAACCAACTTTATTCCTCACTATAATTGCTCCTATTTTTGAATTAAATCTTAATTCATCACATCACATAATTTTTGGAAGCTGTTTTTCAGAATAAGTAGTTTTTGATGATTCGTTCTTCTCTTAGCATCTAAGACAAATAATGTCTTTGTTCCCTATCTTGCTGACTATTCTTTTTTCCTCTTCCCCAGTTTTATCCTTCTTACGCAGCCTTTAAGTGCTGCTTTCTTGGAAGGTTAATCCCAGGTTTTATTCTCTTTCTATTCTATACTTCTACCTAGGTGATTTGAACCCCAACTAGTTTTTTTAATATTGTTTCATTTTTTAAAACAAATTTACTTAAGTTCCGGGATACATGTGCGGAATGTGCAGGTTTGTTGCATAGGTATACATGTGCCATGGTGGTTTGCTGCACCTATCAATCCATCATCTAGGTTTTAAGCCCCTCATGAAAATTGACCACATAATTGGAAGTAAAACACTCCCCAACTAGTTTTTAAGTAGGTGCAGATGACTTTAAGCCAAGTCTTCTGAGTGGCATATCTGATTTCTCTTAGAGTTTCAAAGGTACCTTGGGCTGATTGTATCTGAAACTAAACATATGACCTTTGTTTCCAATCTGTTTCTTTTTGTTGTTGTTTGTAGAATTTTTTCGTCGGTGAACTGCATCATCTTTCACCCATTTACAAAAGCCAGGCAAAATGGTGATCCTTAACACCTCTCTTTTCTCCCATGAATAATCCATTGCTGATCCCATTGATTTTACTTCTTAAACATTTCTGGAATCAATCAACTCTCCACCTCCATCATCACTCCAGGCCAACTGATCATTACCACCTGCTGGAATACTGAACTTTCCTAAATGGCCTTCTTCTGAGTATGCCATCACCTGCCATGATTCACAGTTAACCAGAATTTTTTTTTTTAATCTCAATTGGATCATGTCACTACAATTGTTTTTTCCTAGAATATAGAAGTACTTTTGATTTTATATTTGACCTTTTACTTACTCTGTGGTCTTGTCATATTCAAGGTCCAGTGCCTTTTGTTAGCTCTTTGGGGACTCACCAGGTGGACAATGAAGTCTATGAATAAAGAAAAGTTTAATTTTTTCCTTTGCAATTTGTATGCCTTTTATTTATTTTTAATCTGTGTTGTTGCAGTGGCCAGTACATATAGCACAATGTCAAATACATGTCATAAGTACAGACATTCTTGCTTTTTTATTGCTGTTAGGATGAAAGAATTTAGTGTTTCACCATTATGTCTGATATTAGCTACAGATTTTTGAAGCTGTCCTTTATCAGATTGAGCAATTTTCTTTCTTCTAGTTTGCTGAGAGAATTTTTCGTTTGTTTCTGTTTTTCTTATATTATAGATGGGTGTTGAATTTTGCTTTTTCTGCATCTAAGGAGATCATATCCTTTTTTTCAGGCTGTTGATATAAAAATTACATTAATTACTTTTTTAGTTTCAGTACTTTTCATTTTATTGATCATCTATGTTGTTTTTTAGTTTCAATTTTATTTATTTTTGTTCAGATTTTTATTTCCTTCAGCTAATTTTGGGTTTGATTCATTCTTGCTTTTTGAATTCCTTGAGGTGCATCACTTAAGTTGTTTATTTGAAGGCTTTCTACTTTTTTGACATAGATATTTATTGTTACAAACATCTCTTTTAGTACTGTGCATGTTGTAGCCCATAGATTCTGGTATGTTGTGTTTCCATTTTAATTTGTTTTTAAAAATTCTAAAGTTTTGTTCCTAACTTCTTCAGTGACCTAATGGTCATTCAGGAGCATGTTGTTTAATTTCTACATACTTGTGTATTTTCTGAGGTTTTCCTTGTTATTAATTTCTAGTTTTATTCTATTGTGTTCAGAAAAGATACTTGATATGATTTCTATTTTTTTGAATTTGCTGAGACTTGTGTGGCTCAATATATTGTCTGTTCTGGAGAATTTTATATGTGCTGATGAAAAGAATGCATATTCTGCAGCAGGTGGATTAAATGTTCTATAAATGTCGTATCTATGGTCTAGTGTGTTGTTTAACGCTGATGTTTCTTTGTTGATTTTCTGTCTGGATGGTCTATCCATACTGAGAGTGGGGTGTTGAAATCTATTATTGTATTGAAGTTTATCTCTCTTGTTAGATCTATTAATATTTGCTTTATATACCTGGGATCTCTAGTGTTGGGTGCATAGATATTTATGAACTGTTACATATTCTTGCTAAATTGAAGCATTTATCATTATATAGTGATCTTCTTTGTCTTTTAGTATTTAATTTGTAGTCCATTTCTTGATATAAGTATAGTTATTCCTGCTCTTTTTTGGTTTCCAGCTCCATGGAAACCCCTTCACTTTCAGTCTGTGTCTCTGGAGGTGAAGTGGCTTTCTGGTAGATAGCATATAATTGGGTCTTGTTTCTTTATCCATTCAGCAACTCCATGCCTTTTAATTGGATAATTGAGTTCATTTACATTCATTGTTATTGATAAGTAAGGGCTTATTACTACCATTGTGTTGCTTGTTTTCCGGTTGTTTATTGAACTCCTCTGTTCCTTTCCTACTGTCTTCCTTTGTGGCTAGGTGATTTTCTCTAGTAGAATGTTTTAATCTGTTCCCTTTTATTTTTAGCGAATCCTTTATAGGTCATTTCATTGTGGTCTCACCATGAGGCTTACAAAAAACATTCTATAGATGCAACAAGTTGCTTTAAAGGGATGAAAACTTACCTTTGATCACAAAGAAAAGAACAGAAATAAACAAAACATTTTTCAGATTTCTACTCTTTAATTCCATCTCCTTGCCCCCTCATTTTGGCTTTGTTTTCACAATTTATGTATTTTTATATTACCTTCTCTTAACAGGTTTCTGTAAGTATTATTGTCTTCAATAGACTTGTCTTTTGCACTTCATACTAGAGTTATGAGTGGATTGAACATCACAATTATAATATTAGAGTAGTCTGTTTGTCCACATGCTTAATTTTCCCAGTGGATTTTTTGCATTTAAATGTTTTCTTTTTGCACATTGGTTGTTCTTCTTCTCAGATTAAAGAATTCTTAGCATTTCTAGTAAGATGGGTCTGGTGGTGGTGAATTCTCTCAGCTTCGGTTTGTCTGGAAGGATTTTATCATGCCTTCATACTTGAAGGATAACTTTGCTAGATACAATATTCTTGGATAGCAATATTTTTCTTTTACCATTTAAAAAATGTTATCCCACTCCTTTCTGGCCTGTATGATTTCCTCTGAGAAGTCTGTTGCCAGATGAATTTGAGCTCTTTAAAATGTTGTTTCTTTTTTCTTGCTGCTTTTAGAATCCTCTTGTTGTCCTTGACGGTTGAGAGGTTGATTATTGTATGCTTCAGGTTAGTCTTATTTGGGTTGAATCTCTTTGGTATTCTCTGACCTTCCTGTACCTGGATTTTTATCTCTTTTCAAGTTTTGTAAAATTTTGTTATTATTTCTCTTATTTTTTATTATTTCTGTTATTATTTCTTTCTACTCCTTGCTCTTCCTAAACTCCCTCTTGAATACCAATAATTCTTGGATTTGGTCTTTTGAGGTAATTATCTATATTTTCTAGGTGATCTTCATTTATTTTTATTCTCTTTTTCTTCTTTTTCCTCTGACAGTGTATTTTTTATAGCTTATCTTTGAGCTCACTGATACTTTCCTCTGCTTGATCCATTCTGCTGAGGGCCTCTAAGAATTCTTCAGTTTGGCAAATGTGTTTTTCAGTTCCAAGATTCTATTTGATTTTTAAAAAATTATTTCAGTATCTTTGTTAAATTTCTCTGAGAAATTTCTGAATTGCTTTTTTCTGTTATCTTAAAGATTGTTGAGTTTCCTTAAAACTGCTATTTTGAATTTTTGGTTGAGGGTTTACATATTGTCATCTCATTAGGATTAGTCAGTGGTTCCTTGCTTTATCCATTTGAGGGGGTCATGTTTCCCTGTTTGCTACTGTTTCCTGTGGATGTAGGTCTATGTACTTGCATTGAAGGAGTATTTATTTCAGACTATTTTGTCTGGCTTATTTTGCCTTTTACTGGATATGTTTGCATAGAGGTTCTTTGTAATTTGCCTGTTGATTTTCTTTCTTTTTAATTTTTCAACTAGATTGCTTCCTCCTTTTAGACAGTAGCTGACACCCTAAGCCAAGATTTTCTTTGGTTCTAATAAATTATCAGAGTACTGTCCATCCTGAATATGGGAGGTCTCAAAGGGAATATCCTGGTAGTATGAGATCGCTGGCTAGGGGTTTGTACCCAGAGACCTATGGAACAAATCTCCTACACCATACTGCTGCTGAACAGCCACTGTGATTTGGCATCTCCTTTGGATGAGTTACAGATCAGAATTTCCTGAACAGGGGATGGTAGTCTTCCTGCTTTGTCTCTGGCTGTCCTCAGGGATATTTCTCCCTTCAGACATTTCTGATGCTTCCCATGGGTTGATACAGGGACAGGTCTCCTGCTAGTAAACTCAGATGGTGAGGACTCTGGAAATTTTCCTTGCACTTGGCGCTGGGCTGATTGCAAGGAAGGGCATCGTGGATATGGAAGTCTGATTCTCTTACTATCTACTTGGAGTTGTTTTACTTCTCTGTGACTTTAGGAACTATCTCATTCTCATATGTGAGTTTGGGATATTGCTGGTTATAATCTCAGTGCTGTATATTTGTTTTTGTTCTTCTGTGGGGGAAGAGTAACACCAGCTTGCTTTTATTCTGTCATTTTGGAAATGGAAGGCTCTTTTTTCATTTTCAATCAGAAATTAGAAATTATTTACTATTTTTTCTTATGGTTTTTTATTTGACCTGTTATTTCAAAGCATGTTGTATAATTTCCAAGTGTTAGGAATTTTCCAAAGATCTATTAAGTTATTCCAAATATCTATTACGCATCCATCATGCCAGAAAAATATTTTGTATTCTTTGTATCCTTTGAAACTAGTTTATGATTGGTTAAATTAGTCTCCATGGCCTATTTTGTTTAAATTACATTGTTTACACTAGACCATATGGTCTATTTTGGTGAATGATCCTAGCACTCCTGAAAAGAATGTATTTTCTGCATTGTTGAGTGTTCTGCAAAGGTCAGTCAGGTCAAACTGGTTGGCAGTGTTGTTCAAGTCTTCTATAATCCTTACTGATTTTTTTTTTTTTTTAGATGGAGTCTTGTTCTGTCACCCAGGCTGGAGTGCAGTGGCGCAATCTCGGCTCAGTGCAAGCTCCGCCTCCCAGGTTCATGCCATTCTCCTGCCTCAGCCTCCCAAGTAGCTGGGACTACAGGCGCCCACCCCCGCGCCCAGCTAATTTTTTTTGTATTTTTAGTAGAGATGGGGTTTCACCATGTTAGCTAGGAACTGATTTTTTTTTTCTACTGTTCTATCAAGTACTAAGAAAGGAATGATGAAATCTTGGTCCAACACCTACACACCTTTTTTTCTTAGAGATTTATGTAGATTATGTCTTTTGTTTTTCGTGAAAGAGAAGTTCTGAAGTGTTGTTTGGCCACCAAGCCTGGCTTTCAGGTATTCTGCCCCATTCCTAGTCTTTCTTATGAGCACCCAATGGAGGCCCATGGGAAAAAAAGGTAGTGAGTGCAGATATTCCTTTTATTAGTCCTCTCATTAATTCTAAACTGTCACGATAGAGTACGTTTGCCTTTTAAGGTTTTATTACATTTGCCCTTTAAAGGTTTTATTAAAATTTCTGTCTCTTTATTCTAACTTGTATGGCATTCATCTCCATAGGTAAAAGAGTCCAGCTTTTCCATTTCTTCTTACAGGGGATACTCATGACTTAGAATTTAGGTCACTTGTTGCCTTGCAAAGTGAGCCCTATAATAGGTTGAAGATAATTTCGGATTTTATAGATTATCTGGCTTTTTCGTGTTGTTAGAATGAGATGAAACTCACCTGCAGTTTTCTAGATCTTAAGTGAAAGTGGCATTCAAATTTTAATGCTTCTCATATATAATTTTAGGCAGTCATTTGAATTCACTTACAAAGGTAACTGATTCCATCAATTTCTGAACTTTTTCTAGGTTTTGCCATGTGAATTGGCTTGCTCTTCCGGTTTATGATTTAGTTTTAAGGTCTTCCGTTTACCTTGTGTTTTCCACCTTCTAACACTAAATTTTATCTCTTTTCTCTAATTCTTTCATCCTAGTAAATTTAAGTCTTCTTAAAACAGAAAAAGATAAAAGGCCATTATTTAAATTCAATTCTGAAAAGTTTATATCCATCACATTGATTGATTCAGCATCATATACTATCTACCATTTCAAGCTGTCAGAATAAATCTCTAAGCTAGGATCTCTAGATCTTCCTCTTCTATTCACTTTGATTTTTAAATAATGTTTTCATGCTCTAGAGCAATTACTTGATTTTATATTCTGCTTATAATTCTTCAGTACAGATTCTTTTTTTTAAAATTGCCTTCAACAATTATTTATTTTTTATTTTTTGGGGGGGCATGTAGGGGGACAGAGTCTCTCTCTGCTCGGTCACCCAGGCTGGAGTACAGTGGTGTGATCTTGGTTTACTGCAACCTCCGCCTCCTGGGTTCAGGCGATTATCCCACCTCAGCCTCCTGAGTAGTAGCTGGGATTACAGGTGTGCGATACCATGCCCATCTGATTTTTGTATTTTTAGTAGAGATGGGGTTTCACTGTGTTGGCCAGGCTGGTCTCAAACTCCTGCCCTCAGGTGATCCACCCGCCTTGGCCTCCCAAAGTGCTGGGATTACAGGTGTGAGCCACTGCGCCCAGGCAACAATGTTCTTAACAGAGAGTAATACAAAAAAAATTGCAATACATAATGTTTATATTCTTCTTTGATGATTGAACAGCATCTTTAAGGTCTGAGTGGGATTCTGTATTTTCCAAATTTCATTATTGATTCCTATAGATTTATTATTTCAATATTATTGAAATTTTCTCATATAATACTGATTCCTTCTTTATCTTTGAAATAACTCTCTCAGAATTTTGTCTATATCACGTTTGTGACTCCAGCTTCCTCTCTGCTTAATTACCAGTGATATACACCACTGAGCAGAGAAGTCACTGTGGAGCATGTGGCTCCAAGCTGGTGAATATAGTCTGAGATGATGCCTTTTATAAAAATGTCTGCTCTATAAGGCAATACTTCTGGTGGTGTGGATGGGCTACAGGGGCCCTTTTGGGTTTTCTGGATGAGCTTTAAAGATGCTGTATTTCTAGTCTTTCAGAGCAATGCAGTAATTCTCAACCTCAGCTGCACATTAGAACCTCCCAGGGAATTGTTCCCAAATCCTGACACCCAGGCTTCCGAGACCAATTAAATCAGAATCTCTTGGGGGTGGGATCTAGGCATCATAAACTTTTAATAATTACTTAAGTGATTACAATGTATAGCCAAAATTGAGAACACTAATATGAAAAGTAGGAAGCCTGGAAAAAGCTGAAAAATGTGATTTCAGGTGGAGAATGGACAATAAAACCACAATACATAAGGTGCTACACTTAGACTGAAGATATCCAAGTAAGATATTTGCTTTCATTTAATACAGTGTTTCTTAAATGTAATACACTTTACTCTAAAGAAAATGAATTCTGCTAGACCTGAGTATTCCCTTGACACAAATTATTTTTATTACATTGTTACGTAAGCATATTCAAAATAAATATTGCAATAGATCCCTTATATTAAAAAAATTTATGTAACTATACAAAGAAATTTGGATTTAATACAAACAAAATAAAAAATTAATAATAGTAAAATAAGCAACATTAATTAAAAATGACCATATAGTATTTTGCTGCAACACAACCACAGTGGTTTAATTGAAAAAGATGTAGTTTTAGTTCTGGTCCTGTCTGCAACATATTTCTTAATTTTGATTTAAGTAATGCTAATGTTGAGAATTCTTATTTGTATAAATATGTAGTATTCAAATCTACCCAATAGTCCCATAGATAGTTTTTTGATAAACAGAAATTGCCCTCCTGATGGAAACTTACATTTGCTGTATCTGAGTTCCTTCTTCAGGAAACACATTCAGGCCTCTCAAAACAAGTATTAAAGAACTAAAACTCACCAGATTGCCCCTCCAGACAATCAATCAGATGCTAGATCGCTCATTCATCAGGATTCCTTTCTTACCTCTCCCTCATTTCTGCTTTCTTAGGCATTGTTACATTTCTTTCTTGCTATATAGACCCCTAATTTTACTTGGCCAGGGAGATGGGTTTGATTCTGATCATCCATTTCCTCAGCTGCAGCACCCGATTAAAGCCTTTTGCCTTAGCAATAATCAAGTCTCAGAGACTGACTTTCAGTGCAGTGAGCAGCAGGACCTAGACTGAACCCCTGGTGTTTTGGTAACATTATAAACAGAAACTGATGATCCTAGCACTTTGATGGCTCCAGAAAATCAGATGTCCTAATAATCTAAGTCTTTGTAAGGTAGCAATACCAGAATGACAATTTTAATGCTATATCACTTGAATACTTGGTGAAGCTGTCATTTGCCTGATGTTCAGATTAGCTTTAAGATGTAATTGAAATCTTCAGCAATGGACATCTAAAGTAATTTTTGCTGGAATCCGGAGTTTAAAATGTCTGCATTTTGGATTTTCAAGTACTATTAATGAACTGGGGCAGGGTGTGAACTACAAGGAAGGCATCCAAGTAATAAATCGAACAGGATATTGAAAATGGTACTCAAGTGGCTCAGGTTATTTTGAATTCAGCAAACCTATGTATGGGTTTGTGTGTTTTACTGTCCATTAAAAGGTCATCAATATATTCCTAAACATGTTTACCTTGTGTTTTGAATGTTAACATTGAGAGGGAAACAGAAAATATTCTCATAGAAAATCTGTGAATTTCCCTTATCAATATATATAAGGATCACTGGGCATGTGTAAATCTTAGACGGAAATGTTTTACATAAGAGACACTAATAAAGATATCTTAGCAGACTTGAGAGTGCTGCTGTTTATTTTCATCCCTGCTCACATAAGAGCCTGGCAGTCAGGCTGTGGTGGGCTCACATCATGCTTCTGGATATTCAGCATGAGCTCAGCGGTAGTCAGAATTCCTTTATGCATGTGGTGAAGGTAGAGCCGTTCCAAAGGTACCTGGAGAGAGGGGGCAGCCACTGCATCTACCCTAGTAATCGATGCCTTCATCCCTCACAGAGTCTAATTTCAGGCCTATCTGATGTGGAAGCAGTGGAAGCAGAAATTTCTGGATTAGAAATGTCTAGGAAAAAACACAGAGTATACGCTTGGGCATACCATGATAATCTTAATTGAAATGCTGGATGCAGGGTAAGAAGGGCAATGATGTGGTCATGCTTACACAGACATTGACAAGATTTTTTTAAAAAATTTTCTTTCATTGCTGTACAGAAATGTGACATGATGGTATTATTATATGGCTATATATATCTTGTAATTTCCAAGATGACCCCAGTTTTAATAATCTGCACCATTAAAATTTGTAATATTCTGGAAATTTCATTATCTTGTGCATAGTAACTGAATTAGTTGAATCTGTATTTATTACAATAGGGCCTCTTTCTTTCTTTCTTTCTTTCTTTCTTTCTTTCTTTCTGTCTGTCTATCTGTCTGTCTGTCTTTCTTTTGAGACGGACTCTTGCTCTGTCGCCCAGGCTGGAGTGCAGTGGGCGATCTCAGATCACTGCAAGCTCCGCCTCCCAGGTTCACGCCATTCTCCTGCCTCAGCCTCCTGAGTAGCTGGGACTACAGGCGCCCGCCACCACGCCCGGCTAATTTTTTGTATTTTTAGTAGAGACGGGGTTTCACCATGTTAGCCAGGATGGTCTCGATCTCCTGACCTTGTGATCCACCCGCCTCGGTCTCCCAAAGTGCTGAGATTACAGGCGTGAGCCACCGCACCCGGCCTACTTTCTATTCAATGCAACATATCATAATTTTCTGTGCATAAAGGTGTGCCATTCCTGACTTACAGCCACAAAACTAAGTTGATTTGCAGTGAAAAAGACAGTGAGATTTCCAGGTACTGTTGTACACAGTTGCTTTGTCCTACCTCCCAAGTTTTTAGCATTTTATAATTGAACTGCGCATGTCATTTATTTGACTGTTATAATAACTTTTAAGGATAGAAAAATTACTGATCCTTTAAGAGGTTGAAACAAAACAAAAAATCTCCTCTACCGAAGAAATACGGGGAATCCAGGCATATATTTTGCATGCAAATGACTTAATTACAATAGGAAAGTTGACATCCTTTTCATATAAGTCAAAAATAGTGGCAATTCAATTGCAAGCATCTCTGTAGTTTCCTATGTTTTACTAAAGACAGTCTGTTATCATGGATCTGGGGTAATAAGAGTAATTCAGTATCATGATGTTAAACCCAATTCCATTTTAGGTTTTGGGCCCTACCTCTCAAGAAGTTTCATATATTTTTGAATTGAGTTTTTATCATCTTGAACAAAATTGGAAAAATTGAAGCAAATATGAAATGTGCTAATTATAGACATGTTAAGAAATATGGCATATAATATTTACACGATTAGCAGAGATAAAAATACTATAATCCTCAATTTCTGTGAGGGTAGAGTAAAATTGATAGAGTAGGGTACATAGTCAAGAAGAATATAAATTGCTACAACCCTTTTGCAAGCAATTTCAAAATAGGTGGAAGAGCCTCCATATTTTTCTATCTTTCAAATCAATTATTTCTTTTCCTGGAAATTATTCTGAAGAAATGGTTAAATAAGTGAACTAATACAGATATGTTCATGAACGTTCCTAGGTAACTTTTTAAAAACATTTTGACAAAGCTAGACATGATGTTCAATAACTGGGGAACAAAATTTAAATTTTACTAAGTTGAACCACATCAAACTGACATTTTTTGTTGTTTAAAAGATTAAATACTGGCAATTCCATATGGCTCAATCTAATAGGATAAACATACAATGGAATATTATGTGGCCTCTAAGTATCATTTATACAGACTACTTTTAGTACTGTGAGTAGGTGTTTATAATTTAGTACAATATGGAGTACAAAATCATATTTTCAGCCTGCCTTCACATGCACACACACCCACATGCACACACACACCTTAGATGGCCTGCAGTTATCTTTGAGTGGTGGGATTTTTTTTCCTTTTATATGTTCAACAACAGGATGGTATCACTTTTATAATCAGGAAAGGAGTTATAATTAAACAGAAACATAGTTATAAACTACCATTTTCCCAAACAAGGAACTGAGTACCTGGCTTATCATCTTCAATCTCAAAGAACTTCCAAAGTTAACTAATTGTTGACTTTTTAGATCAAGTGCAAGAATAAAGAACTGAAACAAGTGTGATGTATGGAGAAATGTATTAGTATGTCTGAAAAAGAGGAAAATCACAGGTTTCCAGTGTTTTGAGGTCACAAAACTTAAGCATTTCTACTTCAATCTGCCAAAGAGATAACCAACATTGAGGCAGAGAATGTCATCATGTACACTACAGATGGTCTGAAAACACACAAAGCTTGGGTCAGAGAATGAGGTTGCTGCAATACATATTCTAGAACTGCTTCTCAAGCTGATAAAATATATCTGGAGAGACCACCAGCCAAAGTTGTTTCTCTTATTTGATACTCAAAATGAATACACTGGAAACTTAGTACCCAACCTTAATTGATAACAAAAATAAATGGTAGTGAGGAAAGAAGGCTGACTAAATAAAGAAAAAAGACACCCATTTGTGGGAAATACTCAGTTGCCAGCCTTCATTTGATTTCTCCACTTTTCTCCTCCCAGGTACTTTAAAAAGTCAAGGATCACATCAATCTTAGGCGACTTATGTTTTTTGGTTCACATATTTCCTTTTTGTACATCACTTTTGCTCACCCAGGAAAGGCAAAGCCGTTTTGTTTTTTTTTTGTTGTTGTTGTTGTTGTTGTTGTTTTTTGTTTTTTTTGTTTTTTTTTTGACGGAGTCTTGCTCTGTCACCCAGGCTGGACTGCAGTGGCGCGATCTCGGCTCAGTGCAACCTCCACCTCCCGGGTTCAAGTGATTCTCCAGCCTCAGCCTCCCAAGTAGCTGGAACTATAGGGGCCCACCACCATGATCAGGTAATTTTTTTTTTGTATTTTTAGTACAGACAGGGTTTCACTACATTGGCCAGGCTGGTCTCGAACTCCTGACCTTGTGATCTGCCCACCTCACCCTCCCAAAGTGCTGGGATTACAGATGTGAGCCACCGCACCCAGCCAAGCCTAGTTGTTTATAGCATTTTGACATTGTGTATTTCTGGATCCAATGGCCATAATCACCATTCTGATCATTTTTAAATGCCATTTAGGCATTTAGGTGTGTTTCTAGGAAACTTTATAAAATATTTTAATTATCCAATTAAGATTTCTAAAACTTTTATGTAGGCAGACAAAGCTGCCAAAAAGATTTTCAAAATAAATCCTCTATTTTTCAGTTGGAAACTTAAATATTTTTGAACCCTAGAATGCTGGAAGTTTAGAAGAGATTCTAAATAATGCTGAGTTTACAGTCTGAGAAAAAGTATCAACTTAATTTCTTTAGGAGCTACCATCACTGACTTTTTGGCACATCGAGAGCTAATAGCAAAGGTTGTTTCTTGAAAGGAGATTTTTCACGTTGGTGCAGCCTTAGAGAAAAATAATATTTATTTTCAATTTACTTGGCTTAAGGTTTCCTTCCTTTACTTTCAGCCTTTAAACACACCAGCACAATTTTCTCCTCCTGCAATGGGGGCTGGAGCATGTGAGGACAAAGTGTTTGTGTTGGACTTAAATATGGCCTCTTTGCTTAGTAGGTTAGAAAATTGTCATAACAAGTCCAAAGTCAGAGGTTTAATTCGTACATGGAGCTTCAATCTTCTTGACTTTGAAGAAGACCCCAAAGGAAGTAAAAATTGCACAAATAAAATTTGAGTAGAGAAGGAAACTTTGCAAGTCCAAATTAAGGATGTTGCTTTGAGTGTGACTTGGTGACAGGTAACAGAAAGACCCACGTGGGCCAAAGGATAGCACAATTATGCCTTGCAGGGCATCGGGAAAGGAGGGTGGACCACCAAGGCAAGGGAGAAACACTGTACAGACTGCATGATTTTTGTCTAAGGTCATTGCTGTGGCCAGATCACAACAAACCCATTCCAGTTACTAAGGAAACAACTCAGAGGGTGGCAGGGCAGGGGTACCAGCTTGGGATCTTGTATTTATCTGTCATAGATTGTTGGGTAGGAAAACCAGAAATTGAACTCTCAAATATGTACCCCAGATTACAGCTATAATTTGGGGGAGAAAATAGTGTAGAATAAGGCCTCTGGGGTTACAATCACAATACAGTATCTGTGCATCCCTTTTTTCAGGAATGCCGTGTACAGTACAAAGCAGCTGTGGTGACACTTTATCTAGGCACTTTATCCATCCCTGGTCTATGAGGACCAATTACGCAGGTGTTAAATCTTGTCAAGAGAGCACACTTTCTGCAATACTTAAATTAAAAACAAAACAAAAACCTCCTCCTATGATCATTGCACAATCCTTTTCAATAGCCTTAATAACGCTTATCTGATGAAGGTGGGAGTGGGGATAATCAAGAGAGGCAAAAGGGAGGCACCTTCTGGGGGACTGTTCCACCCTTCCCTGGTGTCTGACTCTAGGAGTTGACCATATACCTGGAAGCATGTGGGGTCGCCACTGTCTGAATTACTTCCGAGTCTTCAAGCACCAGTTTCTGACTCAGTGATTCGCCAAGCCTGAGTTTGACTCCCAGGATGTAGAGCTCCCACTTGAACCCAGCCCTAGATTATACTTCCCTGAGTGGTTCAGCTGGACACTAGGCTTATCCCTAACATGTCACAGAACTTTCTACTACAGAGGAATGCTTAGGCCTGCAAGGGTTGAGACTGTGGCCTAAACTAAATTAGTTCCTGATGTTACCAGTACCCATACCTCCTCTCCTTCGTCACCATGGCCCTTTGGCTATTTACAGGGCTGTTCAGGGAAAATAAGGGTAGTAATAAAATCATGCCTGCTAGGCTATGCATATCCCTTCTTTAAGAGAGTACATTTGGTTAGTACATAAATAAAAATTAATACTTTCTCCAATGGCTATTCATAATCCCCGACCACCCTAACTGCTCACACCTCATGATGGGGTGCAGGGGTGGGGCAAGGGAGACAGAGGTGTGCCTGTCTGAGGAAACCTGCCGCCTATATGGAATTGCTTCTCCTTGGACATTTTTAATAAGATTACTTTGGTCTGGGGGGCTCTTGGCATCCTGTGACACAAAGCAGGAATTCAAGAACCCAGTGGTATATATGTGCTTCCTTGATAGTTTGATGTCAAGGAAACTGCCTTTGCAGCCCGTCTGTCTAAAAGATAGATAAACACCAACAATTTTATACATCTGACACATTACCTAGATGAAAACAAAGCCTTTTACGTCAAAAGGGTGCATAGGTTATCACTGGAAATACCTAATTCATATATTCAGAGAGTAGAATAGTGGTTACCAGGGGTTACATTCTATCCTTAGCTGGGAGGATGGTTTGAGCCCAGGAGATCAAGGCTGCAGTGAGCTGTGATTGTGCCACTGTCTCCAGCCTGGATGACAGAATGAGACCCTTTCTCAAAAAAAATAGTGTTCCTTTAAGTTAACTTCTTTTTATATGGCCGTGATTGTATAATACTATAAAATATATTTGAATTTGCTTTATATGATGCCTTTCTGAATATAATAATTGCAAAGGGAATTTACATATGACATTTTGAACTAATTATATATGATTTAACTTGGGAAATATAGTCTTTGTCTTACATCTTTGTCTTACAGAAATTATATCTATCTCATCATGTCATGATAGAGATCACACTTAACATGGACTCTGAAGAGCTATCTGAATTTGTTCATTTTTGCCATAGTTGTATAGGAGAATACAATTAATTGCGCAAGGAAAGTACCCCAGAGCAGACTAAGGCCAAAAGTATATTAAAGTGCACCATATACATAGTGTGTTTCTCCCGAGTCCTCATCAATTTGGAGAGGGTTAATTGTGAGTTGCTCACAGTGTGAGTTCATTCTCTTAAGAATGGTGCAAGACTTGCTCAGTGCACTAGCTGAAAGAAACAATTTTTTTCTCCCCTTCTCTCATTCTCTCAAAATGTGTGTGTGTGTGTACGCTTGGTCTCTAGCTATTGGTATTGGAAAGTGTTGTTCACCTACTTCCAGAGAAATGTTATTTTAAAGTAGCAGCTAAATATGTAAATTAATTCAGTAGGATTTCCTCTGGAAAGCCAATTAGAAATGGTTTGAAGAAATTCACCTAGATGTAAAGTAATGTTTTATTTTGGTTTCTTTGTTTTCCACCCCTAGAGAGTAACACAGTAGATACTTTGGAGTGTCTTGGTAGAGATGCAATATGGGCTGGAGCCCAAAAGCCAGAGAAAGCAGTCCTGACACCCATAGATTTAAATCAAGCCATCACTATAAATCAGAAAACACAGATAAACAAAATTGTTTTAGAAGGGTATTTACCCAAGGTAATATAGACTTGTACATATATCTTCTGTGAATGTCTCCAAGTATATGTTAGCTGAAAAATACAAATTTTACCAGGAATTTGTAGAATTATTTCCATAACTGGCACCAAGGAATTTAAGCATCAGATTGATAACCTAGCTATATATACTTCCATCTCTGCAACTCCATATTCTGCGAAACTTTCTAAAAAAACAAAAAGGTATTTTTTTAAGCTTATATTTGTTTTGCAATTTTGAAAACACCATTTTAGGGCAAAAGACTGCTTGATTCAATCTAGATAAGCAAATACTCTAATTTATATAATTACCTACTCAGTATAATATTTCTTGTCCTATTTGTCCTCATCATTTTGAAAGAATGGAAGCCAGCATTTAAAAGCCAATGAAAACACCAGAAATCAATGGAGTCATTCAGAAAGAACTTCTGGTCACTTCTAAAGGTGCAGCATTTTAAAAAAATTTAGTCTGCCTGTTACAAGCAATTTACAACTTTCTTATTCTTCCTTATTTATGTAGACTCACAGCTTCTGACTAACCAACTCTTTTTTTTTAAAAAAAAAAAAAAAAAGCAAGAGCATATTAAATTAATGGACAGTTTAAATAAAAATATAGCTTCACAGTATATACTTAACTGAACAGAAGTGATATGGCTAGTTTAAGAATGAAACATTTGTTTAGCAATTAAAGGTTTTCTTTTCTACTGTATTAATAGTTTATATCTTTTTCAATAAAAACAATTAAGATTTAATATTTCTATTTTGTGCACATCTATATGTGATACATATAAACATTTAATCCATTAAAATAAGTTTGCTAAATTACCTAATACTATTAATATCAAGGTGTAGATCTTAGATCTCCTCTCCAAGGTCTAACACATGCACTCTTCCTGATAAAATGAAAAATAAGCTCAAATAAAAAGATCAACTACCTTTACTCATATGATACCTATTTTAATAAAACCCAATCATAAATATCTTTTCTAAATCTTGCAAAAGTTAAGAATTAGACAGTGATTAGTTGCACTTGCACCATGGGCTTGTCGATTAAGGTAGTGGATTCAGGCTTCCTGATGGAAACATCTCACCCTAATCCTCCCCAAACCAAACCTAAAGACACAATTCAAAACAAAGTGTCCACAAATTTTTTTTGCAGTTTTCATGTAATCTACTTCCATAACTAAAACACTGCTGGCTAACAACAACAGCAACAAAAAGCAACAAGAAAATTCTCATGGGGAGCAGAGTGCTATTAGCAGAGTGAAGCCCTTATGGCTAGAAGCAGAAACAAATAAAAACAACAACCTTAGAATTCCAAGACCCCAAATACGAGGGGAAAATCCAATGAATAAGTTTATCTTTTCCTTCTTCTAACTGGACCCAGTGAAAATAGCTACTGGGTGAAAATACATGAAATGGAGTAAGTGGATGAAAAGATGATGCTTTCTGATGCACAAGAAGAATCCAGAGATAAATACGGACCCAGACTAGATATTTCTACTTGGCATTATCTATCTATCCACCCACCCACCCACCTACCAACCCATAGCTATCTAAATTATTTAATATGTATTTATATATTTTTACATATTAGTCTTTCTTACATATTTAATATAATTTATAATACATGTACAATATTACTACTTGATATATTACACTGTATATCATACCTTATATGGTATACCTTGTCTGTTTATATATATGTATATGCAAAGAATCTAGGGAGCCTCCTATTACCATATTCAGAAATCTATTCTGTGCCATAGTTACATCCACTGTCAGCCTATTTCTTACTGTGCATCAATCCTATGGGTCTATTTTTTTTTCATGTATTTATCTAAACATTTTGTGGTCTTAGGATCCTCTGTATATCGTCCCCCCCCACACACATACAAGGAATTATATATAATAAAACAGAGGCATACCTTGGAGACATTGTGGGTTTGGTTTCAGACCACTGCAATAAAGCAAATACTGCAATTAAAGGAATCACATGAAGTTTTTGGTTTCCCAGTGCATATAAAGGTTATGGTTACACTATACAGTAGTCTATTGCTAAAAATTGCTAACAATCATTTGAGCCTTCAGCAAGCTGCAATCTTTTTGCTGGTCAAGTGTCTTGCTTTGATGTTGAGAACTGCTGACTGATCAGAGCGGTGACTGCTGAAGGTTGGGGTGTCTGTGGTAATTTCTTAAAGTAAGACAATAATGTTTGCCACATTGATTGACTCTTTCTTTCATGAACCATTTCTCTGTAGCATACAATACTGTTTGATAGTGTACCATCCATAGTAGAACTTCTTTCAAAATCAGAGCCAATTTCCTCAATCCTTGCCACTGCTTTATCAATTATGTTAATGGAATATTCTAAATCCTTTGTTATCATTTCAATAATGTTCACAGCATCTTCACCAGGAGTATATTCTATCTCAAGAAACCACTTTCTTTGCTCATCCATAAGAAGCAACTCCTCATCTGTTTAAGTTTTATCATGAGATCATGGCAATTCAGTCATATCTTCAGGCTTCACTTGTAATTATAGTTGTCTTGCTATTTCCACGACGTCTGCAGTTACTTCCTCCACTGAAGTCGTGAGTCTCTCAAAGTCATCTGAGTGTTGGAATCAGCTTCCTCCAAACTCCTGTTAATGTTGATATTTTGACCTCCTCTGATGGATCTCGAGTGTTCATAATAACATCGAGAATGATGAAGCCCTTCCAGAAGGTTTTCAATTTACTTTGCCCAGATCCATCAGATGAATCACTATCTGTGACGGTATGAAATGTATTTCTTAAATAATAAAACTTGAAAGTCCAAACTACTCCTTGATTCATGGGCTGCAGAATGGATGTTGTGTTAGCAGTCATGAAAACAGTGTTAATCTTCTTGAATATTTCCATCAGAGCTCTTGGGTAACCAGGTGCATTGTTAATGGGCAATAATATTTTGAAAGGAACAGTCCCAACAGTGAGCTTAAAATATTCAGTAAATCCTACTGTAAGCAGATGTTCTATCCATAGAGCACAGACAGAGTAGGTTTGACATATATCTTAAGGGTCCTAGGATTTTCAGAATGGCAAATGAGCATTGACTTCAGCTGAAAGTCACCTAACAGGAGAGTCAATCTGTCCTTTGAAGCTTTGAAGCTTGGCATTGATTTCTCTCTAGCTATGAAATCCTAGCTATGAAATCTTCTTCCAAAATAAGGCTGTTTTATCTACATTAAAATTTTGTTACTTAGTGTAGTCACCTTTTAATTTTCTAGCTAGATCTGGCTAACTTGCTGCACCTTCTACATCAGTACTTGCTACTTCACCTTGCACATTTCCCACATTTTAGGTTCAGGGGGTACATGTGCAGGTTAGTTACATGGTAAATTGCATGTTGTGGGAGTTTGGTGTGCAAATCATTTTGTCACCCAAGTAATGCGCCTACCCAACAGGTAGGTTATTGATCCTCACTCTCCTGCCATTCTCCACCCTCAAGTAGGCCCCAGTGTCCATTATTGCCTTCTTTGTGTCCATGTGTACTCAATGTTTAGCTCCCACTTATAAGAGAGAATATGTGGTATTTGGTTTTCTGTTACTTCATTAATTTGCTTAGGACAATGGCCTCCAGTTCTATCCATGTTGCTGCGAAGGACATGATGTCATTCTTTTTTATGGCCGTGTCGTCCATAGTGACTGAACTAATTTACATTCCCAGCAGCAATGTGTAAGCATTTCTTTTTCTTTGCAACCTTGCCAGTTTCTGTTTTTTGTTTGTTTGTTTGTTTGTTTTTGAGATGCAGTCTTGCTCTGTCGCCCAGGCTGGAGTGCAGTGGCACGATCTCGGCTCACTGCAAGCTCCGCCTCCTGGGTTCATGCCTTTCTCCTGCCTCAGCCTCCCAAGTAGCTGGGACTACAGGCACCTGCCACCACGCCTGGCTAAGTTTTTGTATCTTCAGGAGAGACAGGGTTTCACCATGTTAGCCAGGATGGTCTCGATCTCCTGACCTCGTGATCTGCCCGCCTCGGCCTCCCAAAGTGCTGGGATTACAGGCGTAAGCCACCGTGCCCAGCCTCAGTTTCTGTTATTTTTTGAATTTTTAATAATAGCCATTCTTACTGGTGTGAGACGGTATTTCATTGTGGTTTTGATTTGCATTCCTCTAATGTTTAGTAATGTTGAGAATTGTTTCATCTGTTTGTTGGCTATGTGTATGTCTTTTGAGAAATGTCTACTTATGTCCTTTGCCTTTTTCCTTTTTTTTTTTTTTTTTTTTTTGAGACGGAGTTTCACTCTTGTTGCCCAGGCTGAAGGAGTACAATGGCGTGATCTTGGCTCACCACAACCTCTGCCTCCTGGGTTCCAGCGATTCTCCTGCCTCAGCCTCCCGAGGATCTGGGACTATAGGCATGCACCACCACGCCCAGCTAATTTTTGTTTTTATAGTAGAGATGGGGTGTCTCCATATTGGTAAGGCTGGTCTTGAATTCCCAACCTCAGGTAATCTGCCTGCCTCGGCCTCCCAAAGTGCTAGGATTACAGGCATGAGCCACCACACCCAGCCCCTTTGCCTATTTTTAATGGAATTGTTTGCTTTTTTCTTGCTAATTTATGTTCCTTACAGATTCTGGGTGTTAGGGCTTTGTTGAAGGCATAGTTTGCAAATATTTTCTACCATTCTGTAGGTTGTCTCTTTACTCTGTTGCTTTGAAGAAGCCCTTTAGTTTAGTTAGATCCCATTTGTCAATTTTTATTTTTGTTGTATTTGCTTTTGGAGCCTTTGTCATGAAATTTTTGTCAGGGCTTATGTCCAGAATGGTATTTCCTAGGTTTTCTTCGAGGGTTTTATAGTTTCAGTTTTTACATGTAAGTCTTTAATTCATCTTCAGTTGATTTTTGTGCATAGTAGAATGAGGTGTCCAGTTTTCAATTTTCAAACATATGTCTAGCCAGTTATTCCAGCACCTTTTATTGAATAGGGTGTCCTTTCCCCATTGCTTTTTTGTCAACTTTGTCAAAGATCAAATATCTGTAGGTGTGCACTTTATTTATGGGTTCTCTAATCTGTTCCATTGGTCTGTGTTTTTGTATCAGTACCATGCTGTTTTGGTTACTGTAGCCTTGTAGCATGGTTTGAAGTTGGGTAATGATGCTTCCAGCTCTGCTCTTTTTGCTTAGAATTGTTTCGGCTATTCAGGCTCTTTTTTGGTTCCATATACATTTTAAAATAGTTTTTAAAAAATTCTGTGAAAAATGTCATTGGTAGTTTGATAGGAATAGCATTGAATCTGTAAATTGCTCTGGGAAGTATGGCTATTTTAACAATATTGATTCTCCCTGTCCATGACTGAAATGTTTTTCCATTTGTTTGTGTCACCTCTGATTTCTTTGAGCAGTATTTTGTAATTCTCATTGTAAAGATCTTTCACCTTCCTTGTTAGCTGTATTCCTAGGTATTTTATTCTTTTGTGGCTATTGGGAATGGAACTGTGTTCTTGATCTGGCTCTCAGCTTGGATGTTGTTGGTGTCTAGAAATGCTACTGATTTTTGTACATTGATTTTGTGTCCTGAAATGTTGCTGATGTTGTGTATCAGATCTAGGGGTCTTTGGGCAGTGACTAGGGGTTTTCTCAGTATAGAATCATATCTTTTGTGAAATTAGGAGTTTGATTTTTTCTCTTCTTATTTGGATGCCTTTTCTTTCTTTCTTTTGCCTCTTTGCTCTGGCTAGGACTTCCAGTGTTATGTTGGATAGGAATGGTGATGCTGGGCATATTTGTCTTGTTCTGGGTCAAGTCCAGTGCTTTCAGTTTTTGCCCATTTAGTATGATCTTTGCTGTGGCTTTTTGATAGATGACTCTTTTTATTTTGAGATATGTTCCTTTGATGCCTAGTTTATTGAGGGTTTTTAACATGAAGAACGTTGAATCTTATTAAAACTATTTTCTGCAGCTGTTGAGATGATCATGTGATTTTTACTTTTAGTTCTATTTATATAATGAATCACATTTATTGGCTTGTATATGTTGAATCAAACTTGCATCCATGTAATAAAGCCTACTTGATCATGGTAGATTAGTTTTTTAGTTTTGTGATATGCTGCTGAATTTGGTTGGTAAGTATTTTGTTGAGGATTTTTGCATCTATTTTCATCAGCAATATGGGCCTGAAGTTTTTGGGTTATGTCTCTGCCATGTTTTGGTATCAGAATTATACTGGCATCATAGAATGAGTTAAGGAGGAGTCTTCCCTCCTCAATTATTTGGAATACTTTCAGTAGCATTAGTACCAGCTCTTCTTTATATATCTGGTAGAATTCCGCTGTGAATGTATCTGGTCCAGGGCTTTTTCTGGTTGCTAGATTTTTCATTTATTTATTACTGATTCAATTTCAGAACTCATTATTGGTCTGGTCATGGTTTCAATTTCTTCCTGGTTCAATCTTAAGAGGTTGTATGTTTCCAGGAATTTACTCATTTTTTTCTACGTTTTCTAGTTTGTGTTCATAGAGGTGTTTGATAGTCTCTGAGGGTTTCTTGTATTTCTGTGGGGTCAGTGGTAATGTTCTCTTTGTCACTTCTGATTTTGTTTATTTGGATCTTCTCTATTAGTCAGCTACCAGTATATCAATCTTACTTATTCTTTAAAGAAGAAACTTTTGGTTTCATTGATCTTTTATATTATATTATCTGTCTCCATTTCATTCAGTTCTGCTCTAATTTTGGTTATTTCTTTTCTTCAGATAGCTTTGAGGTTGGTTTGCTCTTATTTTTGTAGTTCCTCCAGGTGTGATGTTATATTGTTAATTTGATATCTTTCTAACTTTTTGATTTGGTCTTTTAGTGCTGTAAACCTTCTTAACATTGCTTTAGCTGTGTTCCGTAGATGCTGGTATGCTATATCTTTGTTTTTAGTAATTTCAAATAATTTCTTGATTTCTGCCTCGGTGTCACTATTTACCCCAAAGTCATTCAGGAGCAGATTGCTTACTTTCCATGGACTTCTATGGTTCTGAGAGATCTTCTTGATACTGATATGTATTTTTATTGTGCTGTGGTCTGAAGGTGTGATTGGTACGATTTTGTTTTGTTTTTAATTTGTTGAGAATTGCTTTATGGCCAAGCATGTGGTTGATTTTTAGAGTATGTGCCATGTACACATGAGAAGAATGTATATCCTGTTATTTCTGGGTGAAGTGTTCTTTAAATGTCTGTTAGAGCCATTTCATCAAGGGTCAAGCTTTGGTCCTGAAAATGTTTGTTAGTTTTCTGCCTCAGTGATCTAATACTGGCAGTGGGGTGTTGAAGTCTCCCACTATTATTGTATTGTTATCTAAGTCTCTCGGTGGGTCTCCAAGAACTTATTTTATGAATCTGGGTGCTCCAGTATTGGCTGCATATATATCAAGATAGTTAGGACTTATTATTGAAGTGAACCCTTTATGCAATTCCCTTCTTTGTACTTTTCTATCATTGTTGGTTTAAAGTCTGTTTTGTCTGAAATAAGAATAGCAACCAACCACTGCTCTTTTTTTGTTTCGGTTCGCCTGATAGATTTTTCTCCATCTCTTTACTTTGATCCTATGAGTGTCATTGCATGTGAGAAGGGTCTCTTAAAGACAGCATGCATTTGGATCTTGCTTCGTTATCCCACTTACCATTCTGTGCCTTTTAAGTGATGGTGTTTAGCTCATTTACATTCATGGTTAATATTGATATGTGCCAATTTGATCCCATCATCATATTGTTAGTTGGTTCTTATGTAGACTTGATTGTGTAGCAGTTTCTTAGGGTCAATGGTCTATGTACTCAAGTGTGTTTTTGTGGTGGCTGGGTAACAGTGTCCCATTTCCATGTTTAGCACTCCTTTAAGGAACTCTTAAAGGTAGATCTGGTGTTAACCAATTCCCTTAGCATTTGCTTATCTGAAAAGGATTTCATTTCTCTGCCTTACAACCTTAGTTTGACTTGATATGAAATTCTTGGTATAATTTCTTTTGTTTAAGGTTGTTGAATATAGGCCTGCATTTCTTCTGGTTTGTAGGGTTTCTGCTGAAAGATCCACTGTTAAACTGATGGGGTTCTCTTTGTATGTGACCTGCTTCTTCTCTCTAGCTGCCTTTAATCTTTTTTCTTTTACCTTAACCTTGGAGAATCTGATGATTGTGTGTGTTGAGGATGGCCATCTTGCGTAGTATCTCGCAAGGGTTCTCTGAATTTTTTGAGTTTGAATGTTGATTTCTCTAGCAAGGTTGGGGAAATTTTTGTGGACAGTATTCTGAAATATGTTTTCCAGTTGCTTGTTCTCTTTCTCTTTCAGAGATGTCAGTGAGTCATAGGTTTGGTCTCCTTATACAATCTCATATTTCTTGGAGGTTTTGTTCATTTTTCTTTATTTTTGTCTGAGTTGATTTGAAGAACTGGTCTTTGAGTTCTGAGATTCTTTCCTCAGCTTTGTCTATTCTGCTGTCAATACTTTGGATTGTAGTATGTAATTTTTGTAGTTTTTCAGGTCTTTTAGATCAATTTGGTTCTTTCTTTCTTCATTTCTTTTCTTTCTTACCTTTCTTTCTTTCTTTGACAGAGTCTCACAATGTTGCCAGGCTGGAGTGCAGTGGCGCAATCTCGGCTCACCTCTGCCTCCAGGGTTCAAGCGATTCTCATGCATCAGCCTCCCAAGTAGCTGAGATTACAGGCATGCACCACCACACCCAGCTATTTTTTATATTTTTAGTAGAGACGGGGTTTCACCACATTGGCCAGGATGGTCTCGATCTCCTGACCTCAAGTTCGCCTGCCTCGGCCTCCCAAAGTGCTGAGATTACAGGTGTAAGCCACGGAGCCCAGCCTGGTTCTTTCTTAAAATGTCTACTTGGTCTTTCAGCTCTTGTATCACTTCACTGGATTCCTTACATTCCTTGGATTAGGTTTCAACTTTCTCCTGCATCTTGATGATCTTCCTTGCCATCCATTTTCTCAATTCTTTGTCTGTCATTTCAGCCATCTCATTCTGGCTAAAAGCATTGCCGGGAAGCTAGTATAGTCATTTGGAGGTAAGAAGACACTCTGGCTTTTTGAGTTGCTGGAGCTCTTGCACAGTCGATTCTTTCTCGTCTGTGTGGGCTAATGTTGATTTAATCTTTGAAGTTGCTATCCTTTGGATAGGGCTTTTTGCTTTTATATTCTTTGATCCCTCGAGGGTTTGACTATGGCATAAGCTGAGTTCAGTTGACTGGCTTCCTTTCTGGATGATTTCAGGGAGCCAAGACTCAGCTTAGCACTCCCAGGCTGCATGCTCTAACTCTGGGGGACTGGGACCAGGCCCACTGCTTTGTTCTCTGGCTACCCTCGTGGTTAAGCTCCTGCTGTGCTGGAGGAGCTGAGATTTTTCCGATCTGCTAGGACCAGCACTCCAGTCTCCAGTAAAGGGTACCAGCAAAAGTGCTTCACTGGGGCAGTGGGAGCAGGGTGCGTGCTCACATATGTGTGCATGCACCAGCGGTAGTTGGGCAGTGAAGTCCATGAGCACACACGTGCTGGCAAAGTGGTGGAAAGAGGCTGTGTGCACCAGCAAAACAGTGAGGGGAGGCTGAGGATGGGTGCACACTGGTGGCAGCCCATCTGTAGAAGCTCTCTGATGTTAGATGGGGTCTTCCAGTGAAGAAGCTATGGCAGCAACTGCCACTAAGTGCCCTGATTGGGCATCTGTGACTGGGCTGCTGGTAGGTGCAGCCAGGAAGGGACACTGGGAGAAACCAGCAGATGGTGGGGTTGTTCAGATCAGACAGGCCCCAACCCATGGACAAAATCACCTTGTCTGTCCAGCTTCAACAGGCAGCAATGGCCAAAATCTATCCAGAGGAGCATGGCAAGCCTTGGAGTATGGGCATCCCTGGCCATTCTCCACTATAGTCATACCCATGCCAAACCCTCTGGGTTCCACATGAGCTGGAGTCCTGTCCTTGATAACTCTCCAACCAGCTCTCCCTGCCAGTTCAAATGTGTATGGAGGTCCTTGGGTCTCCTGCAGCTAGGATTCTGGAGTTTGTGGTGAAACTGGAATACTGTATGTAACTCATCCATTCCTGGGAACTATTCAGTGCCAGGAACAAGTCCTGGTGCTCAGAAATGCTGTGCAGTTTTCCCAGGTTCCTCCGCACCTCAGCCCAGGGTCTACATCTTCCCTCCATCCTGTCTCAATACCTTTCTTCTGAAGATCTGCTTGGAGTGTGCCAGTCTTCCTGATCATCTGATCTCTCACTGGGAGAAATTCTTCCTGGCTGCATTTAGTTGGCCATTGTGGTTTTCTTCCTGCCTTCACTTTGCATTTTTATGTTATGAAGATAGCTTCCTTCCTTAAACCACATGAGCCAACCTCTGTTAGATTTAGATGTTTCTTCTGCATCTTCCTCACCTCTCTCAACCTTCGTAGAATTGAATAAAGTTAGGGCCTTACTCTGAATTAGCCTTTGGCTCAAGAGAATGTTGTCACTGGTTTAATTTTCTATCCAGACAACTAAATCTTTCTCTGTATCAGCAATAAGCCTCTTTCACTTTCTTACAATTCGTGTGTTCACTGGAGTAGCGCTTTTTACTTCCCTCAAGACTCTTCCTTGGCCTTCAAAACTTGGCTGTTTGATACATAAAACCTAGCTTTCAGCCTGTCTTGGCTTTTGTCATGCCTTGCTTTCTAAGCTTAATCATTTTTAACTTTTGATTTAAAGTGAGAGACTTATGACTCTTCTTTTTACTTGAACACTTAGAGGCCACTGTAGGGCTATTATTTGGCCTAATTTCAATATTATTGTTTTTCTGGGAATAGGCAATCCTAAGGAGAGAAAGAAACATGGGGGAATGGCTGGTCGATGAAGTAGTTAGAACACATACAACATTTATCAATTAAGCTTTTCATTTTATATAGACACAATTTCTGGTGCTCCCAAATGATTACAATAATAATACCAGATATCACAGATCACAGATCACCATGAGAGACATAATGGTTTTGGAAAACCTGGAGATACTTTAAGAATTTCCCAAATGTAACACAGAGACATGAAGTGAGCACACGCTGTTGGAAAAATGGTGCCAATAGACTTCCTTCCTACAGGGTTGCCACAAATCTTCAATTTGCAAAAAGTGTGAAATCTGTGACACACAATAATGAAAAGCACAATAAAAGGAGGTGTGTTGTATGTTATATAACATTGCGTTATATTTTACAGATGTTAATCAAATATAAAATTATATTGTGTAATATGTGCTATTATATGTCCTATCATATACCTTGTGTGTGTATGTGTACATATTCATTGAATAGGAAAGAGCTTCTGAAAATGAATAATTGGTAATAGAAATGAATAATTCAACAGAAGATTTGAAGATAAATAAAAACTATAATCCAAAACCAAAGATTAGAAAATAAGAGGAAAATCATATGTAAATTGATACATGATTATACATATTTATGGGGATACATGTGATATTTTGACACATGTATATAATGTGTAATGATAAAATCAGGGTAATTAAGACATGCATCACCTCAAACATTTATCATTTCCTTGTGTTGAGAATGATCTGTCATCTAATAGGAGTTTCACAAAGAGAAAAGATGGAAGTCTCAGATAAATAATAAAATTACTAGAACCAAAGGACAAAAGTCCTCAGATTGAAAGGCCCTGCTTAATGTTAAGAAGAAGAAATTTTAAAAAGAGAAAATATGCACAGGACTGATGACACAGTAAGAAATATGCTAACACATGTATGTTCATTGCAGCACTATTAACAAAAGCAAAGATATGGGATCAACATAAATACCCATCAATGGTAGATTGGATGAGGGAAATGTGCTACATATACACCGTAGAATATCATGCAGCCATAAAAAAGCACGAGATCATGTTTTTTGCAGGGACATGTATGGAGCTGGAGGCCATTATCCTTAGCAACCTAATGCAGGAACAGAAAACCAAATACATGTTCTCACTTATAAGTGGGAGCTAAATTATGAGAACACATGGACACATAGAGGAGAACAACACACACTGGGGCCTATTGGATGGTGGTGGGTGGGAGGATGGAGAGAATCAGGAAAAATAGCTAATAAGTAGTGGGCTTAATACTTGGGTGATGAAATAATCTGTACAACAAACTGTCATCACACAAGTTTACCTGTGGAACAAACCTGCACTGAATCCCTGAACTTAAAAAAAAAAAAAAAGAAATATGCTAACAGTAGATGTAACTGTGGCACAGAATAGATTTCTTAATACAGGAATAGGGGGCTCCCTGGATCTAACAATTAGCCTGAATTGTAGAGAAGGCAGTGAACCTGTGCTCCAGAGTTCCATTAGACTTGCCTTCATCTGTGCAGTTTGTTGAGAACACTATATTCTAGATTAGCTTTCACAACAGACTCAGGAAGCATCAGGGAACCTTGCTATCATGAGATTCTTTGTTTTGTAAGTCTTTTTTTTTGTTTTTCTTTTTTTGAATTCATAGTGAAACAAGTGACGAATCTGACTTGTTATTTTTGCTAATCTTCAAAACTGGACAAAACTTTATAATTTGGACAAAACTTTATGAATCAAAAACTTTAGAACACTGGCGTAAAGATAATATATATGTGCATCCAGAGAAATAAAGTACACCATATTCAAAGGGTAAGATTCAGAATGGCACAGAATTCTCTAAGCAGCACCAAAAACTAAGAGACAGTGAAGTAATGCTTTCAAAATCTTGAGGGAAAATTGTTTCCATACATAGCCCTGCTATTAATCAAGTATAAGAAAATTGAATACATTTCCAATATGAACAATCCAAAAATAGATCACCCTGTATCTTTTCTTAGGAAGAAGATATTCTTTACCAATACGTGGCATGAAAGCAAAAAAGACAGACATTTAATTTAAGAGTAGAAGCAAAAGAAGCTACTAGTGAAGTGAACTTCTAGGATCATAGCTGCTTGGCAAACCTAAAGAATCACCATTCTAGAGAAAGAGGAATTTTAGAATTGTGAGAGATGTTGGGGATAAATTAGTAGTAAGTCAATTTAAAAAACTATTAAAATAGAGACAGTGATTAACCCTAAAAGGGAAAAATGAGCAAAAAGGGAAATGTAATTATAGTATACTATTTGACTCAGGTCATGTGAAAAATATTTACATGGTCCTGTGAATGAAAGCATTCAATATTGGTCTTGTCTCTTGAGTGCTTTAACCAAGTCGTAATAGCAATATTTAGCTCTGGTCAGTGACTTGTTAGTCAATCTTGAGTAGGTTCCATTTGCTTCTCTGTACTCAGTGTGAGGCTCTCCTAAAAAGATACATGCACTGCCATGCTGAGGTGTAGAAAACATTTTTGTTTATCCTCTTGCCTTGTCCATTGCCATCTCTTGGCCTCCCGACTAGCCTTGCTTACTAGCCATATTCCTTAATTGCAAGGTGACTAATTAAAGCTAAAAGTGAGTTAGCTTCTATATTGTCACAGTGGACATGGATGGCTTGGGGAAACCAACTTCGACTTTGACTCTACTACACTTCCTGGAGTTTTTCATTCTTATTTCTCTTCCACCCATCTCCAAGCCTTGGTCTCCAATACATGCTCTCTGCTTCTGTTTTCTCTCCACTTTCATAAACAAAGGTTACATAATGATGCCCAGAGACATACATTTTGTTTGGCCTGAACAGAGTTTTAACTTTCTTGTAAGCATTAAAAAGAGAATTTGCATAAAATCTTTTGTCTTTTCTTGAAAAACTGTTAGTTCAGACCCCATTGGTCATGCATTTGGACATGGCCCCAGTGGACTGAAGCTGAGTAATGATACAGCATCTGCTTTTGTATTTGCCACAGTCTCAATGCTCTGCACTTTTATCCCCAGCCTACTTCATTCATTTATGCAATTTCTCACCCTTGCAGGTATTTTGATTTAAAACTCCTGTCCCAGAGTCTTATTTCTGCATTACCACTGTACTGGTGCAGTTTTCTTAGAAGTTAACAACGGCTTCCTCTTGCTGTTATGAGTGGTCTTTTTGCAGAAGTTAAGTCTTCTTACATTTCTGTGCTGGTTGAATTTAGGGTTATTTAAATGAGAGTCCTGTTCTCTGAGAGGCAGTGTGACCCTGGGACCATCACCCCATGAATTTCTATGTTGAAGCAGTTCTGGTTGCACACCATTTTGCTTGCCTTTGAACTTAATCCAAGAATGTTAATTTTGCCATTTGTAAATGTTTGATTTTGTGGCTCTGTTTAAATAGTGGTTTGTGGCTATTCCTTGATTTTACTTTTCATTCTATCAAGGACCTGCACTTTTTTACCAGTCCTTACAAGAATACGGAGTGTGTGACAGAGGCACTGAGGTAGAGACTGCGAGGCATGAGTGTTGGTTTTCTCCTTTACTACTTAGTAGATGTGTGAGTTGGGAAATATCACAACCTTTCTGAGATGTAGACTTTATTCATAAGTTTAAGGTTTTATAATTTTCAGTGAAATTTTCTGTAGATTATCTAATTTGATGCTTATGTTTTACAAATGAGGAATGTTCTGAAAGAAAACCAGGAAAGGACATAACAAAAAAAGAAAACTACACACAAATATCCCTGATGAACATGGATGCAAACATCCTCAACAAAATACTAGCTAACTGACTCCAACAGCATTATCAAAAGATAATCCACCATGATCAAGTGGGTTTTATACCAGGGATGTAGGAATGGTTTAACATATGCAAGTCAATAAATGTGATACACCATATAAACAGAATTATAAACAAAAATCACATGATCATCTCAATAGACGCAGAAAAAAGCGTTTGACAAAATCTAGCATCCCGTGTGACTAAAACCCTCAGCAAAATCAGCACAGAAGGGATATACCTTAAGGTAATAAAAGTCATCTGTGACAAACCCATGGCCAACATTATAATGAACAGGGAAAAGTTGAAAGCATTCCCCCTGAGAACTAGAATAAGACAAGGATACCCGCTTTCACCACTTCTATTCACCATGGTACTGGAAGTTCTAGCCAGAGCAATCAGAAAAGAGAAATAAATAAAGAGCAGCCAAATCAGTAAAGAGGAAGTCCAACTGTCGCTGTTTGCTGATGGCATGATCGTATACCTAGAAAACCCTAAAGACTCCTTGCTCCTACAGGTGATAAATGAATTCAACAAAGTTTCAGCATACAAATGTAATGTACACAAATCACTAACTCTGCTATACACCAACAGTGACCAAGCTGAGAATCAAATCAATAACTCAACCCCTTTTACAATAGCTGCAAAATATATATATATACCTAACCAAGGAGGTGAAAGACCTCTACAAGGAAAACTACAAAACACTGCTGAAAGAAATCATGGATGACAAAAACAAGTGAAAACACATCCCATGCTCATGCTTGGGTAGAATCAATATTGTGAAAATGACCATATGGTCAAAAGAAACCTACAAATTCAATGCATTGTGCATCAAAATGTCACCATCATTCTTCACAGAACTAGAAAAAACAATTCTAAAATTCATATGGAGCCAAAAAAGAGCCTGCATAGCCAAATCAAGACTAAGCAAAAAGAACAAATCTGGATGCATCGCATTGCCTGACTTCAAACTAAGGCCATAGTCACCAAAACAGCATGGTACTGGTATAAAAATAGGCATATAGACCAATGGAGCAGAATAGGGAACCCAGAAATAAAACCAAATACTTATAGTCAACCGATCTTTGACAAAGCAGACAAAGACATAAAGTGGGGGAAGGACACCCTATTCAACAAATGGTTTTGGGATAATTGGCAAGCCACATGTAGAGGAATGAAACTGGATCCTCATCTCTCACCTTATATAAAAATCAACTCAGGATGGATCAAAGACTTAAATCTAAGACCTGAAACCATAAAAATTCTAGAAGAAAACAATGTAAAACTTCTTGTGGATATTGGCTTAGGCAAAGCCTTCATGACCAAGAACCCAAAAGCAAATGCAACAAAAACAAAGATAAATAGATGGAACTTAATTAAACTAAAAAGCTTCTGCACAGCAAAAGAAATAATCAGTAGAGTAAACAGACAACCCACAGATTGGGAGAAAATCTTCACAATCTATACATCAGACAAAGAACTAATATCCAGAATCTACAAGGAACTCAAATCAGCAAGAAAAAATATCAAACAATCCCATCCAAAAGTGGGCTAAGGACATAAATAGACAATTCTCAAAGGAAGATATATAAATGGCCAACAAACATATGAAAAAATGCTCAACATCACTAATTACCAGGGAAATGCAAATCAAACCTATGATGTGATACCCCCTTACTCCTGAAAGAATAGCCATAATCAAAAAATCAAAAAATAACGAATGTTGGCATGGAAGTGGGGAAAAAGGAACACTTTTACACTGTTGGTGGGAAAGTTAGAGTCTCATTCCATCACCCAGGCTGGAGTGCAGTGGTGCAATCTTGGCTCACTGCAACCTCCACCTCCTGGCTTCAAGCGATTCTCGTGCCTTAGCCTCCCGAGTAGCTGGGATTACAGGCATGCACCACCATGCCCATCTAATTTTTTTTTTTTGTATTTTTAGTACAGACAGGGCTTCACCATGTTGGCCAGGCTGGTCTTGAACTCCTGGCCTCAAATGATCCACCTGTCTGGGACTCCCAAAGTGTAGGGATTACAGACATGAGCCACCACACCTGGACTATTGGTGGGAATGTAAACTAGTACAACCACTATGGAAAACAGCATGGAGATTCCTTAAAGAACTAAAAGTAGGTCTACCATTTGATCCAGCAGTCCCACTCCTGGGTATCTATCCAGAGGAGAAGAAGTCATTATATGAAAAAGATACTTGCACACACATTTATAGCAGCACAATTCGCAATTGCAAAAATATGGAACTAGCCCAAATGCCCATCAATCAACAAGTGGATAGAGAAAACATGGTATATATATATATATACACACACACATCCCATAGAATACTACTCATCCATAAAAAGTAAAGAATGATGGCATTCACAGCAACCTGGATGGAATTGGACACCTTGGACACCATTATTTTAAGTGAAGTAACTCAGGAATGGAAAACCAAACATTGTATGTACTCATTCATAAGTGGTAGCTAAGCTATGAGGAGGAAAGGCATAAGAATGATCCAATGGACTTTGGGGACTTGGGGAAAAAGTGGGAGGGGTTTGAGGAATAAAAGACTACACATTGGGTACAGTGTACACTTCTCCGGTGATGGGTGCACCAAAATCTCAGAAATCACCACTCAAGACTTACAAATGTAACCAAACACCACCTGTTCCCCAAAGACCTATTGAAATAAATAAGATATACATAAAGTAAACAAAAATAAAAAAATAGGCATATATTGATTTCTAAATCTCACATAATTCCCTTTCCCCTCCACTTCATTCCAAAATACTCCATAGATAACCTTTTTCTTTCAGTTCCTTGTTAAACTTCCAGTGTTTCCTTGTGCAAAAAATAAACAGAACAACATATGCACCTTGAAAGAAAAATGAAATGATTTCCCTTGGATCATGGGACTGGTCCATGACAGGGTGAGGGCTGATAACTCGGACATCAATTTTCTGTGAGTCCTTATTCGATCATGCAAGGTGTCACTCCCCAGCAAACTGCCTTCCTTGAGGTAAACCCTCTACAGTTCTCAGTTTAAAAAGCCAGTGATCTCTTTTGTGTCAGCTTTAACCTAACCTCTCAAATGGCATTCACATTCTGAATAAGAAACATTGTAAGAAGTGGGCTTTTATTGATCTAGGCTTTGCTTCTTCTATATTCCATGTTCAGTTTTATAGTCAGAACCTTTATTGTTGTTCACAATATCACCACTGGTTGAGCACCTAGTTAATAATAACACACGCGTACATCTAATCTGTGAATTAATTATATATATGCTGAGCATAAGCATTTATAATCCAAACCTAGATGCTTTTGTGAAAGTAAGTAGCTTTACTAATAATTACTCTTGAACAACACATATAAATTTGGATAATGATTCCCCTTGTTACATAAAGCATTAGCACAGTGCCTGGCACATAGTAAGTGTTCAGTAAATGGTAACTTTTAAAAGAAGCTTTATCAAAAGAGGTGAAAAGAGTTGACAGTTTACTGAAGAGTATGCTTAAGAGCTGTTCCTTTCAAAATTAACATGAAGCAATGGGCTTCTGGTGAGAAACGTGTTGTCCTTCTTGTACTGTATGTGATGTGGAATGTGAAGTCTACTAGACTTTCCACCTAAGCAGCAAACTGGGAATGTGAGGAATTTTTGTAGAAAATCTTCCAGGTGAAGATATTTTCTAAGGAGATGAACTTGGGAGACCAAGGTCCAGGGCCACAGAAAAATCATCAATGGACAATTGGGATTATTGGAACTAATATCTTAAAATACTAGAATTCAGAGTTGACTTGTTTTTCAGGTTATCTGAAATATTTTTTAGTGTTTGGTCTTATTTCATGGAGGAAGTTGGGAATGTTTTTAAAGCGGTTTGTCCCAGGTGACTTTCCCAGAATTAGAAGATGTGATCCCAATTTCTAATGCCATATCTCAAGGAACACATAACTTGCTTTCTTACTGGTGTTCTATAGGATTATCTGTAATGCAAGACTACCTTTATAAGCTATCATTTTCCTGGGGAGCAGGCATGCTGAGAGGTGATTCATCTTACTCCCTTCCTTCCAACGTGACACTTTTCCCCATCTCTGAGGTCTGATTGCTAATGTTTCAGCACCAGCTGCAACCTAATCCTTCAGTGAGCACAGCTGAGCTAAGTTAATCTAATTTTTATAGCCTTTGCACCCTAGATATCAATCTCGTGGGTAGTTAAGGCTCCCTGAGCCAGGCTTGGATTCCAGAGTTCCTTATCACTGTCCCCACTGTACTCTTGTCCCCCAGCTACAAGCAGCCCTGTGGGCACCACAGAGCTCCGAAAACATTTGTCCCCACAGCTGGCTGGCTTCCTCAGGCCAGTGTGCCTAATGAGCTGGCCATTGCCCGTAAATCAAGTCAAGCATGCACAGTTCAGGCTTTCATCAGGTGAGCCCTGTTCAGCAATGCCTTTGAAGGAGGGGCCCCTGTGGGCTGCAGAGGCTGTGTGCTGCCCAGATAAACACCCCATCTCAAAGATGTTGTTCTGTTTTGCAGACAGGCTTGTCGTTAGTGGGAGGAAGCGTGCTGGGTTGCCAAGTACCAGGAGTGGACTGATTTGACTTGGGAGCCAAGGAAAAGAAACACACATGCTCACATGCATTCTCCCAAAGAGCCCGACTAGAGACATGAGGAAAACAGAAGGCACAAAAGACTTACGTCCCATCCTCTCACCTGGGGTTGTGCTAGCATCGGGCAGTGAGCAGAGATGTGGCACATGTGGCTCTGATGGGATCTGTCATGAGGACCTTGAACAGTGCCTTAGACACACTGACTGCCAGCTTGGGGCCCAGCCTCCAGTGCCTTTCCACTTTCTTCTTGCTGAAGCCCTCCCAGGCTTCTCTATCTGCTTAATGTCTTCTGTGCTCTCCCCTGTAATTACAGTCTACAGTGATCTACTAATAACTTCCAATCAGGAAACAAGGAAGAAAAATAGCAAATGGGAATTTTTTATGCTTATACGACCCACCTAGGGCAAACTATTTTTTTACATTGGCTTTGAATCTCTCTCCACTTAGTACTTAGTAAGTACTCAGTAAATTCTACATTGGTTTTTCAAAATTTCTGTAGAATTATTTCATTTTATTCATTTATTAATAATAATGATATTTAGTAAGTATTTACCAAGTACCCAATAGGCATCAGATGCTGTTCCAGGTGTTGATGATAGAGTGCTGAACTAGAGAGAAAAAAATCCTTCCCTTCTATGGGAGAACAGACAACGAGAAAGCAAATGCAAGGCAATTTCTGATAGCAATCCTGATGCAATTTCAGATGGCAATTGGGAAATGATAAATAAAATTTAAATGGGAGAGGAGATAAACAGGGTTGTTGGTGGTGATGGCAATGGTTTTTGATAAGGCATCTGGCAAATCACCCCTGGAGAGATTATGTTTAAGCTGAAGATTATTTGATGTGAGGAAGCAAGATACCTGAAATAAGAGAATTCCAGGCAGAAGAGAACCAAATACCAAGGTCCCAAGGTGGGATGAAAAGGGGACCTTGAGGGACAGGGAGAAGAGCAGGGAGGAAGGATCACAGTGAGATCACAGTAAGAAAGCAGCCCGGCAGAGGAGATGGGGCTGGAGAGCAAGCAGGAGCCATGCCTCCCACGAGTGCTGGGAGACAGGACCAGATATGGTCCCTGTCAACCTCTAAGGGAGGCTACCCCATGGAGCCAGCATTATGATCCTCCTTAGGGCTCAAAGTGGCCAGAAGATTTGCTGGAGTTCACACAGATGCTCAGTGACAGAACCCGGATTTGAAGCCAGGACTCAATTCTGAACCCATGCTTTATCCACAATAGTTTCCAGCTATCTTAGCCTTAGGGAGATGATGATTTTGTTAGGGTGACACAATTTAATCATGAATAATGAAAGCAAAAAATATAATTCATGCTTATTTGAATTCTACAGTGCTGGTGTTGGCTACTCTACCATTTCAGGTTTTTTGGTTTGCTGTTTTGTTTTTCTTTTAAGCAATGGGTAACAGACCCTCCTATACCTGGACAGCCTCATGTTAGATATGAAGATGCGGGCAAATGATGTCAGGTGGGTCGTTGCACAAGTCAGTGCAGGAAAACTCAACATAATTTTAGGGCATTAGCAAAGTCAATCCTGTTCATCTAATCAGTGTTGTTCAAACTTCAGTCATTTGTTAAGCAACTTGATGTTTTTGCCATATTCTTTAATTTATTAAAGATTTTTCTTTAAATGGACTCAACTTTTTACTTAAACAAAATTGTCTACAAAGGAAACGTTATACACAATTGCTCAAGACAAGCTGGATCTGAGTGGTTAACATGTTTATTAACGTCTTATGCATTTTCTATTGAAATTAGCTTCCTCCACGTCTCTCTTTTCATATTTATTTTTAAAGACCCATCAACGGATCCCTTGGCTTCTCTATCTTTAGACTACAGTTATGTTTAGATATAGAGGGGTGAAGGAAGACATAGATTAGAGGAGACAATTATTCTACAATCACTCACACATGTCCCTACCTTTTTATTACCATTGTGGCCATCTTAATTTAAGTCCTAATCATATCTCACTTAGATTATTTCCAAAATCCTCAAATTGGATGTCTGACTATTGCCTTTCCTCCCCCAATCCAAACCATGGCTGCCAACGTGGTAAAACTCCAAAAGGGCATTTTATTTTTAAAACTTTTCATAATTTCCTATTGCCTACTGAGTAGACAATTGACTCACCCTTAGACATGCAAGATCATCTACAATATGCTCCAATCTACTTATATTTCATGCTTTTATACTTTACTCCGTATATATTGGATGCTCTGGATCAAATGATCCTCATACTTTTCCATCTTAGATATTTGTTTAAAGATCTGTTGTTGTTTTCATTTCTATACTTCCCTCCTCATCATTACTAACTCAGAATTTCACTTAAACATTCCAACTACTGTTTCATAATTCATTCACATGAATTCACACATAATCTCTGTTTTCTTTACCTCGTATCAAATTTCACTAAGGTAAGTGTTATAAAGCAGATTTTTAAAATAAGTGAGAGAAGGTCTGTTTGTAGACTAACTAGTTCTGCTCTCATGACTCTGCTATTATATAGGGGGGGTATATATTATCCAGCTCTGAATCCCTTGTAAGAGCTGATGGAATATTTGTAACAAGAATTTGAATAGCTGTATTCTATTTTGTTTTTACTAGGAGAGAAGTCAATGATTGACAGAGTAAAATTTCAGTTTGAGAGCTGGAGAAAGTCACTGGCCTCATTACTAACTCTCCAGAGGAAAGGGAAGAAATGAATTTCATTGGCCTCTGTTCCACAGCTCCATTAATCACCTTTACTGTCAAATATCACTTCCTTTTGTCAAATTCACAGGGACTCTCATTAGAAACTTTTCTAATCACAACTCCTTCCTTGAAATATTTCTTAAGACCCTGAAGTCTTCAATATCAATAAGGAAATACATATTTTACCACCTTGAGATCTTCATTCCTATGAAGAGACTCACACAAATGATACACATTTCCTCATAAGGGAGAGAATTGCCTGTGTTTCTCTGAAGTGTGCCTTAGCCTGGATGCATGTGACCTTTAGTTGTCCTTGCCATGTGCCAGTGACACTGAGATGAGCAAAGACTGGTGGCTATGGAGGCTGATATGAGAATAACTGGTGAAATAGATGCTTTTTGAATCACATTATCAAAGGCTGCAATACATTTGGCTTCTCTTAACAATCTTCTAGGGCTAAAACGGGGAGTTCAAGAGACATCAGGGTCACTTGCTGTATTAAAAAACAGTCATGCTAAACCTGGTCTCTAATAATTGTGGCACACACACACACACACACACATATATATAATTTTTTTTTTCGAGACAAAGTCTCACTCTGTCGCCCAGGCTGGAGTGCAGTGGCATGATCTCAGCTCACAGCAAACTCCACCTCCTGGGTTCAAGCGATTCTTGTGCCTCAGCCTCCTGAGTAGCTAGGATTACAGGTGCCCGATTGTGGCATATATTTACAGTTTATATTTAATAGCTTAATTCTTAACTATCAAAATGCCACAATGAATTGTGGTAGTCATGATGTGTAGAAATGCAAGGGTACAGAATTATCATCATTGGAATCTTTGATAAGATGTGCTGCATATACCAAGTGTGGCACTAATGTAGGGATGACATTCCTTACCACTGTACTCACTGAGACACAGGCTTTTTTGGAATCATAGAGAAAATGCATGGAAAAAGGCTTGGGGAAAATGTTCTCTCATTACAAAATCTACCACCTGGCTGACTGACTGGAAAGTTATGGAAACTGTTGTAGCCCTTTGCCAGAGGTGGCAAGAGACATCTATGACCTGTCCTTGTATTCTCCTAAGCCTGGTCCTTCTTTCTGTCATAACTTCCTTTCCATTCAGTCATGGATGTTTGCTTTTCCCCTGACAAATGACTTTTCTTTGCCAGAGCCAGGGACAATCACTGGTGCCTTCAGAAAGAGCCCCTTTCCACCTCCTGCGTCATGGGCGTGGGGTACCTCTGGTGCCCACCAGCCCCAGCGGTACTAGCTCAGGCCTTCTGGGCATCTCTGTCAAAGACCATTTGTGACAGGACTTGAGAAAAATAACAAAGCAGCTCTCCCCTCAAGCCCTCTAAGGAATGTGAAAACCGGAGTGGGGACACATAGGCTCTTTGTGCCCTCAGGTACACAGTGTCAGCTCCCTTCTCTGGCTGGCAGGGCTAAGTGACAGAATACAATGAAATGCTCGTTTGGGCTGTGTTGGGTGATTCAGGACAGAGGATGCATTTTATTTAAAGAAAGTAACATTGTGCCTCCTGCCAAGGTGAGGTAATTTCCTTCCCTTTTCTATACTTCCTAGTGTTCCAGATTTATACATTTTTACAGTGTTTGCCAGAGCTCACCTGAAGAAAGCAATTTTCAAATAAAAAATTTAAAGAAATATTTTTGTTCAGGGCCCAGACCCATAAAGAATAACTACCATAGGCTTAAAAAATTCCAACTGCATTTTACAACTAATTACTTAAATAAACCTAATAAACAGACCAGGTTTGTCTCACTGAATAAAGACCATAAGCATATAACCCACCCTTAGGTTCAACAGATTGCATTAGAAAATGCCTCACTCCACCCCATCTTCCCATTGGCTTTATATTTAGTCATTTATTTTACCTCTGAAACCAAGATGCTTGTGTAAATTTGAGCACATAGGTTTATTTATAAAACGATATAGTAATTGCTTTTCAAGTACTAGAGAAACAAAAGGTCTGTTTACAGAAAGTCAGAGATTTCTTTTTAATCATATATGAGCCAATAACTTTAATGTGATTGTGGGCATTCTCCTAAAAACCAATAAGAAAACAACAAACTTTCAGGTAAATTGCCTGTTGTAGAGTACCAAAAAGAACCAAATAACTCATGTCTGGGCTGGGAGAGTTAGTATTTCTCCCTAGAGTTACTCTAGTGATTGCAAACTCACTAACTCATGGATGCACCCCATATAGAGAGCAAAGGGACAGGCTGAAGTTACCGTATCTCTTGTGCATTGGGCCCCCTCATGGGCCATTCACTTCACACTCTGACTTAGTCTTCTCTACAGCTCCATGGAAGAGCTCACTTTACAGTTTAGGAAGCCAAAGCTGAATGGGATTAGGTAGCTTACCCAAGATTCCCAAAGCTAAAAAGTGATCCAAGATACATCCAGAGATACTATTGTCTCCTTAATTGATCAATTTTTTAAAATGTTTAATCCATTCAATTGCACATTGATTTTTGTATTCTCTGGGACCTAATACACAAATGACAGTCTCTTCAAGTAATCACAGGGTTTTGAAAGTCATTCATTTATCCACACATCCTTCAATGCTAGAATTAATGGCAAATTTGAATACCAATGTGCAGTAGTTGCTAGTTGGTTCAGAAGAGAGAATGGTTCTTTCTACACTGGATAAATGATGTTACTGTTCATTTTAAAGCAGTGGCCTCAATCTTTTAAACGTAAAGACCTCTTTTATTTGTCAAAAAGTTTTGGGTACCCCATTTCCCTTAAGATAACACTTGTTTAACATCTCTTGAGAACATACATATCCACCCAAACTTGAGAACCATTTGAAATAAGCATTTTATTTCACTAACTTCATCTACAAATATTGCTAAAACTCTAACTCATACACTGGAGATGGAAGAGTGCCTAGAGGAGTCTAGAGACACATGGCTGCCATAGCATTCTGTCCCTAGGCATCCGTGACCTCAGGTTGAGAACCACTGTTTCCAAGATCAGGAAACAAGGGAAGAAGTATATGGAAAAAGGAGGTGCTGATTTGCAGTCTGCCCTGGAAAGCAGGAGCTCTGAGGAGACAGTAGCTCTACAAAGGAAAGGGTGCAGTGGGCTCACTTGGTGCTGACTTAGAGAAGTTATTTCATAGGGGGTTAATTTCCCCATTGCCTGTGTGAGTTTTCTGGGGCTGCTGTAAAAAAACACCGCAAATTGAGTGGCTTCAAACAAAATGGTTTCTGTCACAGTGCAGTTCTAGAGGCCAGAAGTCTAAAAATAAGGTGTGGGCAAAATTGCTCTTCCTCCAAAGACTCCAGGAGAAAATCCTTCCTTGCATCTTCCAGCTTCTGGTGGCTCTTGGAATTCCTTGGATTGCGCCTAATCACTCTGACCTCTGTTCCCCCTTCACGTGACTTTCTTTTCCTCCCCTGTGGCTTCTCTTTTGTGGCTTATAAAGACAATATATAAAGATACTGGCTATTGAATTTAGGTGGGCCAGGTAATCCAGGATGATCTCATCTTAAGATCTTTAACTTAATCACATCTGCAAAGATCCCTTTTCCAAATAAGGTCATATTCATGGGTTCCAGTAGGTGAGATGTGGGCATTTTGCGGGGAGGGGAGGAAGGAGGAGGGGGTGCAATTCCACTCACAATGCAGCCCAACAACTCACTTAATGCCCCTGGTTTCCTTCCTTACAAGGAAAATTATGGTGCAGAGAGGATTTGAAAGTGATGGTTTGGGATCAGGGTTGGTGAAGGGGGCTGAGTTCATGTGTCTGGTGACTGCTAAAGTATATTCGGTTCATCCGGAAGCTACCTTCTGAGGCCTATAGAAACATACCTTATGTGGAAACATACTAAAACATGAGATAATTTTAATTTTTTTCTGATTGCCATAGCAATGCATAGTCATAAATATATTATTGAAAATATCAAATACAACAAAAAGAAATGTGAAAAATGAAAGAAGCTATCTCCTCCATAACCCAGAAAGACATAACAACTTTTGGAGTGTTTCCTAACCTCTTCTCTCCTTACCTTGCCTCTCCCTATTAATATTAGACTCCATCAATTAGACTCCACTAATGTAACCAAGTTAAATTATTTAAATTCAGCTACATTTTTAATTTTTAAATATGATATTAACACTCTTGATATACAATGCCACTTTATTAATGACAGGTGAAGATTTATAAATTTCAGTTTCTAAAATAATACTTGTATTTTTCTCTAAGATGAAATAATATTTTCCCATAAAACATTTTATACCTTGATTATGTCTTCACTATAATCCTGTTCTCTGGTCAATTTTTGCTGTTTAAGACAAACTGATAATTAAATGGTGTGCCATAGATGAGACATAAAGGAGGGGAGAAGTCATTTTACATGTCTGAATATAAATCATTCACCTTAATGATCACAGACACCACCACCATTTCTACTATCAGCATCAACACCCTTCCCCCTTTCCTCTAATTGTTCTGATTTGCTGGGAAAGTAAATGCTTTATACAGTATATATAATCTGATTGAATACTACCAAAGCCTCCAGAGCTAAGCAGAATCCTACAAAATAAAAATAAGCTTAAAAAGCATAAAGCAGGCCAGGCACGGTGGCTCACGCCTGTAATCCCAGTACTTTGGGAGGCCAAGGTGGGCAGATCACGAGGCGAGGAGATCAAGACCATCCTGGCTAACACGGTGAAATCCTGTCTCTACTAATACAAAACCTAGCTGGGCATGGTGGCGGGCACCTGTAGTCCCAGCTACTCGGGAGGCTGAGGCAGGAGAATCACTTGAACCCACGAGGTGTAGTTTGCAGTAAGCCGAGGTCACGCCACTGCACTCCAGCCTGGGAGACAGAGCAAGACTCCGTCTCAAAAAAATAAAAAAATAAAAAAAGCATAAAGCAGTTTGTCCCAAACAACACAGTTGGTAAGTCACAGAGCTGGGAATAGAGCCCAGACCATATAACCTCAAAGGCATTAAGTTGTCTGACCTCTGGGAATAGTAGTTATTTTGATGTTCATTTTTTTCCAGGCAATGGATGCATACATTCTCTCATTTTTCACCTTATTATCTTTCCATATTTAGATTGATATGTTCTGAGGTTACTCTTTATTATCTCATTTAAGTTTTTTTGTTCAGTTTACAAAGTAAGTTTTCACATTTTTATTTTGACAAAAAGGAAGCAGTTATTCCCCAGACTCTTAATCCTAGAGAGGTTAGGGAGCAGTGCAACAATGAGATTGCCATTGGGCAGAGCAGCATCACAGACTAATAAAACTAACAATCCAGTATTGTTTCTCCTTTTTTTTCTGTCTCTCCCCTGGTGTTTCAAAAGAGTGGCAATTACATACAACTAACCTCACATTAGGCCCTAGAAAAAAGTATAAGGTAATTGAGTATTGACTTTATGAAAATATTTGATGAAAACATGTTACAAAGATTCACAAAATGCATTATATAAACATGCCATAATTTTATTTAAAATTAAATTTTACCCATGTGCTATTTCACTGTGCAGGTAACTGACAACCTTTAAAATGAGAAATAGTAATGCTATGCTAGTATGCTACACACAAAGAATGTGTAGGGGGTGTGTGTGTGTGTATTCTTTCTGTTACATACACACATACACACACACACACACACACGCTTTTTTTAAACCAAATATTAGATTATGAACATTTCCTCATGTCTCTGTTTTTTTTTAATGTGTACATGGCTGAGTAACATTTCTTTTTATTAATACTCATTTTCCTTTAGGCTATTTCTTTTTCTCTATAATAATGCAGAAAAGGACTTTTTTGTATAAATATTTGTCACTATCTCTGATTACTTCACCAGCATGGATCTCCTTAATAGATTTATTGCATCATAAATTAAAAACATTTTAATGCTCTTGACAAAAATCACATATTTGGTTTTTAGAAATAGTTTACCAATTCACATTTATACTAGCAATTCTTATTTCTCATATCATTGCAAGAAAGGATTATTTTTAAAAATTATTTACTGCTATAGGAAGAAAATTATAATTTGCTTTATTAGGTATTTTTATTGCTGTCGAAGTATACTTTTTCAAGAAACTACGTCTTAGCCTTTGCATATTCTTTTGTGATTTGTTCATACTCATACTCTGCGTTTTTCAATGGATTTTCTCTGAAATTCCAGATGATTATTTCACCTTCTGGATACGATGACAACTCTATATTAGTAGCATATTTGGAATATGCAGCAAACCTTTCTCAACAGTGATGCTGGTTATGGTCATTCTGCACCCTGGGCCCCTTTCAAGTACAAGGCTCAAACTGCCATACACATACAAGGGGGGAAGGCCCTGGCTGGGGGATGGGCTTGCTGGTTTTGTTTGGGTTACCCAGTGCTCCCCAGCTCCTTCTCATGTTTATAAGTCTGTCTTTTACCCTAGAGCCACAGGAAGGCCCTCCTTCGTTAAAGCCTGGAAATGGCAGTAGTAGCATATGATATCTACTCCTAGGATAATAACCTCCATTTCTCAGGAATCAGCAAAGAAATGAACAAAGACTTGCTGTGGGCTTTAGGTATACAACAAAGGGAGAACTTAAGACTGCGTCTGCAACAGACCAAGACTGGGAAAATAACAAAACTTTCCCAACAAATGATTTCATTCTGGGGTCCCAGGACATAAACGCATAGAAAACAGATCAGAGTATAAGGGAGTCGTAACTGGGGACCACCAAAGACAGGGGCTTCTGCCTGAGGGTGGATTAGGGAAAATCCAGGTGGAGAAATTCCCTTCATAGAGTCTGCTCCTTTTTTACAGGGGCTTGGTCTCTACTGAGCTTATAAAGGTCCCTTAGCAGGTCTGAACTGATCAGTAAATATGAGGACAATTGGTTGCAATGGTGACTTTGAGGCACTGTAAAATACTAACGTACTTTTTGAATCATTACAAACATATTTTATGACTATATATTACGACATGTAGAGTTAAAACTGTTTTTATTTCTAATTCTTTAAACATACGTGGACCCCTGACAGCAGTATTTGATTGTCTACAGCTTACCAACCACGAAGGATAATAGGTCTTATTGTATAGCTTCTGTCTCTTAGATTTTAATCACTTTAAGAGCAAGGGACTGATTTTTCTACTTCCTTTGGCCTCCCAGCAGATGGTATTTGGAAATGGATTCTGACAGCTTGGAAAAGGTAATCTACCTCTGAAAGGTACAGTAGACCAGCTCACTAAGCAGGGTCTGGCCTTACGTTTCATAATCCTGTGATGAGAGACTCAGTCTTAACTTGGCGTACCTTGAACTAAGCCTACCTTTGACACTCGTCTTAGTAACAGCACTTATCAATCAAATTATTGTGTAGTTTAGTCACTGATTTGGCATGTTAAATGAACAATCATGAACTGCCTTACCTGGAGTCCATTTCAGGGGCTAAATCTTAACTCACTAATAACCTTAGGATCAAACTCTTACTGCACAGAGATGCATGTCTGCAGACAATACATGATTCCATTATTCTTTGGTCTGGTGTGATATTTACGATTGATCTTAACCCTTTGGCGAGAATGTTTTACACCTTCCCATTTGTTTTCAACCTGTTTTAGATATGTAAGTTGTAGAACTTCCCAGCTACAGTCTAACTTCTTTGGTTAATTATGTTTCCTTTAAAACAAATCCGGGTACAATTTTTGAGGGTTCACTTACCAAACTCTGTTATCAAAACCCTTTAGAACAGTCCTCTAGTGTGACTAACAAAGTTCTATGTTAAAAATATCAACTTTTGGCCAGTCGTGGTGGCTCACACCTGTACTCCCAGCGCTTTGGGAGGCTGAGCGGGTGGATCACCTGAGCTCAGGAGTTCGAGACCAGCCTGGCCTACATGGTGAAACCCCATCTCTACTAAAAAATTAAAAAAAAAAAAATTAGCCAGGCATGGAGCACATGCCTGTAATCCCAGCTACTCAGGAGGCTGAGGCATGAGAATCGCTTGAACCCGGGAGGCAAAGGTTGCAGTGAGCCAAGATGTCACCACTGCACTCTAGCCCGGGTGACAGAGTGAGACTCCATCTCAAAAAAAAAGAAAAAAATTAATTAAAATCAACTTTTTGGCTGGGCGTGGTGACTCATGCCTGTAATCCCTGCACTTTGGGAAGCTGAGGCAGGAGATTGCTTGAGCCTAGGAGTTCAAGACCAGCCTGGGCAATGTAGTATGCCCAAAGTATTTATTTTGCCTACTCAATATATTTAATTTCATTTTCCAATATTTTGTTTCTTTTTATTTCTGAGTAGCATTCTATCATACGGATATACTACTGTTCATTTATTCATCACCCACTGAAGGACATTTGATTTGTCATTAAATATAATACTAAGTTTTCTCTCTATAATTCTCCAGAAATGCCTATTTCTGAAAGGGATCTATTATGAGACAAAATAAGAATTTTAGGCAAGTGTTAGTAAATACCATGTCTGTCTCTCCAAAAAAAAAAAAAAAAAAAAATAGCCAGACATGGTGGTACATGGGAGCTACTTGGGAGGCTGAGGTGGAAGGACTGTTTAAGCCCAGGAGTTCAAGGTTACAGTGAGCTATGATCACACCAGTGCACTTCAGCCTGGGTGACAAAGCAAGACCCTGTCTCAAAAAAAAAAAAAAAAAAAAGATCAACTTTTTAAAAGCAATAATAATTTTGCAAGAAATGACTTGCTTTAAGGATTATTAAAATGTGTTTTTCTCAACTCTTAAAAGTCAAGGTAATTTTGACAGTTGGTTTGTACCTAAAACATAGAAAAATAGACTTGTACTTTCTGGAGCATCCTTAGCATTCTCAGACCTTTTAAGCACTTCCCCAAAAATATGCTTAAGAACTGGCTCATAATATTTCCTTCAGTACCCATGAAAATATTTTGATGGAAACTTTACTACATGGCATTTACTACACTTGCCTAAAAATTTTATTTTGTCTCACAATATTTCCCTTTCAGAAATAGGCATTTCTGGAACGTTTCTCAAAACTGTACCTAGTTCAATATAGAGAGGAAACTCAGTATTATATTTAATGATAAATCAAATGTCCTTCAGTAGGTGATGAATAAATGAACAGTGGTATATCCATACGATAGAACGCTACTCAGCAATAAAAAGAAATGAAATATTTGAACATACAAATAAAATATATTCAGTAGACAAAATAAATACTTTGGGTTTAATTTGAAATGAAGCAGAAAAACTCCACTCACCTTATTAAAACTGAACAATTATACACATGGTAGTATTTATAAATGGGGTTCTATCTCAGGTTCAATTACAGTAGGTAACTTTGTAAGTTTGGCTTACAGATTCCAAATAAAAAGTTTTTACATTTTATTATTCATATATTTATGTTCTTGTAATATCTATGTAGCATTAAAATTGGCTGGAAGTCAGGAATTCTGTCAAAATCCATCAATTTTTAAAAACTTGATGCTGAACAGTTAGGATGATAGAGAAAAGTCTATCACTCGAGCCTGAAGGACATTATGTTTAGTGAAATAAGTCAGGCATACAAAGAGAAATACCATATGTTCTTACTCATATGTAGAAACTTTAAAAAGTGGAGCTCATAGAAGTAGACAGTAGGATTGTGGTTACTGGAGGCTGGGAAGGATAGGAGGGAGGACCGGATAGGGAGAGGTTGGTAAATGGATACAAATTACGGCTAGATGAGAGAAATAAATTCTAGTGTTCTATAGCACTGCATGATAAATATGGTTAACCATTATTTATTGTATATTTTCAAAAAGCTAGAATAGAGGATTTTGAATATTCACAATAATAAAGAAATAATACGTTTGAGATGACGAATACGCTAACTACTTTGATTTAATCATTACACATTGTATACGTGTAGCAAAATATCACACTCTGTCCCTTAAATATACAAAATGATTATACATCAACCAAAAATAAAAGAAAAATATCTGTCATTGAATTGAATACATTATTTTAAAAGTTTTAAATATATGTAGAATGTGAAATTAAACCATCCAAAATTAAGAGCATAAAACAGTCTGCTGTTTTGAAATAGTTTGTTGGTTTTGAATAATTAAGGAAAATAAAATTTTTTAAAGAATGTACCCAAGAGCCAAGCAATGCCTAGCATAGAATAGCCATTCAATAAATATCTGTTTAATCTATTTGCCATTGTTCTTGGCAGTGTAGCTAAGATTCTTATTTTTAAAATACTTTCCGACTAATAAAGTTATAAAAATATATACATACATTTTATAGAAAACTATAAACTCTTTTTATAAACTCTCTGAGATTACATAGTAAAGGCTTCCTTACCCTTCTACATTGGAAAAGAGAAAATCTTGTTTTATTACTTGTAAAATATTATAACTTAAATTTTAACCTGATATCAGCTAGTTACCTTTTTTATCATTTACTTTTTAGAGTTCTCATGTTTTCTCAAAACCATACCTAGTTCAGGAGAAACTTGATACCAATTGCTTTATGGTAGGGCTGTCTAACTTAAGTAGACTTCAAACTGGTATTAGGGAAAATAATGTTAAACATAATCAAAATTTGTATTATAGATTAAACTCAAACAAACATAATTTAAGAGTGAAATTAGGCAAGGCATGATAGCTCACACCTGCAATCCCAGCACTTTGAGTAGCCAAGGAGAGAGGATCCCTTGAGGTCAGGAGTTTGAGACCAGCCCGGGCAAGATAGCAAGACCCTGTCTCTACAACAAATAATTTTTAAAAAAGAGTAAAATTGTACTGACATAGCCATTGAACAACACTGCGGGAAATCCTATGGCACAGAAATTAACCTGGTGCACCCTTATGCACTGTGTGAAACATATAGTGTTGTAGGTTCTTATATTATGCGTGAAATTGTATAATGTAGACTCTGATAAGTTAAAGATGTGTACTATAACCCCTAAAGCAATGGCCAAAATAAAAGTTGTAGCCAAAGCCAACAATGGAAAGAGAATATAAAACTATTCAATTAATCCAAAAGAAGACAGAAAACAGACAGCAACATGGTAAATTAAATCCAAATTTCTCAATAATCACATTAAATGCAAATGGTTTAAACACCCCTATGGAAAGGCAGCAACTGTTACGTTGGAGTGAAAAAAAAAAAAAAGACACAACCATATGTTGCCTGTAAGAAACCTACTATAAACGTAGTATGCTACATAGGCAAGTGGAATACAGCCACTCTGAAAATAGTTTGGTAATTTATTATAATGTTAAATGTACATTTACCATACGACCCTTTAATTGCACTCCTAGGTATTTATCCAAGAAAAATAAAAACTTAGGTTCACAAAAATTGTAAGTAAATGTTTATAGCAGTTATAGAAAATTATACGTAATTGCTTTAAACTGGACACAAATCAAATGTCCTTCAGTGGGTGATGGATAAATGAACAGTGGCATATCCATATGATAGAATGCTACTCAGCAATAAAAAAGAATAAAATATCGGAAAATGCAAATTAAGTCTAAATAAAATGCTATTAAATAGCTATTGAAATTGCTAAAATTAAAGACTGACCATACGAAATTTTGATGAGACTGAGAACCAAATAAATTACCGGTTAGATCATAAAATAGTAAAACTATGTTGGCAAAGAGTTTGGCAGTTTCTTAAAAAGTTAAGCATACAGTTGTCATATGACCTGGTTATTTCATTCCTAGGAAATTACTCAAGAGCAATGGTCCACAAAAACCTTGTACATGACTGTGATAGTTTCACAGGTGTATGTCAAAATGTATCACATTGTACTTGTTAAAATGTACAGTTTATTATATGTAAAGTATGCCCCGAATAAAGTTTTAAACATTAAAGACGTTATAAAACCTTGAAAAAGTAGCTTTTTCAAGTGAAATACAACTAACACACTCTTAGAAGGTAATTTATAGGCTTTAATACAAATATTATAAAAGAAAATGCTAAATTTTAGTGACCTAAGCCTTCATCTCTAGAACTTAAAGAACAGCAAATTAAAAACAAGGTAAATGCAGAGGAAAGGAAATAAAGGTGAACAGAAATTAATGAACTACATACAATAGAGACCATCAACAAAGGAAAAATATTTATCTTACAAAGCCTTGTGAAACTAATAAACTCATGGTGAAATTGATTTAAAAAAATGAAAAGGGAGCATGCATGTTAATTACCAACATCAGGAACGAAAAAGGAGACATTACAATAATGTGGTGATATGCTGTAGCAGGCTTATGCTGCTTCATGAGAGCTGATTGCTAAGTTTTCAGGAATTTGCAAGCCAATTTTTAAACACAGTCATTATTAAAATTAAACTGTATACACTTTCAATTAAATAAGAACAAAGCTACTTTCTAATTACCACAGTTTGTAGTATCTATGTTCTTGTGGGTATTCACACCGATTGCATCTGTATGGTGGAAATACTATACAATGGAGTGCTACCACACATCTCTTACCAATTCCGTGTTTAATAATGTCATATTGGTACCTCGAAACTGGCCACAGTGGGAGTATTTACACTATGGAAGTCAGCAAATGCCTCAAAATCTGGGCTTGATTTATTGTTTACTTGACTGTCTAGATTATGAAAAATATATAAAATGTTAATGCATAGTAATCTTAAGTGTGTCAAGTCTAGCCATTTACATTGTTAATAGCACACAAATTTGAAGAAATAGTCTTCAAATATTTGAAAATTAATATCCAATTCAGCAAAAAAGTTTTTCATGTCATGAAGGACAAGTGAAGTTCCTACTCTCTCTCTCTCTCTCTCTATATATATATGCATTATCCACTATTATAATGCATAATAGTGAGGCTGAAAGAAGATTCAGTTTAATGAATGAACATTCATTAATGATTCGTTAAATTCATTAATGATTCATTTTAAAATTTTAATGAAAAAGTGAGAAATTATTTAATAATACATAATGTATTCGATTTAATAAAACTTTTTTTTTTGGAAGCAATATAGCACATTAGGATGCACCTCCATTGTCAAAATAAGGTTGCTGTGCAACTATGGATTGGCTATAGATAAAATAATTTGGCAAAAATAATGGGCAGGTCGCGGTAGCTCATGCCTGTAATCCCAGCACTTTGGGAGGCCAAGGCAGGTGGATCACCTGAGGTCAGGAGTTCACGACCAGCCTGGCCAACATGGTGAAACCCCGTCTCTACTAAAAATACAAAAAAAAAAAATTAGGCTGGCATGGTGGCAGATGCCTGTAATCCCAGGTACTCAGGAGGCTGAGGCAGGAGAATCGCTTGAACCCAGGAGGCAGAGGGTGCAGTGAGCCAAGATCGTGCCATTGCACTCCAGCCTGGGCAACAAGAGTGAAACTCTGTCTCAAAAAAGAAAAAAAAAAAATGGCAAAAATAAAAAAAATTCAGTGAGATCAAATGTTAAATTTGCAATAAAGATTTACAATAAAGATTATTACGTAGTCTATTTCATTCTTATTTGTAAATTACATGTTATAGATGCTTTATATCAGTATAATTTATAATAAACTTATACATACATAAATGGATACATTATATGCTGTTTGTTATTAATACATTTACCATCATGTAGAATTATTTACTGCAATAATTCTACAGATGTTAAATAAGACATTTTTTCGAATAAATATAAAAATGTAAGTGAAATTGATAACTTCCTAGAAAATCACAAATTTTCAAAATTGACACAAAAAGAAATGTGAGTAGATTTTTATTAATTAAAGTAATTTAAAAATCCTAACTAAAAGCTTTCTGACAAAATTCTATATTCATCAATGATTTCTACCAAATTTTATGGAATATAAAATACCAATCTCATATGAATTCTTTCAGTATATATATTATGTAATACATATATACAATATATATCATATATATATATAATTTTCTACCTTCTTTCAATAAATACAGGAAAAGTGTTTGATAAAATTCAACATCCATTTATGATAAAACGCTATTAGCAAACTAGGAATCGAAGGGAACATCCTTAATCTGAGACAGGTTATCTACAGAAAACCTATATTAAACAATATATATAATTGTAAGGTTTTAAGACATTTTTTTACTGTGATCAGAAACAAAGTTGCTTATTTATCACTACTGTCATTCAACATCATGCTACAGATTCTATCCAGAGCAATAATATTAAAAAATAAATATATAAAATTAGATAACTGTCATGTTTCACAGATGCCAGACTTTTAGAAATTTAAAAATAATATACAGAGAAACATTTATAATGGATCTAACAGAATTGTTGGATATAATTCAATGTACAAAAATCAATTATATTCTCACTATTAGTAACCATCAGTTAGAAATTAAATTTTAAAAATGCCATTTACCATAGCATCAAAGAGCAATAAATAGAAAACAATTCAACAAAGATGTGAGAGACCTCTAAACAGACAAACTGATTGTATAATTATATGAAAATACAAAAAAAACAAGAATTACCAAAATGCTTATTTCCTAATGTCTGAGATCAGAAACTGGCTCTAGATTGCTTCTGTCCTACTCTATTGGCCAAATAAGCCACAGAGCCTGCCTAGATTAAGGAGAAAGGTTATAGATTACTGTATCTTGACAGTATCTTGACAGGAATCATGTCAAATAGTTTGTGACAGACCTCTTTAATCTTCCAACCTGGAGTACCTCAGAATTTCCCTCTGCTCTCCTGTCTCATCTCCAGCCTTCAGTGTATGATTTCCATGCACTCAGTGAAGGTCCATGGGAAACACTCAGCAGATGAGTGTGGAAATCATTTCTTGGGGCTCCTTGTGATTCTAATCTGCCATACCAGCCCTCACTTGCCATTATGAGTTCTCAAAAAGTTTGGCTAATGTCTTCCTACTGGTGTGTACAACCAGTAAGTTATATTGGTTATTTCTTCTCTGGCAGCTCCACTAGGGATGAAAAACAGTCATGTTCCTTCTCTCCTAGGAAGAGCTTGTCACTTATGGAATTTAGTTCATTTAGATTTATTTGCGTCCTTGGCTTTCTGATGAATTTTTTTTAAAAGTATGATTTTGTAGCTTATCTGGCTTGTTCTCATTGTTAGTAGGGTAACTGACAATCTCCAATGATTTTTCATGTACTAACAAGAAACAAAACATTGCTGTAAAATTGATTTGTATGTATACTTTCTATATTTTTCTTTTTCCTGCTTTTCTCTAAGTTTTTAAGGCCATGCATTTTCTTCACAGTATGAGGTATGAAGGTATCTCCTAACAGTTATTGTATTCTCACTATTTTTTTCCTTTATATTAGAATATCAATACAGATTAGGAGGCCTGATTCCTTTAACTAATTCACCAGACCTTCTCCAACATTTTAATTTATTCTTTTTTAAGCTTACAAAACACACTATATTTTTTTCCTGAAATTTTGTTTCTTCTAAGTAGCTATATAACTGATGCTGATTTGAAGTTTTTCTTTAAAAGAAGATTGAAATTTATTTGTAGTTTTACTCTGAATCAAAAATCATATTTTAATTCATTTCCTTGTGATACATTTTTTCTTATATCTTTCCTGTGAATCATTTACTTATCTCATTCGTAATCATCATAAAAATTAGAATGCCTACAAGAACAGAGCCATATAGAAGTCAGAGTAGGTATAAAATAGCAAGTATGTATTTTCATATCACTGTTTATATGTTGTAAAATACCAGTAGAATTATTTTCTACAGTTCTCAATGCTTCCTTTCACCAGTGAAGATCTATAGAAAACATTTGCATGATTGGCACGTGTATTAGAATGTGATTTCACTTTCTTCTTAATTATGGAAAGAAGATCAGGAATTATTTCTACTTATTTTCTCTCCTCCATATTGCTTGAAGTAACTTTAGGGTTGGAAGTGATTTCTGATCCATTATGAAAAAGTAGGATAATATTTCTGTACTTACGTATTTTCAATTTGAGTTAAAGCAGATTTTTAATGTGATTTATTATTTTAAAAGTAAGAGAGTGGTTTATCCCTATAATCTTTTGCAAAAATAACCTATTACAATACAAAAATACTTCAAAAATAATACCCTCCAATTTATTTTCTCTTTGCCACGAAGGGGTTCCTCTCTATATGCTAATGTTTCCAAAGAAAACTTCTCCATTGGTGACCAAAGAGAGAAACACAAAGTCATGTGAACATCTAATTCAGTGCTGAAGAAACAACAGAAAACATTACCTCTTAGCTAATGAGTGATGCTGGTATTTTTACCTTTAATACTACAAATGATGTCGAAGAATTAGAAGCAGGCCAAGTTCTTGTTGCTTACAGAAGTCTCTTTCAAAAGAGAGCTGTTAGCATCTTCCATTTCAAACTGGTGCCAAATGCACAGCATTATTATTTTGTCCTAAGCTGAATGGGAACTTTTTGGTAACCATCACCTGTGTTGATGTTTGAAGGGAAGTTATGCTAGTGGAAGAATCCAAGGGATATAAAATTTGTCTTCATTGGGACTATTTTTGCAATTCTGTTTTTCAGTAAGGACAATTATCTGTGAGAAGCTCTTGCAAATTACTGAATTAATTCTGTTGTATAAGTAGCTACTATAATCAGCCACACACTTTTCCTTAAAATCTTCCTTTAGGATGAGGACTTGTGTACATGTAATGTGTGTGTGTATGTGTGTGTGTGTGATACTGAGAGGCATCAAGTTACGGAAATGGTTGAGATGGTAAGGAGTGGCTAAGAAGAAGAAATAGAATAGGATATCATAGTTTTTTAGTGGAATTATACCTGTGTGTGGTATTTAATTCTCAGTCCCAAATTCTACTTTCAAGTAGAGCAAAAGGCTTACATCAAATGTGAACTCTTTGCTTTTGGCCATTGCCCACTGTCATGTCTGAATTTCAAAAACACATTTACATTCCACACTCATCTTAGGGTTCAATTGCATACCACTCAAAATTGTTTCTGATATATTTTTTTAAAAAATGTGTTTTAAGACTGCAGTTTTCCCTCAGAGACTCCTAATCTTAGGGGAGGTCTTTGCTTTTGCATGTGCGTGCCATGATTCCATGACAAAAGAAATAAAAAGAAAGACTAAACACAGCCAAGGCTGGACCTAGACACGTGGGTGCCTCCAGACTAATAATTTGGTATCATTTCAAAATGAATTTTAAAATATTTATTTAACATTTACTTAAAGATGTAGGGATACTCTGATTTTATATTAGTAAAAACATATATAGAAATAGATTTATGTATTAATTCACTTTGCTACCCAAAAGATAAAAGTCTGAAAAAAAAAATAGGAGACAAACATTTCCTGCTTTCCTATAGCTCTTATTCTGTCCTCTGTTCTTTTGTGATTATCCAAACCAGACAACTTCTTGGCAAGCTTATTAAAGATTTAGATAATGAAAGAAATTCCTCAGTTCCATGAACAGCATTGTGCTGCTCAATTTTTTGGTCTCTGAGTTTCAGCTGCCAGCTACTGCTGTCTTTTGGCTGACTGCAATTGCATGTGTGTGTTGCAAAATTATTCAGCAGAGGCATGTCCTTGTGGATGAGGACTCTTTACATTTCCATCGGAAGCACTGTCCGCTTCAGCTGAACTTGGACAATTTGTATTTGTCATTACATAAAAAGTCACTTAAGAAAATCTTACTCAGCAAGCCTCCCATTTCTGATGGATTCTACAGATATTCTAATGCCTCCATATCAGCGCTTCAGGTAACAGTCTAGATGGCCTACCCCTCGTCGGATTTTGTATCTGGCATTTAGCAACTCTTCTTTCTGGTGACTATCTTTATCCAAAAGCCAGTTGTCTGACTGTTTTATTCTAAACTTAATTTGCCTTTTTCAAACGTGACTTTTTATTTTACTTTCTTCTTTATTAGCTTTTAATACAGGAAAGGCAAAGGAAAGCATTATAAAAAGCGTAAGTTTAGGAGTCAGATGTAGCAATAAATGCTGAATTTGCCCATCTCTACCTCACGAGTCTTGACAAACCATTTTAGCCTCCCTGCTTTCAGCTTTTATCATTTGTAAGGTAGAGATACTAACACTAGCCTTGCAAAGTTGTTGGGAAGATTAGCAACACTTAATCTCCATGATGCTCTTTGTGAGTGATAGCTAATTTCATTGCTAGCGGGTACTATGAAATTTTTAGTTCACCTTTTGACAAGCACAAATTATGTAAAGATGGCTTAACATCATTAAAAAACTCAACCACCTAAAATTGTGTGGAAAATAATCGTTTATCTATTTATTCATTTGTTCAACAAAATACATTAGGCTCTATTAGGTGCCAGACACTTATATTTAATTTTTACCAAAATTTAGATTTTAAAAAAACATACATAAATATAACATGATAATGTTCTGAAAGTTTGTGTGTTTGTGTGCGTGTGCACACCCGTGTATGGAGGTAGTATGTACTGAGGACTATGAAGAAAGACGTAAAGTTGTAAGTAAACATCCTCTTGTCTTTTACTTGGCTGACCTTCAAAGGTAACTACTATTTATACTTTCTTGTTCATTCAAAATTTTTCATGCATGTCACTTCATTCACTGAGCTGAGTAAGTACTGAGTACCTATTATGTGCCAGACACTCTTACAGTTTCTTGGGATGGATTAAGAAAATTAAAAGAACAAAATATCTTTCTCATTCTTCTTTCTTTAGGCTGTGTGTGTGTGTGTAAAACATTTTCCCTTTGTTTGAGATCTAATTTACATGTAGTGAAATCTGCATACCAAAATTTAAAGAGTCATGATAAATACAAGCATCTGTATGCCCCCCCAAAATGAATCAAGTTATGGAATATTTCCACTCCAGAAAGTTCGTTCATGCCCCTTCCCAGTCAATCCCTGCTCCGACCTCACGTCGCAGGCCATGAGACTCTTCTGCTTTCTCATACCAAATCCTTACCTGTTGCAGGATTTAATGTAAGTGGAATCATACAGTGTCTTATGTTTGGCGTCACCTACTTAGCAAAATGTTCTTGAAATGCACTCATTTTATTTGCATGCATCAGTGACTTATTTGTTTTCACTATTCCGTAGTATAAGTATACCAACATTTGTTTGTTTTCTTCTTGATGGATATTTGAATTGTTTCCAGTTAAATTATTATGAATAACATGAATGTGAACGTTCATATAAAAGTATTTTTGTGGACTTGTGTCTCTATTTCTCCTTGAAGTGAAATCCCTGGGTCATAGGATAGATAGATACCAGCTTTCTAAAATACCTGAGCCACTTTACACTCCTGCAGTGTCTGAGAAATCCAGCTGCTACACATCTTCAACATATAGACCTCCTGTGTATGAAGTAATATATCATTTTAGTTTTAATTTGCATTTTCGTTATGATTAATGATTTGGGTCGTCTTTTTATGTGGATAGAGGCAATTGTACATTCTTTTGAGAAGTGCTTGTTTAAATATTTTGCCAACTTTTTAATCAGGCTGTTTATCTTTTCATTATTAAGTTACAGGAGTTCTTTATGTTTTCTGGATACAAATCATTTTTTCAGATATAGGTATTATTAATATTTTCCCATAGTCTCTGGCTTCCCTTTTCATTTTCTTAATATTGTCTTTTTTAAACAGACGTTTTTAATTTTAAGGAAGTGTAGTACAATTTATCTTTTTTTCTTTTCTAGTAAGAGCTTTTTGTATCCTGCCTAAAAATCTTTGCCTCCTCAAAACATTGCGAGGATAGTCTCCTCTGTGTTCTTTCAGAAGTTTTAGCTTTTATAATTATGTTTATGATTCATCTCAAATTAAGTTTTAAATGTGGTATGAGATAGTGGTCAAGGTTCATTTAAAAAATATGGATATCCAGTTGTGCCAGCATGACGCTTTCAAAATACTTTCCTTTTGCTTTAATTTGCTTTGGTACCATTTAAAAAACATTGTGACCATATGCTTGTCATTCTGCTTCTAGACTTTTGATTTTATTCCATTGATTTGTACATTTATTCTTAAGTTAATATCACATTGTCATGATCCCTGTAACTTTACCGTAAATCTTAAAATCAGGTAGTATCAATGCTCCAGTTTTGTTCTTTTTGAAGATTGTTTTGTTATTATAATGCCTTTTGAAATTCTGTATATATTGAGAATCAGCCTGTCAAAATTTCTTTTAAAAAGCCTGCTGGATACTTCCCACTCTACAGCTTTTGCACACTTATTGTTAAATTTATGCCTGAGTATTGTGTACTTACTGATTCTATTGTAGATGCTATTGTTACTATTTTATTTTTTTTCAACTGTTCACTGCTCACTTGTTGAAATACAATATATTTTTATATATTAACCTTGCTTCTTGTGACCATGCTAAAATCACTTAATGGGTTTAGGAATTTTGTTGTAGTTTCCTTAGGATTTTTGTGTGTGTGTGTGTGTGTGTAATCATTATATCATCTACAAATGAAGATAATATTCTTTCTTACTTCCCAATCTTCATACTATGTACTTAGTTATTTAGCCTGGTTGTGCTGGCCAGAACCTCTACCACAATGTGGAATAGAAGTGGTGACAATGGATATGCTTGTGTTGTTTCCCATTTTAGGCGGAAAGTACTATTTAATGTGATATTTTCCATAGGTTTTAAAAAATTAATAGACTTAATTTTTTGAGCAATCTTAGGTTTACAGAAAAATTGAACATCAAGTACAGAGGTTTCCTATATGCTCCCTTTCCCCACTCCCAATTTCTTCTTTGATTAATATCTTGCAATAGTGTGGAATATTTGTTAAAATTGAGAAACAATTATTGTCTTGGTCCATTCAGGTTGCTGTAAGATAATACTACAGGCTGGATAGCTTTTAAACGAAGAAAAAAATTCTTTCTCACATTGCTGAAGTCTGGGAAGTCCAAGATCAAGGTGTCAGCAGATTCGGTGTCTGGTGAGGGCCCATTTTTTGTTCATATCATAGTTTCCTCTTGCTGTGTCCTCACATGGTGGAAGGGTCAAACAAGACCTCTCAGGCCTCTTTTGTAAGGGCACTAATGCCATTCACGAGGACTCCACCTTCAGAACCTAATCCCCTTCCAAAGGCCCCTCCTCCTAGTACCATCTCATGGGGGATTAGATTTCAACTTACGAATTTTGGGTGAGAGACAAACATTCGGACCATAGCACATTCTTATTAACTAAAGTCCAAAATTTATATGAGAGTTCACTCTTTGTACATGTGTACAGTTGTCATGATTTTGACAAATGTCTAAGTCATGTATCCACCATTACAGTATCATACAGGACAGTTTCACTGTCCTAAACATCTTCTGTGCTGTGCTGGAGATTTTTCATAGATGATTGAACTTCCTTAACCTGGAACAGGTTGAAGAAGTTCCTTTTATTTCTAGTTTGCTGAGGATTTTTACCATGAATGAGTGTTGAATTTCATTAAATTATTGTTCTGCATTTATTAAAATAACCATATGGTGGTTTCTTTTGGCCTTTGTTAGCATAGTAGTTTACATTGATTGATTTTCAAACAGTAAACCAATACTGCATTCCAGGTAAACCTCATTTGGTCATGATGCATTATGATTTTTATATACTACTGAATTTAGTTTCCTAATATCTAATTAAGAATTTTTATGATTTTTGCATGAAGAATATTTTTCTATAGTTTTCCTATGTTTTCTCTGGATTTGATATTAGGGTAATACTGACCTCATAAAATGAGTGCAGAAGTATTTCCTCCTCTACTATTTTCTGAAAGAGTTTGTATAGGGTTGATTATTGTCACAAACAGTTCATAATCCCTTGTTTTAAAAATATCTTTATGATCTCTCTGATGTTTCTCTTTTCATATACATTCTAAATATCTTTCCACTTTTTTATTTTCAAATGTCTCTTTTTTAATATGTTTGGGTCTTGCTTTTTTTTTTTTTTTTTTTTTTTTTGGAGACAGAGCCTTGCTCTGTTGCCCAGGCTGGAGTGCAATGGCGAGATCTCAGCTCACTGCAGCCTCCGCCTCCTGGGTTCAAGCGATTCTCCTGCCTGGGCTTCTCAAGTAGCTGGGACAACAGGCATGTGCCACCATGCCCAGCTAATTTTTGTAGTTTTAGTAGAGACGAGGCTTCTCAGTTTCTCATCTCCATCTGAGACCACCTCAGCCTGGGTTTCATTGTTCATATTATTATCAGCATTTTGGTCAAAGCCATTCAACAAGTCTCTAGGGAGTTCCAAACTTTCCCACATTTTCCTGTCTTCTTCTGAGCCCTCCAAACTGTTCCAATCTCTGCCTTTACACAGTTCCAAAGTCGCTTCCACATTTTTGGGTATCTTTTCAGTAGCAACCCACTCCTGATACCAATTTACTGTATTAGTCTGTTCTCAAGCTGCTGATAAAGACATACTTGAGACTGGGCAATTTACAAAAGAAAGAGGTTTAATGGAGAACTCAGTTTCCACATGGCTGGGGAAGCCTCACAATCATGGCAGAAGGCAAGGAGGAGCAAGTCACATCTTATGTGGATGGTGGTAGGCATAAAGAGCTTGTGCAGGAAAACTCCCCCTTATAATAACCATCAGATCTCATGAGGCTTACTCATTATCGAAAGAAGAGCACAAGAAAGACCTACCTCCATGATTCAATTAACTCCTACTGGGTCCCTCCCACAACAGGTGGGAATTCAAGATGGAATTGGGGTGGGGACACAGCCAAACCATATCAGCTAATTATGAATGTTTTCAGTTATTTATCTAAAAATATTTTTATTTTACCTTCATTTTTTTCAGGCTATAAAATTCTAACCTATGAAATTCTTGGTTGAAAAGTTGTTTTTACTCCTAGAACGTAAAAGATGCCTTTCCGTTTTCTTCCAGCTTACATTGTTTCTGATGAGGAGACAGTGCTTATTCTTATTGTTCTGTATGTGTTCTATATTTCCCTGGCTGCTCTTAAAATTTTCTCTAGCATTTTAGCCATTATTTTTCAAACTTTTGTTTTCTTTGTTTTGATCTGTCACTCCTTTCCATCTTGGACTCCAATTGCACATATGTTAGAATGCTCAATATTGTCTCACAGTCACTGTGTCTCTATTATTTTTTTCAGTCTTCCTTCCCTCTGTATATTTTATTTTGCATATTGTATATTAAACAATTTTCAAAGGCTTTACTTTCTTTTGGAGTGTTCAATCTTTTTTTAGTGTATTTAATGTACTTTTCATTTCAGATATTGTATGTTTCCACCCTAGATTTTTTGTTTTTTTTTGGTATAACCTTTTCTCCTCTCTTTTGAGATTTCCACCTAGACTCTCATTAGATCCATATTTTCCTTTTCTTTTCCTTTTAAGTCATTTTCTCCTAAATTTTACATCTGTATTATCATTTGGCCTGTTTCCATTTACTATTTTTTCTTCATTATAAATCATATTTCCTTCATTTTTACATGCCTAACATTTTATTTTAGCATATGTTGGATATTAAGGATTTTATTATTTTTATTTTGTCTTTAATGTTTTGAAGTAATTTTAACTTTTAGATTCAGTTGGTACATGTGCAGGTTTGTCACATGGTTACATGGGCATATTGCATAATGGTGGGGATTGGTCTTCTAGTGTACCCATCAACAAAATATTGTACATTGTACCCAATAGCTAATTCTTCAACCCCCAAGCCCCTTTCACCCTTTTGAAATCCCCAGTGCCTATTATTTACATCCTCATGCCCATGTGTACCCATTATTCAGCTCCCACCTGTATGTGAGAATAGGTGATATTTGATTTTCTGCTTCTGAGTTACTTCACTTAGGATAATGGCCTCCAACTCCATCTATGTTGCTGCACAACACATGATTTCATTCCTTATGGTTGCATAGTATTCCATAGTGTATATATACTACATTTTCTTTATCCAATCAACCATTTGTGGATACTTAGGTTGGTTCCATGACTTTGCTATTGTGATATTTTGATAGCTATAGTTCTGTGATAAACATGTGAGCGCAGGTGTCTTTTCATGTAATGATTTCCTTTCCCTTGGGTGGATACCCAACAGCAGAATTGCTGGGTGGAAGGGTTTTTGATAAAATTAACAAAAATAAACAATGAAGATAAGATATCTTATTCAGTAAATGGTGCTAGGGAAACTGGCTAGCCATATGCAGAAGAATAAAACTGGACCCCTATCTCTCACTGTATATAAAAATTAACTCAAGATGGATTAAAGACCTAAATGTAAGACCTGAAACTGTAAAAATCTAAAAGGAAACCTGAACATTGGCCTAGGCGAAGCATTTATGATGAAAATCCCAAAAGCAAATGTAACAAAATAAAAAATAGACAAATAGGACTTAATTAAATTAAAAAGCTTCTGCACCGCAAAATAAATAATAAAAAAAAAAAAACAGACAACCTGCAGAATGGGAAAAATATTTGCAAATTATACCTTCATCAAAAAACTAATATCCAGAATCTACAAGGAACTCAAACAACTCAACAAGTAAAAAAAAAAAAAAAAAATTAAAAAGTGGGCAAAGGACATGAACAGATATTTCTTAAAACATACAACATCACTAATCATCAGATAAATACAAATTAAAACTACACTGAGATATCATCTTACACCTGTCAGAATGGCTATTACTAAAAAGTCAAAAAACCACAGTGTTGGCATGGATGTGGAGAAAAGGGAATGCTTATAAACTGTTGGTGAGAATTTGAAGTAGTTCAACGTCTTTGGTAAAACAGAATGGAGGTATGTCAAAGAACTAAAAATAGAACTCTTTGACCAAGGAAGATATTTTTTTCTTGAAGACAGTTTGCTTTTTTTTTTTCTTTTGAACAGTGCTTTGGTTTTAGAAAGTAGTTGATTTATTGGAGAATCAGCTTAATCCAAGCAAAGCTTGGTTTGGAGTTTTGCTGAGGCTACTCTAAGATTACCTTTATACTGGGATACAGTAGCACTTTTCTATGGTATGTAGTTTTTGAGGTCTTAACTAAATGCTCAGAGTATTTAGAAAGGTCTCTACACTTAACTGGTTGGAACTCCACCATATTTCAGCATTGTATAATCTCCAGAATCTCCTTCCAGCTCACAATCCTTCAGTAGCTGTTATCCCAGATTTTTTTTCAGGGTTTCACACTTTACATGCACAGCTTAATATTCAAGGGGATATATCATGTATAGCTTCCTTCTCTCCTGTACTGTGCCCTTCAAATTCCACCTTCCCTAGAAGCCCTGAATTTTGATCCCTCTTTCACTTAGAGAGATTGCTGCTGTCTGTTTGGTCTGTGCTTTACTGCACCATAGTTGGTAAGGTTTTTTGAAGTAGAAAACTGTGGCAAATTTGAAGCTCATTCGTGTGTTTCCCTTTTCTCAAAGATCAGAGACAACTCTCTCTTGTCTATTGTCAAATTCTAGACAGAGTTGCTTAAAAATATTTTGTTTACTTTTTTAGTTATTTGAGACAAAGTCTGACCCATTACTTTTATGTTTATGGTTCAAAATGGAAGTTCTTACAAAGAATTTTTAAAAATATAAATGATATCCCAAAAGTTTGCTCCAATTTTTAAAAAATAATACATTTTAGAAACATTTCCATATCAGTATATATGGATCTGTCTCATTTTCAGAAAATAGTTGCATTATATATCATAGAATGCCTTTGCTGTATTTTATCTAAACATCTCCATTAATAGATAGACAATGCTGCAATAAAAATATACCAGTAGACTACATTTATGGTAGTGGAGTTGATAGATCAAAAGAAGAAATATTTGATATTTTGATAGCTAGTAACAAAAGACTCTGAGAGTGCCATTTTTATTCCTGCCAATAGTGTAAGACAGTTTGTGTTTTTCATTTTTCATACTGTCTCCCACACAGGTATTATATGACAATAATTTAAAAGAAGAAATAAACTTATGTACATTCATTTGTATTAATGGAAATTTCCCAGTGATTTTGTAAGCTGATATTTAATGCTGAGTCCTTTTCCCTCAGTGACATTTTGCAATGTCTGAGGCATAGGAATTAGTAAAAAAAAAAATTACTGAATTAATTTGAATGGACATAGTAAATTTTTACACTTTAAAAAATGGCAATATAGTACAGTTACATTATTAGAAATATTGAAAAAATAAAGAGCTCTGACACTAAAATGGTTAATCAAAGTTAAGAGATGTCCATGACCGACAAGAGCAGCTCTGGTTGGAGTTCCATGGAGGAGTCGTCAGACCAGCTTGCTGAGGTTTTATAAATCTAAACCCTGATCTATGTTTAACCACTTTCCGCTGATTATTTACTCCTCTCTATTCCAGCAGTCTGAAATCTTGAGAGGCATGTTTTCACAACTGGTTGGAAATGAGAGTTAGGTGGGTTAGATCAAACACTTCTTCCCTGTGATCTAGGGAAGGAAATCGAGACCTTTTCAAAACATACTCACTAGATTAGCCATACAGTTTGGGGCTTGTTCTAGCATCCTATATAGACTCTTTTATGTCCATTTAGAGCCTTCAAGAAATTAAGTACAGAAATAGAAAAAAGAAAGACAAGGAGGGTCACAGAGTCCAAATAATTTCTGCAAATAACTCTAACACACCTGGCATCAAGATTGCCCTTTATATGTAGTTACCACAAAATCTAAAAAAAGTAATTTATAAGCATAATTACTCCAAACAAATATCAAAAAGAAAAATATTCATGGAGAACATGAATAAAATGCATACATCATTTGGGCAAGTCATCACACTTTTCTGGGTCTTTCTTTTACTTCTTTATGTATAATTTTAAGACCACTATTTTTTTGTTGTTGTTGACAGAAAAACTGCAGAGAAAGGGTAAACTTTGAACTAAGCCTCAGGGATTGAGAGAAATTGCTAGTTAAACTAGAAAGGAAAGCTATTCCGGGCAGGAAAGAACATCCTTTTTAGGAGGATCCCCTTTACTCTTGAAGACAGAGTTAGGCTCTCCTCCCCTGGGCTTCTGCTGTACTATGTATTTATTTCTGTTATCAATATTTATTTGATTGCATAAGTGATATGGCTTGGCTTTGTCCCCACCCAAATCTCATCTTGAATTGTAGTTTTCATAATCCCCATGTGTCCTGGGAGGGACCAGGTGGGAGGTGATTAAATCATGGAAGTGGTTACCCTCATGCTGCTCCTGTGATAGTGAGTTCTCATGAGATCTAATGGTTTTATAAGGGGCTTGCCCCTTCGCTGGGCACTCATTCTCTCTCCTGCTGCCTTGTGAAGAAGGATGTTGTATTAATCTGTTCTCACACTGCTAATAAAGACATAGCCCAGATTGGGTAATTTATAAAGAAAAGGAGATGTAATGGAATCACATTTCCCCATAGCTGGGGGGAGGCCTTACAATCATGGCAGAAGAGGAAGGAATAGCAAAGGCATGTCTTACATGGTGGCAAGCAAGAGAGCATGTGCAAGGGCACCGAACTGCCCTTTATAGAACCATCAGATTTTGTGAGACTTATTCACTATCACAAGAACAGGATGGGAAAAACCTGCCCTCATGATTCAATTACCTCCCACCAGGTCCCTCCCATGGGGATTATGGGAACTACAGTTCAAGATGAGATCTGGGTGGGTACAGAGCCAAATCATATCAGACATGTTTGCTTCCTCTGTCACCATGATTATAAGTTTCCTGAGGCCTCCCAAGCCATGCAGAACTGTGAGTGTATTAAACCTCTTTCCTTTATAAATTATCCAATCTTGGGTATTTCTTCACAGCAGCATGAGAGCAGACTAATACAATATGTTTAACCCCAAATGTCTAACCCTTGGCCAGACACAGGTGGTCAGTCACTGAACACTTGATGAATAAGGAGACGTAATAGAGTGATGAGACAGAAAAGCATGCCTCGTGAAGGCCAAATCCACTATTGATTTGGCACAGTACTAGGTGGTATGGGGCCCACATCCAGTATTTAAGAGAAGATCAAAAAGTTTATTTCTGTGTATAGGAACATCCTTAAACACATGGTAAAATTAATAGCACACTCAGTGCTCTAAGGTAGAACTGTCCCCTAACTATAGAATTGTCCCTCAATTCTAAGGTAGAATTATCTCCAACAATAGGCATTGGGACGGGAAGAATTGGTTTGCAAAAATTTCAGAAGGCTTTATGGAAAAGAGAAGCTGGCAAATGGGCCCTGAAGGACAGATAAGGTTTGTGTGGGAGAAGGAGAAAGGAAGGCCTCCAGGAAGGGTGATCAGGAGTCAAGGAAAGGAACTGTATGGAACATGTAGTGGCAAGTAGCATTTTATGCTTGATGAATAAAATGAGCCATGTGAGGGAATAAAGGCGAACAAGGTAGGACAGATGCAGGCTTTCCAAATAGCAAAAACTACAAAAATCAGACAAAAGCATTTGTACTTAATGAAGCAAATATGTGAAGCATTCCAAGTTCTGAAAGAGGAGAGTGACACGATGACAGTAACGTTTAAGAATGCCTGGTATAAGTTTAGCAGTAGCAGCCAAGAGATTCTGAGTGACTTGATGTCAGGTGTTGGGTCTTATTTATTTGCGGTGTATATTCTGTGACTAGCATAGTGTCTGACACAGCACATTCTTAATCAAGTTTTAAGTTATCCTCCTGCCCATAATTTCCTCATCAGCTAAACCAGGAATAAGAAGGATATAGCAGTAATCCAGGCATAAGCTGATGACAACCATGAATATGGTGGTTTCAGTATAAATACATAAAAAGGGCAAATCTCAAGGACATTTCAAGGAAAGAAATAACAAATCCTCTTGCAAGATTGGAAATTGTGAGTGAAGAGTTTTGAAGTGATGTTTGGATGTCTTGCCTGAAGAAATAATGGTAGCCCTATATAAAATGGGGGTACTTGTGAAGGATCTTGACTGAAAGCTTGAGAAACATGAAGAGTTTGGGTGATGGAAATGTTGAAATTGGTGGGACAACCAGATGTCAAATTTAAGGTCTCCCATGAGCATTTGGAAGTTTGGAATATATGTGAGAAGTCAAGAACGAAGATCATTTCTATTTCTATGAGTGAGGATGGGGGAAAAAAAAAGAAGTAACATAGGGCTTTGAGGAAAATAATGCCTTGAATGAAGTACTTGAGATAAGAATCAAAGCCTGGAAATACTGGCCACAGAGCAAATGCAACTGGAGCCCTCATTGGAGAAATGTCCATTTATGTGGTTATTCAGCCACTGTGAAGACTTAATGGCTTATATAGATTTGTGTCCAACGTGAATTGGTGTGATAACTAAGACTGGAAAGGACTTGTGTTATCAGAGGTCAACTGGATTCTCCTTCATTGAGTTTCCAGAAAATGGACATTTATTACAACAGAAAACTTAGCAATGCTCATGAATGTTCCATGGGTTTTACTGGCCTTTTCATGCCATCAAAAAGAGACCTATACATTTTCCCTTTGCTCAGAGACATGTATGTTAAGACTTCTGCTGGGAGGCCACTTATTTTATTTGGAAATGTATGAACGAAAAGGGCAGATTGGAGTTTTCTAGACAAAACATTGGAATGTTTTGGGTCATACCTGCTTTCATGATGTTGCTAATGTCCTTGGCTTCATTATTCACACCTCCAAAACAATGCTTTAAGCCAATTTGAAATGTTCCTGGGGGTAGAAAAGATTGATAGTTCTGTTTTCTTTCAAAAAACATTTAGCAATTTTAGAAATCTTTCTTTCCAACATGTCATAGCACACCGCATCTTGCCTTTCACATAAAACATATCACAATGCCTCTTATACAACTTTTGGCTGCAAAAGAATGATCAAAATGGAAATTCGCCTCTACTTTAGAAACAAATAGGGTATTTACACGTAAGCCAGGAAAATTTTCAGAAATGTTTACAAATGCCATGGCTAACAAAACAAAAAATAACTGAAGATTTCCATAGAGGCGTGGCTTTCAAACATTTCTGAGAGTAACTTGAGTAAGAAATGCATTTTATATTATTGTCCGACTCTCTGTGTCTCTGTGCACACGTCCATGTGTCACACACACACACAGATGCACAACTAAGACAGTTTGACAAAACAATACTTATCCTTGCTACTTGGGAATGCACTATTCTATATTATCCCAATCCATGGGATAAAAATGAGGCTGATTGTGATTATTAAAATGATTTTATATCTGTAGGCTGAAAAACATTGCTAAATCATTTATATGGGCCTATAAGAAAAATTTATTATTATTATTATTATTATTATTTTTTTTTTTTTTTTTTTTTTTTTTTTTTTTTTTTTTTTTTGAGACGGAGTCTCGCTCTGTCGCCCGGGCTGGAGTGCAGTGGCGGGATCTCGGCTCACTGCAAGCTCCGCCTCCCGGGTTCACGCCATTCTCCTGCCTCAGCCTCCCAAGTAGCTGGGACCACAGGCGCCCGCCACTACGCCCGGCTAATTTTTTGTATTTTTTAGTAGAGACGGGGTTTCACCGTTTTAGCCGGGATGGTCTCGATCTCCTGACCTCGTGATCCGCCCGCCTCGGCCTCCCAAAGTGCTGGGATTACAGGCGTGAGCCACCGCGCCCGGCGAAAAATTTATTTTTTTAAGCTTGGAAATAGGCCATATGTTTTCATCCTAGGGGCACTTTATAGATCATTTTTATCTCCTCATCCCAAATTGGCCATTAGCCTTACTTAGTGGCGAAATACACACTTGGCTATGGGCAGTTTCATCGCCATGCCCACCTTCAAGGAGGGACTCTTTCTTCCAGGTCTCTTATACCAGCCACCACCTCTCTGTCCTTGATTCCCTCTCTCTGCCATGGTAAATTAAGGAGCAACTCTACTCACCTATCCCACACAAACCTTATTACACATCACGGAACTATGTTCCCCCAAAGATTCTATGCCAAATGATAGACTGGTATTTATTTTGCCCACCCCTTAGTCAAATAGCTCTAGTGACTCAAGAGGCAGAGGAATCTAAGAAAGACAGGATGGGAGCAGTGACCCCAGGATTTCTTTTTTTTTCTTTTCTAATTTTAAAAACTGTTTAATTAAAGCACAATATGCATACAGAAAAGTATCCAAATCATTCAGTAATTAATGCAAAATGAATAAATCTATGTAATGACCACGCGGATCATGAAATAATCCCTCCCGCTCAGGATCCTACTCTGTCTCTCTTCCCAACCATTACTTATTAACTACTCCCTAAACAGCTCTATGGTGACTCCTAATGCTTACTGTAATTGGAACTTTATATAAATGGAAGTATGCAACATGTATTATGTTACCAGGCTTTTGCTCAAAAGCATGTATAAGATTCATCCATGTTTGTGCTTGTAACTTTAGCTTTTTCATTGTGTGGAGTATTTCATCATATTAATATGCCACAATTTATTGGTCAGTTTTATTTTTGAGGAACATTTGGGTCATTTCAATTTAGAGTTAATATTAAGGATGTCATGCTCATTCTTAACACAATTTTTAATACACATGTATGCATTTTTGGGGGGGTACATATATTGAAGAATGAAATTGTTGGATTGTTAAAATAATTTTTTTTTTTTTGAGACAGAGTCTCACTCCACCCCCCAGGCTGGAGTGCAGTGGCACAATCTCGGTTCACTGCAACCTCTGCCTCCCAAGTTCACGTGATTTTCATGCCTCAGCCTCCCAAGTAGCTGGGATTACAGGCGCCTGCCACCATGCCTGGCTAATTTTTTCGTATTTTTAGAGACAGGGTTTTGTCATGTTGGCCAGGCTGGTCTTGAACTCCTGTCCTCAGGTGATCCGCCTGCCTCAGTCTCCCAAAGTGCTGGGATTACAGGTGTGAGCCACCATGCCCAGGCTGTTAAAATAATTTAAAGTGAGGAAGTTTACTATATGTAAGTGCTTTTGATCCGTTTGTTAATTTATGTCCTAAATAGATTACTGAATTCATATGTTTCTAATAAATAAACTAAATAAAACATTTAAAAAATCATAATTTAAAGACATGGCAGTTGACGCAGGCAACCAGAATTCTTAAGCAATAACTGAAATAGTAAAACACAAAAATATACCTAATTAAAATCTGGTTTACATATGTAACTAACCTGCACAATGTGCACATGTACCCTAAAACTTAAAGTATAATAAAAAAAAATCTGGTTTTAAGCTATTACTGACCTAATTTTAAAATATAGTCATCAAATAAAAGTCAAAATAAAAACGAACCTATAAGTTTCTTAAATTCTGAAGTAGTCATTTCAAGTAGTAATTTCAAATTGTTTCGTAATTTTTCAGAACTGTCTCTTATAATTCAAGTGAACTTTATTACATTCATTATTTGGTATAAACTTCTTGAACTTTCAGTTCTATATAAGTTAAGCATTATTTGTGTATGTTTTTTAATAGTAACGATTGCTTTTATTTTTGAATATAATTTTCAAAGCTCGACCAGTTATTTTGTATCACAATTATGATTAGGCTTGTATTTTAAAACTTGGTGGTTTTAACTCAATTGTAGATCATTTCATTTTTATATTAAAATCTGTGTATTCATAGGTTATTATGCAGCAGGTCTGTTTCTTGGGAGACAGCTTCTCACAGCTTCTAATGAAGAAGCAGCAAAATAAAACCTAGAGGCAATCTTGCTTGTTTAGGTTTTCTGCAGGGAAAAAAATTAATTTTCTATAGAGATAAGAATTTCTCTCAGATTTTAAAAGAGCATTTTGTTGCTGGACTAGGAATACACTTTGTGGATTTAATTCTCACTTATGTCTTGGGGGGAAAATCAGATGTAAATAGGACCTGAGGCTCTAACATGAAACTCTTAATGACATGTGTAAAAGCTATTTGAGCAAAAAAGGTCCGTACCAAACCATGGCTCAACTGTATTACCAAGCAGCCTAGTCACCTTGCTCATGAACTAGATGGGATTTACTAGGATCAAGCTCATTTATTTAATATTTACTTCAAAACTAGCAGCATCTTCATACTTTTAAAAATTTCCATTTATATTTTAGATTTGGGAGAACATGTACAGATTTGTTAAAGGATATATTGCGTGGTGCTAAGGTTTAGGCTTCTATTAACCTCATCATCCAGGTAGTGAACATAGTGCCCAATAGAAACTTTTTCAGCCTTTGCCTTCCCTCTCCCTCCTTTCAAAGTCCTCATTGTCTATTGTTCCCATCTTTATGTCTGTGTGAATCCAAGATTTAGCTTCCACTTTTAAGTGAGAGCATGTGATATTTGCTTTTCTGTGTCTGCATTAGTTCACATAGCATAACTGCCTCCAGCCACACCCATGTTGCTGTAAAGGGCTTGGTTTTGTTCTTTTCGTGGCCATGTAGTATTCCATGGTGTTTATGTATACCACATTTTCTTTATCCAATCCATCATTGATGGGCACCTAGGTTGATTTCACATCTTTGCTATTGTAAATAGTGCTGCAATGAACATAGGAGTGCATATTATCTTTTTGGAAGAATGATTTATTTTCCTTTGGGTAAATATACTCAGTAATGGAACTGCTGGGTCAAATAGTAGTTCTACTTTTAGTTCTTTAGGAGCTCTCCAAACTGCTTTCCACAGTGGCTGAACTAATTTACATTCCCATAAACAGTATATAAGCGTTCCCTTTTCTCTACAACCTTGCCAATATCTATTATTTTTAACTTTTCACTAATCACCATTCTGAGTGGCTTGAGATAGTACCTCAGTTGAGTTTTAATTTGCATTTCTCTGATGATTAGTGATATTGAGCACTTTTTCATGTATTTGTTAGTGGCTTGTATGTCTTCTTTTGGGAAGTCTCTGTTCATGTCCTTTGCCTACTTTTTAATGGGATTGTTTGTTTTTTTTTCTGGTTGATTTTTTTAAGTTCCTTATAGATTCTGGGTTATTTGTTGGATGCAGAGTTTGCAAATATTTTCTCCCATTCTTTAGGATGTCTGTTTACTCGTTGAGAGTTTCTTTTGCTTTGTGGGAGCTCTTTAGTTTAATTAAATCTCATTTGTCTACTTTTCATTTGTTGCATTTGCTTTTGGGATCTTCATCATACATTCTTTGCCTAAGACAATGTCTAGAAGAGTATTTCCTAGACTTTCTTCTATAATTTTAATAGTTTGACACCATACATTTAAGTTTTTAATCCATATTGAATTAATTTGTGTATATGATGAGAAGTAGGGGGCCATTCTCATTCTTCTGCATATGGCTAGCCAGTTTTCCCAGCACCATTCATTAAATAGGGTGTCCTTTCCCCATTGTTTATTTTTGTCAACTTTGTTGAAGATGAGTTGTTTGTAGGTATGCAGCATTATTTTGGGGGTTTCTATTCTGTTTCATTGGTCTATGTGTCTATTTTTGAACCAGTACCATGCTGCTTTTGTTACTGTAGCCTCATAGTATAGTTTGAAGACCTGTAATGTGAGAAAGGTCTGAAGCTTTGTTGTTTTTGTCTAGGGTTGGCCTTGGCCATTTGTGCTCTTTTTTGGTTCCATGTGAATTTTAGAATAGGTTTTTCTAATTCTGTGAAAAAGTGATGTTCACAATTTGATAGAAAGTGTGTTGAAACTGTAGATCACTTTGGGCAATATGGCCATTTTAACAATATGGATTCTATTAAGCCATGAGCATGGAATGATTTTCCATTTATTTGTGTTATCTATACATTCTTTAAGCATTCTTTTGTAGTACTCCTTGTGGAGATCCTTCATCTTCTTTATTAGATGTATTACTAGGTATTTTATTTTTGTGGACATTGTAAATGGGATTGCATTCTCGATTTGGCTGTCAGCTAGAATGTTACTGATATATAGAAATGCTACTGATTTTTATACATTTATTTTGTATCCTGAGACTTTGCTGAAGTTATTAACTAGCTCTAGCAGTCTTTTGGAGGAATCTTTAGGGTTTTTGAGGTATAGGATCATATTATCAGTGAAGAGAGATAATCTGACTTATTTTTTTATTTGGATGCCTTTTATTTATTTCTCTTGCCTGATTGCTCTGGCTAGGATTTCTAGTACTATAGTGAATAGGAATGGTGAGAGTGGACATCTTTATCATGTTCCAGTTCATAGGGGAAATACTTCCAGCTTGTGCTCATTACATATGATATTGGCTGTAGGCTTGACATAGATGGCTCTTATTATTTTGAGATATATTCCTTGAATGCCTAGTTTGTCAAGGATTTTTATCATGAAGGGATGTTGTATTTTACTGAATGCTTTTTCTGTATCTATTGAGATGATCACATAATTTTTGCTTTTTAAATTCTGTTTATGGGGTGTATCACATTAATTGATTGGCATATATTTAACCATCCTTGCATCCCAGGAATAAAGCCTACTTGATCATAGTGAATTATCTTTTTGATGTGCTGCTAGATTCTTTCCGCTAGTATTTTGTTGGGGATTTTTGCATCTTTGTTCATCAGGGATACTGGCTTATAGTTTTCATTTTCGGTTGTGTCTTTGCCAGAATTTTCGTAACAAGATGACACTGGTTTCATAGAATGAGTTGGGGAAAAGTCTCTCCTCCTAGATTTTTTGGAATAGTTCCAGTAGGATTGGTACCAGCTCTTTTTGTAGAATTTGGCTGACCCATCTCTTCAAGGGCTTTTTTCCTTTTTGATTAGTGGGTTTTTTAAAAAAAATTACTGTTTCAATTTTTTTACTCCTTATTGTCCTGTGCAGGATTTTTCTTCCTTCCTGGTTCAATCTTGGGAGTCGGTGTGTTTGCAGGAATTTATTCATTTTCTCTAGATTTCATGTTTTATGGCATAGAAATGCTCACAGCAGTCTCTGAGGATCTTTTCTATATTTGTGAGATTGGTTGGATGTCACCTTTGTTAACTTTGTGCTTATTTGGATTTTTTTTGTTGTTGTTGTTGTTAATTGAGCCTAGTGGTCTATATATCTTGTCCTTTCAAAGAATAAACTTTTCATTTTAATGATTCTGTTTGTGTTTTTGGGGGTCTCAATTTCATAAAGTTCTGCTCTGATTTTAGTTATTTTCTTCTGCTAGCTTTCGGTTTTTTTTTTTTTTTTTGGTCTAGATTCTTCAGGTGTGAAATTGAATTGTTAATTTAAGATATTTCTATCTTATTGATGTAGGTGTTTAGTGCTATAAACTTTCCTCTTAACACTGCTTTTCCCATATCCCAGAGGTTTTGGTATGTTGTGTCTATATTTTCATTTGTTTCAAAGAACTTTTTGATTTCTGCCTTAATTTTATTGTTTACTCAAAAGTCATTCAGGAATAAGTTGTTTAATATTCATATATTTATGTGGTTTTGAGTTCCTCTTGGTATTTATTTCTATTTTTATTCCATTGTGGTCTGAGGAGATGCTTGGTGTAATTTTGATTTGTTTGACTTTACTCAGACTTGCTGTATGGCCAAGGATATGGTCAACGTTTGAGTATGTTTCATGTGCAGACGAGAAGAATGTATATTCTAGTTTTTGAATGTAGTATTCGGTAGATGTCTATTAGGTTCGATTGGTCAAGTATTAGAGTCCAGAGTTTGTTAGTTTTCTGCCTCGATGATGTGTTTAATGCTGTCAGTGTTGTGTGGATGTCTCCCATTATTATTGTGTGGCTACCAGAGTCTTAAGTTTAGAAGTAACTTTTTAATAAATCTGGATGCTCCAATGTTGGATGCATATTTATTTAAAACAGTTAAGTCTTTTTGTTGAACTGAAATTTTTATCACCATGTAATGTCCTTCTTTGTCCTTTTTTACTGTTGTTGGTTTAAAGTCTATTTTATCTGATACAAGAATAGTGAATCCTGCTCTTTTTGGTTTTCCATTTGCTTGATGGATCTTTCTCTACCTTCCCTTCTTTTGACCTTATGGGTGTTTTTATATGTGAGATGGGTCTCTTGCAGATAGCAGAAGTATGGGTTTTGTTTTTTTAAATCCAATTTATCACGCTGTGTCTTTTAAGGGGGGCATTTAGGCTGTTTACATTCAATGTTAATTTTGACATGTGAGGTTTTATCCCTGTCATAGTGTTAACTGGTTGCTTTGTAGTCTTGGTTGTGTAGTTGCTCTGTAGGGTCTGTAGGTATGTGCTTATGTGTGCTTTTGTGGTAGCAATTATTCTTTCATTTCTATGTTTAGAGATCACTTAAGCATCTCTTGTGGGGCTGGTCTGGTTGTGACAAATACCCTTGCTGATTGCTTATCTGGAACTTTATTTCTTCTTTGTTTATGAAGCTTAGTTTGACAGGATATGAAATTCTTGAGTGGCATTTCTTTTCTTTAAGAATGCTAAAACTAAGCCCTCCATGTCTTCTGGTTTATAAGATTTCTGCTGAAAAGTCCACTGTTAGTCTGATGGGTTTCTTCTTTTTAGGTAATATGACCCTTTTCTCTAGCTGCCTTTACAATTTTTTGTTTTGTGTTGACTTTGAATAGTCTGATGACCATGTACCTGGAAGATTGTCATCTTGTATAGTATCTCACAGGAGTTCTCTGGACTTCTTGTATCTACATGCTAACTTTTCTAGCAAGATTGCGGAGGTTTTGCTGAATTATAACCTCAAATATGTTTTCCAAGTTGCTTACTTTCTGTTCTTCTCTCTCAGGAATGCCAATACATCATATATTTGGTGGCTTTATATAACTTGATATTTCTCAAAGGCTTTATTGATTTTGCTTTAATTCTTTTTTTCTTATTTTTGCCTGACTGGGCAGGTTTGAAGAATCAGTCTTCAAGCTTTGAAATTCTTTATTCTGCCTGGTCTAGTCTGTTGTTAAGGCTACAGCTGTATTTTGACACTCCTGTAGTGAATTTTTCAATTCTAGAAGTTTTGTTAGGCCTTTTATCTTATTTTTAACATATCTATGTTGTCTTTCAAATCTTGGATCATTTTGTTTTGTGTGAGATTTCAACTTTTGCTTGGATCTCATTGAGTTTCTTTGCCATCAATATTATGAATTCTATACATGTCATTTCAGACATTACATTCTGGTTAGAGTCCATTATTGCTTGGGAGCTAGTGAGATCCTTTGGAGGTGACAAAATACTCTAGCTTTTTGTATTTCCAGAGTTCTTGTGCAAATGAGAAGAAATCTCATTTGAGAGAGCTGATTCTTCCTTTTAAAAAAATGCTAATGTTTGTATGGGGCTTTTTAATTTTTTTAATTCTTTTTTCCTTTGGGGGTATGACTGTGGTATATCTTGTGTAAGGTCTATTGGGTTTGTTTCTGGATGCTTTCAGGGTGCCAAGGCTCTGTATGTATGGGTTCCTTGGTTGTGGACAAGTTCATGTAGTGGCTTTCTCCGTGGTCACTTGTGGCAGTGATGTAATTTTGTTTAGTAATTATTATTGTGTGGCTACCAGAGTCTTTTTTTAAGTTTAGAAGTAATTTTTTTAGTAAATCTGGATTCTCCAATGTTGGATGCGTATTTATTTAAAATCGTTAAGTCTTTTTATTGAATTGAAACTGCAGTCCATTAGGTGGCAGTTAAGAGTAAGAGCCAGCCAATAAGGGCAGGGCAAAGGGAATGGAGAAGCATGAAAAGCACCCTTCCCCAGCATACATTCTTCACCTTCAATGGGGTTGGAACCACTGTATAAGCCTAAGAAGCATTTTCTTTCACCCCACACTCCCTGTGCTCTGATAAGAGCCACTGTTGAGCCTGCAAGAGTGCACAGAGTAAGGAGGCCAGAGGGTGAGAGATGACAGCCTCTTCATATCCGTTTCTGGGTTATGGTGGTGCCGCCTTCAGCAGCTGGTGCTGTACTTGCATTTCCTTGGGCACAAGGGGGGCTTTGGCAGGCTACACTCCCCTCTCCCTTAGGAACAGACTATGCTGAGGGTTAGATCTCCAGTGCTGGGTGTTTTTAGTGGCAAAAGAAAAGTTCACCGGTTATAGCCTCTGTAGGATGGCTTATCCAAGTGCTGGTTTCAGTAGTGATGTACTGGGCATGTGAGCAGACTCACTACATCCCGTGGGGTTAAGGTGGCTGTGGTCACAGGAGGTGTATCTTGTTCCCTAGTGCTGTGTGCTTGTGACAGATTTCCTATTATGTTATGTTGTTCAACCTCCAGGCCAATAGGTGGCTCTTATGGGTTAGAGCTGGCTACAGCCAACGTGGAAGGGCATATACTTGATCCTTTTTTACTGGGAGAAGCTCTCTGTTGGCTCAGGCAATGGGCTGATCTGTGAAGTGCACAGTGGTCTAAGCTCCCTGTTCAGCCCTGGATGGGGGCGGGGGGCGGGGAACCAAGATGTGCAGGCCCTCCTAGGAATCTTCCCAATGGTAGGCACAAGTGCCAGTGCTGACGGAGAATCCAGTGGGTGGCCACCAAGTGCCTAGAGGTTTGCCTAGGTATGGACCTGGGAAACCTCCTCAACCCCAAGTTCTCTGCATGGGGAGGAAGGGAGGCCTAAACTCCTAACCAGGTGCTACAAGTGCCTGGAGATCTGCCTGGACAGGGAGCGGAGAGGGCCTTGCTGCACCACAATCTGTGCACAGGAAGGGTGGGGCAGCTCAGGTGGCTAATTCAGGCAGCAAGTGCTCTGAATGCCTGGAGACATGCCTGGGAGTAGAGTGGGGAGGGCATCAGTGCCCCACAGTCTACACATAAGACGGGTGAAGTGGCTAGGCTGCTGATCCAGGGCATGCTAGAAGGGGGCATATTGAAGCTAATTTTAGCAGGTTTGGAGTTTCTTGTGGAGGAAGATAGAACATTTCTGGAAATAGATAGTGGTAGTGGTTGCACAACATGGCAAATACACTAAAGACTACTGAATGGATACCTTAAAATGGTGAATTTTGAGTTTATTCAAACTTTAATAAATTTAGTATATCGCAATAAAAATACTATCAAAAAAGAGAGGTAAATAAATTCTAGTTCATCTAACTTCTGCCTTATCACAATGGCTGTTATGTGACTAGATATTTCTAAAGATCTTAAAGTGATTTGTTATCTATGTAGATTAAATTTATAAATATATATATGTATGTGTATATATATATATTTGCTATTCTGTAATTTGCCAAGCTCTTCCCTATTATATGTCTTATAACAACTTTAAAGTTAGACCACTTCATGTAAAGGAAATTTCACTGTTATGAGTAACTAATCTACTTTAAGCAGTGGGTGAGGGTGCGTGTATCCATGCATATGCTAACGTGTGTGTAGTAGTATTTTCACTACTTGGCATGCACCTAAAATATGTATTTGCAACATCATATTTTTACTGTTATTTACTGAACACCTGGTGCTTGTACAACCTGTCCTAAGTGCTCAAGAAACATAAATTGTGATCTCTGTTGTAAAGAGCCAGCCAGCACATCTGGGAAACAAAACATAACATGTTTCCTTCTCTCAGCCAATTGAGAGAAGGAAAACCCCGGGCCAAACCGAGCAGGAGGTGCAATAGTGACCATTATAGGCATTCAGAAGAAGGGAAATAAAGTCTCCAGGAGAAGATGGGTCTTTGGATGTAGAAGAGTGAGATATCTGAGAAAAAAAGAGAGCAAAGACTCAGGAGCCGGAAGGCCATGGGGAGTTTGCTTAGCACCTGGCCTCTGTGGAGGTCAAAGCAATTTCCTCCCACCTTCATTTTTCTATAGTCTGCTAGGGTCTCGGAATATTTATCGTGAGTAAGGATATCTTATTTCAGAGAGAGGACAATCAAGGTGCTGAGATTTTTAAAGGAGGGTTCAGATAAAAGTAAATTAAGCTGGCCAGGCATGGTGGCTTAAGCCTGTAATCCCAGTGCTTTGGGAGGCCGAGGCAGGTGGATCACAATGTCAGGAGATCGACACCATCCTGGCTAACACAGTGAAACCCCATCTTTACTAAAAACAAACAGAAAAAATTAGCCAGGTGTGGTGGTGGGCACCTGTAGTCCCAGCTACTCAGGAGGCTGAGGCAGGAGAATGGCATGAACCTGGGAGGTGGAGCTTGCAGTGAGCCGAGATCGCACCACTGCACTCCAGCCTGGGCGACAGAGCAAGACTCCGTCTCAGAAAAAAAAAAAAAAAAAAAGCAAATTAAGCTATAATACATTAAAGAGATTTTCAAAAGAAGGATCTGTGGCTTGCCTGGAATATTCTCTTGCCTCCCAGAACTTCCAGCCAGCTTCTGGTAAGAGAGATCATTAAAAAGAAAATTTAAGTTGTTTTTAAAGCATCAATTTCCAATTAGAACATGTTCAAACTGCAATACTAGGAAAATAGAGGGCTTTTGTAGCCTGTAGATTTTTCTTTCCAGTGTACTGAGAGAAACTGGAGTTTTAAACAAATTCAAATGAAAATTTAGCAAACTAAATAATAATTCAGAACAATATATCTGTTAGGATGTGTTCTGCTTTCTCAAAAAAATGGAAAGGTGTACATCAAAGAAGTGAATCTAAATGTAGAAATTAAAAATGTATTTGTACTTGGGTATAGAAGAGTGGCAGTTTTATTTTTATTTTTATTTATTTTTGAGATGGAGTTTCACTCTTGTCACCCAGGCTGGAGTGCAGCAGCGCAATCTCAGCTCATTGCAACCTCCTCCTCCCGGATTCAAGTGATTCTCCTGCCTCAGCCTCCTGAGCAGCTGGGATTAAAGGTGCCTGCCACCACGCCCAGCTAATTTTTTGTATTTTTAGTAGAGACTGGGTTTCGCCATGTTGGGCAGGCTGGTCTCGAACTTCTGACCTCTTGATCTACCCGCCTTAGCCTCCCAAAGTGTTGGGATTCCAGGTGTCAGCCACGGTGCCCAGCCGAAGATTGGTGGTTTTATCTATGTGGTAGCGGCAGTACAGAGGCAATTGGTGTAGGAGTACCAAAACTAAATGGTTATCACTCTGTATCTGTTTACCACTTGTCTTTGACTTGGCTATATCCCTTGCCTCAGTTAAACCAACAGTGCAACCCACTATGTGTGAAGCATTATTCTGGACACAGAAGGGGAGACAGATGTGGTAAGGCACATTTCATAATGTCAAGCTGCTTACTCCACAGACACACATTTTCTATAGTTTGTTCCGTGGAACACTGTCTTGGAAGTTACTCCACAAAGAAGAGTTTGATATCTAAACTGATTTGGGAATCCCCTATATCCCAGAGCTTCCTCTTGAAGATTGACAGTTCTTACTAGCATAAGAAAAGCACCAACACACACACACACACAAGAGAAGAGACATGCTTAACTCAGAACTCCCTGTACATTTCTCCTTTAGGAGCCTAAAGCTAGTGACCTGCAGTATACACTAAGAAAAGTTAAGATCAGTGCTGTCCAACAAAACTTTATGCAGTGTTGGAAATGTTTTATACCTGTGCTGTGCAATATGGTAGCTAGTAGGCACATGCAGCCACAGAGCACTTTAAATGTGGCCAGTATGATTGGGGAACATCATCTTTAACTTTATTAATTTTAATTACTTTAAACAGCCACACATGGCCAATGGCTACCATATTGGGCTGTGCAGCTCTAGATTATTAAATGTAATTCTTTTAGAGAGTCTTTTAATATAAACTTAAATTGTACACTATTTGGCATGGGGAGAAAAGCGGGACACGTTGGGAAGTTTTGAGAGAGTTATCAAAAGTTCAACCGATGCTATTATTTTTGAAAGTTCTAGCACCTGAAAATGCCTTTCCAAAATCTTTGGAAGTCTTTTAGTTTCAAAAAGTGGATCTGTCTCAACACGTGTATAACTCTTTAACATAATTGCACTTCCATTGCTCTGGGTAAATTAGGTATCCTGCTCTAAGCCTTCAGGCTGTGATGCAGACACCAAGCTATACTCAGATGAGACTCACATCTGACAGTCCAGGGGATCCCTGGACGTACTGCCAGGCAAAGACATTGTTAAATGACTTGACATACAGTAATTCTAAAATATTCGTTATCAAAGGTTTCTTTCCTCAAAGTTTCTGTTTTACTTCTATATTTATTTTGGCTAAAATATGTCTTTCTGGTTTTTATATTACGAATAACATTAACCCAGCTAAATATTTTCAGGTTAAATAGAATCAGTGGTGATCCTGGGAAGGCTGTAAAAATGGCAGTTTTTATTTTGTTTATTCCTTTTCTTACGATGTTTGGCTTTTGATGTCTTCAGAAGGCTTTAGAACACATCCAAATTTTTCACATATTGACTCATTTTTAACTTTTTCTGCAGATGTCCTGAGCCCCCGATGCCTCCCTCCAAGGGCTTCATGCTTTTGTAGCTCCAGCTTCACTTACTGTTCACAGAGCATTTCTGTTTGTCCTACAGATAGAAAAGGTCCTGGAACAAGGGTCACACCAAGAGAGAAAAGAGTGGCGTCTCCAACCCTAGTAATGGCTAAGCTCCCATCTCTTCCACTAAAAGTGTCTCAGGAAGAGCTGGCTGTATGGCAAAGAAGATGGGTATTTCTATATGAATCAATTGCCTTGAATAACCTCAAGAGAAGAGCTGCAGACTTTCTCCATTCCATAAATGTATAGAAATTATGATCAATAGAAATTGAGAACTGCAGCCTTCAACGAGAAACCCTCTGAAAGACTATGTATTCATTAGACATCCTTTTATTTACTTTGTGGTTTAGGTAAGTAAGGTCAACGTAACTTCAGAAATAACACTAACCCTTCAAGGCTGAATCAAAATTTATGGTAGGCAACCACAAACGAAAAGCCTGATTTGCTTTCACTGAGTTTAGCTGGTTAGACCCTGGTATTCTCAGGAATAACTAAAATGTTTCATTGCCTCATAGGCAAACTTGTAACTCCTCTGGTTGGATCAGAAAATGAATCCATATATGGATTCAATTAGATATTACTGCTGATAATTGTTAGCAAGACTTTCTTCATTTTCCTCCTAATAAGAACATGCTTACTATTGCATAAATTAGAATCTGGCTCTATTGTTGGGGAGGAGCAGCAAAAACTGAATAGATCAGCTTAGTTTGGAGTCTGAGTCAGGATTTTCACTCATACTCATACACTTACTAGAAATAAAATCAAGTCTCAGTCCATTAACTGCCTGTAAAATCTTACATTAGAAAGTAGGGTGGTGTGTATTGTATATGCACGGATAAATGTTGCTTTATTTATGTAAGCCTTAGCCCGGAAAAGTAGCCCTTGAGGAGAAGTAAAGATGAATTTCAAGGCGCTACCAAAATAATGGTTCATAGCATCATTATCATTTTCTCAAATCCTTGGAAATCTTTTCTGTAGAAACTCTCATGGCTGCTACATAAGATCAGAATTTAGGTAACTGGTTTCTCTGAACTTAAGAAAAACCATTCTAGGTCAGCCGAATAGTCCAAATGGTCAATACTTTATTTGGCATTTCTCAGACGGTGAAATCTACGGATAGATTGGTTGCTGTCTTAAAACATTGTGTTGTCCAAATCCCTCAGCAGTCTGGTAAGGTGTACCGTCTGTGAATTCAGCTCAACTTTTATGTTACCCTGTGCTGTGGTCAGAATGTTTCCCCTGAAGTTCATATAGTAAAATCTTATCACTCAAGGTGATGGTATTAAAAGGTAGGGTCTTTGGAGAGTTATCAGATCATGATGGCAGAGCCCTCATCAATAGGATTACTGCCCTATAAAAGAGGCCTAAGGAAGCTTGTTTGACCCTTCCGTCATGTGAGGACACAGCTCAAAGGCACCATCTATGAACCAGAGATCAAGCCCTCTCTAGACAACAAATCTGCCAGTGCCTTTATCTTAGACTTTCTAGCCTCCAAAATTGGGAGAACAAAAATCCTGTTGTTTATGAGCTACCTAATTTATAGTATCTTGAAGTTGTGGACCAGTGTCTTTTCAATGTTTTTGACCATGATCCAGAGTAAAAAACATCACAATCCCATACTTCCACACAAATAAAAAAAAGTTTCATAATTCTACCTACATGTGAGTCACTGGATATTTCCTATGCTATGCTATGCTATGCTATGCTATGCTATGCTATGCTATGCTATGCTATGCTATGCTATGCTATGCTATGCTATGCTATTCCCTACCATATTTCACTTTTAAATGCTTATCTCTACTCACAAAATGGCTTTCAAATTCACTAATGGGTTGGGATCTGCAGTTTGAAAAACACTGTAGTATGTATTCTTAAGTACCTGTCTATGTATAGGAGACATATCTGAGTTTGAGGTATAGGCATAGATTAAAAATCAGTATATAGGTAGTAAGTGGACAAAATGGGCTGGGGAGAGACTATAAAGTGAGAAGAGTAGAAGGCCAACAGTGTAGTTCTGGGGAAATGGCATGGAGGAAGCTCATGCCAGAGGAGAGTGTGCTATAGAAGCAATTGAATAGATTGTTTTGACAAAGAAGGAATAATGTTCAATGCTGCTAGGCAGTCAAAATAATCAATGCAGTTTCCATTAGATTAAGGATGTCTAAGTCACTGATCACCTTTGTGTAAGAAATGTCAGGGTGTTAAGGGGAAATATTAGATTTCTGTAGGTTGAAGAAAGAGTAGGAAGTGAGGAAATAGAAATAGAGACGGACAACTCCTTTAAGAAACTTGTCTCTGAAATAAAGGACTTATGTCAGTAGTATCTGGAGAAGAAAATAAGTGGTGGGATGGAAATACTATACTGTACCTTCTCTTATTTGTCATAATACTCTCTATTTCAAGGTCAGCACTAGCTAGGGCTAGCTCTAGGATTACAGAATTAAATGAGTAAATCCACATTGGCTTGATGCATTCTCTCTTGTGTGGTTATGTGGCCTTTCATTCTCGGTGTTTTTATGAACACACATACACACATATATATATACACACATATCTATATGTTAATATAGAAACTATATATATGTAGATGACCTATCTATCTAGCCCCTCTACTCTGAAGAGAACATATTTAGAAGAGTATATCAGCAAAGTTTCTAGGTTGATCCATATGCAGATACCCTAAAGTGCCCCTGGGATACCCCTAGCTATCACAGAATACTGGAGCTTTTGCTGAAGAATGCCCTAGTATAAGACATATAATACCACCAAGGGCTGCAAGTCTTCCTTCTGATATGATTCAAACCGTAGGCTATAGATGTAATTTCTTTCAGTGGCAGAAAAGTTATTCAAAGCTTTATTTGAACATGCCTTGGGTTTCAGCTTTAGGAGGTACAGAGTGAGAAAGTGAATATATTTCAGTTTCAAAATCTAGTTATCAACTATGTCAAGACACATAATTGCTCTATATTTAAATTACTGCCAATGATTAGCAATAACCTACAATCTCCTTGACATTTCTGTTAAGTATATTCTATGGTTTCTAAATAAAACCTACCAACCTTAGGACACATAGGTCAAGGAAATTTTATAATAAGGTCTCAATGATAAGATTATTTGCTCTAGAATCCAGCAGCCAGCTGAGCAGAGTACATATGTCAAACTATTTCCTCCCATTGGCCTTTGGTTAAGGATGGAGTGTTTTGTTTATAAGATACTTTGGGCTTTAAGGAGAACTATAGAACTATATCTGTTCTAAACTAGAAGTTGTTATAAATCATGATCTTCATTTTACATTGCTTAATTAATAGTGTGAGAGATTTAAGAGACATAGGTAGTTGTTGCTATTGAAAGTAAACTCTGACCATTTCCTAATTTCTTCTTTTCTGATTCTTCTCAAAATATTCACACTTTTTAAATATGGAAAGGTATTTTATACACAGAAAAGGCACTGTGTCAGACAAAGGGTCTGGTGCCTCAGCTTCGCAGCTCTTCCTAGAAATCCAAGATTGTTTTTTTTCCTAGGACTAGGAAGCCAAAAGTGTCACACGGTCAAAAATGCTTCCATCTACTGGTGAAACTCAGGAATACACTAACATTTCCCTGCCTGAAATGGTTAGTTGAGGACACAAAGCAACCCAAAGCGAGCGGAGCTTGGCCATGGAGCTCAGAAATTCAAAATAGTCAGTTCTTGCTGATGGTGAAGGTAAGTTCCAATCAACAAGCAGGCTATTCAGAGAGATGAAAGGAGGAGCAGGGGGTAAGATTAGAACTCTGGTTCCCCAAGGCTCTGTTCATGTATTCTCTCAAGGCCTTAAACCAGAAATGGAATGGCTCCAGAGGTCAACTGACCTTTTGCCTAATGTCCCCTAGTTGGGTCAGTTGCTCCCTCACAGTCAGTCACTTTAATTCATTCCTGTGGGTGAAAATACATGACTGTTTCCCTTTCTAACAGTCACAGAGGGTTGACTTGCCATGGTGAGCAGTCGCCAGATAGGACAATGGAATTCATCTCATTCCTGTGATGACTTTAGATATGAAATGCCAGGCTGCTTGGCCTAGGGGAAGGTGCTGTAAGTTATAGGCACTAAAGCCAACTCTCCCAGCCCCCTCTGCTCCTTTTGACAGTCTCCCTCTTGGGCTGTGATCTGGCTGAATTAATTCATAGCTGCCAGTTATGAGGACTTTATCTGCATTGTTAGCATTCCTTCTAACCTGCAGCCTCTGTTCATTTAATGATTATCTGATGGGGATTGATATTAAGTGAAGAGGAATGTTCAAATCACGCTGCCTTTGGCAAGTGGGAACTAAAATAACAGAATTTCAGTTTAGGAGGGAAATATTTGCTCACTAATATGAAATTTTTCTTAGTAGGATTGTGGAATGGAAGGGAAAATTCCAGAAAAATATTCTGGCAAAGCGGACTTGAATGGATGGTTCTCCAGTACTTTATTTATTTGGCCAAAAGATGAGGAAAAAAAGCAAAAAAGGAGGCAAAGAATAGGTAATATAGGAATAAACTTCTCCTAGCCATTTTTGGCCATTTTAGGCAAATATTCTCTACTTAGTCTCACTATTAAACTCAATTATACAATGTATTTGCATTAAACTAATTTTAGCAAGCGATAGTAAGAGTTTTTAGAAGACTCAGCTTTCAAAGAGGAGTTTTCTTAATGGACATATTTTTAAACAGATTTCTTGAATTCATAGCTTTCTCTCCAGAATCTCTGACAGGTGAGAGAGCCTCTGAAAGAATTGTATGGAAAGGAACAAAGCTCACACAAAGAATTTATCAATTTAGCGAATGCAGTTATGACTGCAGCTGACTTTCTTCAAAATGACATACTGCATGAGCACATAGACTCAAAAGCATCCTTTTCTACTGAAGGCCTACAGCAGGCTCACAGGCAGTAAGCAAGACAAAAAAGAAACTCAGGGGGACCAATGAGATTCCAAAGGGCAAAACTCCCAAGCGTCCTTCAGAGAGAGAGGTCAATTTCACAATAACTCAAAATATATTTATATCACGCTAAGCTGACAGCTGAGGCATTTACACTTTGTCTTTTCACAGGGCATGTAAGTAACTGTGGAAAGGCTTAAGTTTCCCTGCCTTAAATACGTTTCCAACATACTTGTGAAACACTCACCATGATAAGTCATGCCCATTTTAAAGTAAATCTAATCTATGTATATAAAAAATTATGGTGGTTCTTTCAGTGTCTTATGAAAAATGGGAAAGGGACCGGGCTGAGTTAGTGCTTTTTTTCTCGTCTTTGAAGGCAGATAGAACTTGAGAAGTCAATTACTACTGAGAGTGAAAGCCTAGAGACTGATGAAAGAACTCAGCACCCAATAGCCTTCCTTGAAGCTTCACTGAGCACTAGTGTGTTGGTGGGCTGGCCTGAGCCATGAGTGTCATTTGAGAAAGAGCAAAACTCTAATAATCAAACAGTAAGAGAGGAAAGGACATGAACCTTGGCCATGGCTGCCAGTTTTACCACTGAGGATACCCATCCCTTTCCCTGTGTTTCTGCCTGCCTGGGACCTCTCTGCATGTTACTTGAATTGCTCTCCCTATCATGTTCTTCTTTGGTTCATGCCTTTTATCTTGTCAGAGTTGCGAAGACTTTCTGATGAAGACATGCTCACCAACCGAGAAAAGTCCTTCCCAGGTCCGTGGAACAGAAAGAACTGAGCAGGAGGGCAGGGCTGGCTGGCGAGCCAAATGTTGTCATAGATGTGGGGCTGGAGAGGCTGAGCACTCCATCAGCAGCTGGAACCTTTGCTTTCTAACTACAGACTTTTAGAGAGCAGAAACCTCTCTCAAAGGTGGTGTCAGACAAGTGAGAGGTCCCTAGGGGACGCCTTTGGCAGCACCTTTAGATGAGATTGGATTTGCTTATTTACCTATCTCAGAGCCCTCTGGACTGGGGCCTCCTTTATGGCAGAGAAGCAGAGAACTTGTTCTATTTGATTTAAGGCCCCCATTTGCCAGAGAAGCAAGAAATCCAATCTCAGTCACAGTTCACAGCTTGGCCCTTCGTTTCCAGAGCTGCCTTGAAATTTAGGGGCTTAAGTACTGCTCTGAAAATAGAGAAAGAGTTCTTAGCCCTCCAAACAAGATGATTGCTATGTAAATGGTCTTTGTCTAAACCCTGTGGTCTATTTAGAGTGGGTATGTTCATTTGATGAGGTCACATAATATACTGGTTAAGAGGACAGCTTCTGTGGCCAAATGAACCAAGCATGAAATCGACACTTTCTAGCTGCGTGGGAAAATTCCCCAGCTTCTCTGTGCCTCAGTTTCCTCTTGCATAAAACAATACCCCTCTCACAGGGCTGTTGTGTGGATTAACAGTGTTAAAGCATGCACAAGGATTACAACAGTGTCCAGAACACTGTAAGAGCCCTGTCAATGTTACTGCCTCTTGCTGTCTGAGCATCTTTAGTTGTGCTCTGAAAACTGCTCCTCCTGGTGATGCCCTCCGGGCTTCCATGTGCCATTCCTTTGGAACCCCTGTCACCCCTCAAAGCATTTCATATGTACACCATAGGAATAGGAAGAAGGTACCAATCCTGTCACGCTATAGCTGATGGCCCCCTTCCTATCCACTCCCCTAAACCCCTAAAGTACACAGCTCTCCCAGATCAAACACACACACCAGCACTTTTTCCTCTGGGAAGGCCAGTACTCCCTCTCTACTCTCAGTAGCAGCCTCTGTCATTTGTCCTTTACTTGCCAAACAAAAGCCTATTCATTTATTTGTTGGAGGTGGGGGATCGGCTTCAGGAAAGCTTGCATCACTGTATTTATTAAAGATTGCACAGCCCAAATGCAGATAAAGCTTCTCAGAGTAGGAGAAGAAAAAACACTACTCTTCCTTCTGAGTCTTCTATGGTAGTGAAGGAAATGACAGACTAAGATGAGAATATTTTGCTCCACTATGTTTGTGTGTATCATCTGGCTCTCCTACTAGATTGTAAGCTCCATATAGTCAGTGAATTTAGCTGCAGAACTTCTTCTGTATTTCACATTTATTAAATAAATTTAAATGAATGAATAAATAAATCTGAATAGGGATTTTATTTATTAGGTGTGAAAGTTTATTCTTTTTACTTTCTCACTCTTTCCTTTCAACAGCAAAGGTATGCTGTTCAATGTTTAATAACCAGCTCTTCATGGAGACGGGGAAGTCCTGATCTGCAGAACTTGCCAATTTCTTTGGTGTGAATATTCCTGTTATAGGTGATTGCAAGTGAGTAGCTCACAAAATTCCTGGAGATTTAATAATTGGCTCTAACATGCAGTTACAGAATAGCTCCAGCATACCACTAAAAATAGGTATTAAATTTGTTTTATATATTATAGGGAAGATCCAGTATTCTTTAACATAAATTGAAACTATAATACAAATTCAATGGCTATTCTTCTAATTATATGACTACATGTATACACAAATAAATGAACAGGTGTGCAGAAAGAAGTTAATGTAGCAGGCCTGAGACTGATATCCAGAAAAAAAAAAAAAAAAGGCTTACAAGGTTGGCCCGTGACTGGCTTTGGGGAACTTACATTCTAGAAGGTTTCCCACTATTCCCAAAACTCCACGTGGAATCTCTTCTCCTCTGTATTATCACAGTATATTGATATACTTTCATTATGGAACTTAATACATTGCCGTATTTCCAGGTCCCCTTAGCAATCCCCATTTTCACCCCCAGTTCCAAGACAACGAGCTTCCCAAGGGCAAAAGCCACTGCTGTTCTTTTTGTGATTGTAGTGGGAAATAGAAGGCCCAGCACCTACTAGGGCATTGGGTTCTCTAAATAGATTGTATTGCATGGGGCAGGGACATTTTAGGTCATGAGAGAGGTTGACTATGGTGTGAAAAATGAAAGACTATTTAGATGGAGGGCCAATTCTGAAGCTTTGTTGACAGTGAAGACAGAAACAGATATCCCTGTCCCTTCTCCTGTCTCTTATCCATACTGTGTTCTGGTGAATGGGTTATGGGACATCTATGTGCCCTTTCCTCATTGTGTTTCCAATGTCTACTGTGCTATGGATATCTGAAGGGCCTCCAATGTGCTTGATCTTTCATAGCACCCCAGGTGGCTGCTCAACTTTCCCAATTCCCATCATATGGAAGGCAGCAGAGCAGAAAGGTTGGGACAGAAACAATACTAATTAAAGGTCATTGGAGAAAGGGTTCCTTCATTAGGAGATGACTTCAAGGAATCAACAGGGAAGACATGAAGTCTCTAATTCTATGAAATTCAAGTCTCTAATTCTATGAAATTCCAGACTTCCCCTTGTTGGCTATTGTTTTCCCATGTTTCATTAAAACTGGTTTCAACACTTCAGTAACATGGAATTTGAAGGCTTGTCTTCCATTTTCACTCAGTCAGGCATGCCTAGCATTTTACTGGTAGACTGAAGGAATGCAGGTCACCCAAACAGGACAGATGACTGGAATAATTTGAAATCATGCCTAGTCTTTTTTTTTTCTTCTCTCTTAGCTCATGTACAGAAATGTTGGAAGCTTATTAACTTCTGGTAAGAATAGTTAACAGCAAGGATGAGAGAAATGAAGCATTCAGATGATTAATATAAAATGGTATCAAAACAATGGGTTACTCATTGCATTTTTTCATTTCCCAATGATGAAAAGCCACTTCCGTTCCTCCAGCTTTGGAGCGAACATAATATAAGCACAAATGAATTGAGTGGGAGAAAGTTTTATGACCTTTATTATTTGGCCCAAGTTCACAGCAATGTCTGAAGAGAATGCCAGGAAATCTCTGTTTAGACTAATTTGCAGAAGAAACTACTGTTAGGGAATGATAGCTGTGTATTTATTTATTGAATTCGTCTCTTGGACATAAACATACTGTCTACTAACCTATTTACATGTTTAATTAAACACATTTTCCATCAGATTAAAATGAGAACAGGAAACTACCTCTCAATGGGTTTATGTGGAGTGTCAGCCACATGCCAGACCCTGCACTAGAAACCCTGGTTGCACAGTGGTTAACAGAACAGACTTGGTCCTTGCCCTTGTGAAGCTTATAGTTTTGTGGGAGAGAGAAATTAAACAAGAAAACAATTAAATGAATAATCACAGATTATGATGTACAATAAAGGCAGTGGGTGCCAGGAAGAAGAACTTATATTTGGTGATGAGAGACCACCTCTCTGAAGAAGGTACATTTAATCTGAGGCCTTAAGGATAAGGAAGAGTCAGCTGGGAATAACAAATGTCTATTTGTGGGAATAAACAAGGAGGGGACGTGCACACAGGCAGAGTGAACAGCGTGTATGTGGATTTGAGGCAAGAAATACCTTGCAGAGATATGGAACTGAAAGACTGTAAATATGGTTGGAGCATACTGAAGAAGGGGAGAATGGTATATGACATCCTCTACAGTAGCTAGCCCAGTCCCCTCAGCACGCTAGGGTTCAATACATCTAGGGTTCAATACATTTTTGTTGATAATGAATAAAGTTCCTAAAAAAATTTTAAGGTTAACTTGTGCCCCAAGTTATGATCTCATCCCCAGTCATTCTAACATCTCTTCCAAGAATAGAAACTATTGGGGAGAGGGCACACAGCCTCCTGGGATAGACATACACTAATGTGGACGCTGAATTTTATGCAACAGAAATAAAATACTGCCAGTGAGTTGTGAATTTGCCTATTGGATTAAGAAGCTTAATTCAATGGAGTTTAATTGGGACAGATTGGTTGGTGATAGTTGGTAGCAGGGAGCTGGAGTGTTTAGCCAAGAACTACAAAAATCTTAACACTCTTTTTGCTATGGCCTCATCAATAACTGTGTCCCTCAGCTTAAATCCAAAGCAAATGGAGTTGATGGGGTGGAAAAAAATTATTTTGTACTCTATCAGTGTGGACCTAAATCACTGACATTTTCCAGTCATGTAAACTTTAAACCAGGAAAAATGAATCCAACTCATGAGGGCATCCAGATTGTATTTCAGCTACGCACAAAATGAAGAATGGGTAGACTACCAAGGAAACAAGTAGCATAGGGTATAGTGCCATGATTCAGTTTCAAATGAAATTCATATTGAGATAAAGACAAATAATTGAGCCAAGTTCTGAACTTATTTCCAACTCTCCCAGACTGGAAGTGCTCAAGAATATACGACCAGCAAAAAAATTCATTAACAGATTCTTTACCTTCTTGAGCACTCTTTTATCATCCTGGAGATTTACTGGAATGAGTTGACTCAATGTAAATTAGAAACATATGGATTAAATATCTCAAAGTCACCAGATGTGATGGAGATTTTGACAAACTAAAAGATCACTGAAAGGTATTTGGAAGTGTTTTCATAATCCAAAAACCACCAGGTTGGCCCATCTTTAAAAATGAAGTTATGACCTTGTAAACATTATAATAGTTCTCATGTTTTTATGTTTAATAACACATTCTGTCATCACTGCTCATAACATATAATTATTTGGGTGTAAAACTGAATATGCAGATGTAAAAATGGTAGAAGGGTGTCCAATGGAGTAGTACTTTTCTAACAGACTATCCTAAGATTCCATGGATAATGGTAAATCAAGAAGTCAGTTAGTGTCATACCTGACAGGGTTCTCATTAGCAAAACCAAAATTTACTCTAGTTAGTTTAAACAGAAAAGAACTTTGCCAAAGGAAATTAGGATGCTCACCAGTTTTCTTAGAGAGCCAGAGAACCAAAGTAGGGGCTATACAACTAGGAATGGTACCCAAGCCACACATCAAGGCCTGCTGCAGCCCAGACCTTCCAGATTGCAGTGAAGATGCTGGTGACTACAAGACACAAAGTTTTTCATTCTTTGCATCAAAAGGCTGGTACCTCTTCTGCCTTGCTTACTGAAAGACAGACTCTGCATACTCTCTTTTCACATGAATCAATTACAAAAGACTTTCATGAATGTATCTGATTGGCAGAACTCAATTTACTACATCCCTTGTGATGCACCTAGAAGGTAATCTAGGGGAGAGAGTCTGGCTCTTCTTGGACAAAAGGAATATACAAGGTGGGAATTTCTCCATTAATAGCAATGTTGTGCATAAGATGCTGGATGGCCACAACAAGGAGAATATTCTTTACAATTTATATTTTGTAATAATACAAGATTATAAAGGACACTTCACAATCTTGTTTTGCTATGCAACTAATGATACAGTTATTTTATATATGCTTGTATTTTTCTTCATGGCTATTTTTATTACTTATATTAGAGACTCTCGCTTAGCAGTCCAACACATTTCCTATGTGAAACCCAAGTGAAAATCAGAAAGTAAGAACTCCTAAAAATGGGGGTGATGTGGGTTTAAGCATACCTGAAACATGCATATGATTTACATGACTGTACTTTAGGCATTCTACTCAGAGCCCATTGATGCGTTTTCTTTTGACAATTTATTCTGTGTTATGTTCCCTCACTAGGAGCAAAGTTTCAAGAATAGTTCAATAGACAACCATACACTTTTCACATGGATCAATCTCTCTTGCTTCAAAGAGTCCAGGCCAGTTGTTTATCAGAATATCCCACATTTTGAATTTATATGGTTTCCTCATGACTAGATTTAGAATAAATACATTCGGAGGAAATGTTACATAGATGATGAGGTAGTCTCAGTCATTTCTAAAATAAGGCAAATGATATTAATTGTCCCTTTACTAATAATATTAAGTTAAAACATTTGGTAAGTTGGTAGACTTGAAATGTCTTCTTGGGGTGGAACTAAGATGGCTGAATAGAGGCAGCTCCACTCTGCAGCTCCCACAAAGAAGGACAAAACTGAGTGAACTCTGCATCTTCAATTGAAGTACCAAAGTTCTTTTTATAGGAACTGACTAGGTGGTTGGCGTGACCCACAGAGAGCAAGCAAAAACAGAGTAGAGCAAGACCCCACCTGGGGGCTGCATGCAGCAAAGGCAACTCCCTCCCCCAGCCAAGGGAGACGGTGAGGGATTGTGCTTCCCCTCCCTGAAAACCAGGGCTTTCCCAGGGATCCTTGCAACCTGTGGATTAGGAGGCCCCTCCTGAGCCTACACTACCAGAGCCTTGGGTCCAAAGCACAAGGCTGTGAAGAATCATGGCAGCTGCTCCGGTGGGCTGTTCCTGTGGGTGGCCATTTTGAGCAGGCACTGACACAGGAGTATTTACATACTCCAGCTCTGGGAACTCCCATGAGGCAAGAGATCCATCCACTCTCGTGGGGAGGGGGCTGAAGCCAGGGAGACAGGTAGCATCGCTCCTATGGAACTCCACAAGCTAAAACCCACTGGCTTGGCATCACTGTCTGTCAGCACAGTGGACTACAAACTGCCTAAGAAGACGGAGTTCCCCAGGGAATAGGCGGCCACCATCACTGCGGCTCCAGTCGCCACTTTCCCTTAGATGGGGCAGGACCCGGATCCAGTCCTCCTCGGTGGGCGGGGCCTCCCTGTGGGAATCTCACCATCATCTCCAGCCAGGAGTTTATGGACAGAACACTGATAACCACCAGAGGAAATCCTAGGAGGAGGGGTGGCTGCAGTATCCTGGATCAGTGATCTTAGTCTTTTCTGCCTGCTCCTCTGGAGAGTCAGGGCAGCCCAGACAAGGGGGACTCCCCCCAGCACAGCACACCTGCCCTCCCAAGGGGCAGACAGACTACTTATTTAAGCAGGTCTCTGACCCTGCTCCCCCTGACTGAGACCTCCCAACAGGAGTCTCCAGACACCTCATACAGGAGCATTCCGGCTGGCATCAGGCCAGTACCCCTCTGGGACAGAGCTCCCAGAGGAAGGGGCAGGCTGCCATCTTTGCTGGTCTGCAGCCTCCACTGGTGATATCTTCAGGAACGAGAGACCAGGGTGAATAAGGGCTGGAGTGGACCCCAAGCAAACCACAGCAGCCCTACAGAAGAGGGACCTGACTACTAAAAGAAAAACAGAAAGCAACAATATCCACAAAAAAGAAACCACAAAAACCCCATCCAAAAGTCAGCAGCCTCAAAGATCAAAGGTAGATAAACCCATGAAGGTGAGGAAGAATCAATGCAAAAACACAAAAATGCTGAAAACTCAAAAAGCCAGAGTGCCTCCTCTCCTCTAAAACGTCACAGCACATCTCTAGCAAGGGCACAGAACTGGGCTGAGATGGATGAATTGACAGAAGTAGGCTTCAGAAGATGGGAAATAACAAACTTTGCTGAACTAAAGGATTATGTTCTAACTCACTACAAAGAAGCTAAGAACCATGATAAAACATTACAGGAGCTATTAACCAGAATTATCAGTGTAGAGAGGAAAATAAATGATCTAAAGGAGCTGAAAAACACAACATGAGAATTTCATAATGCAAACACAGGTATCAATAGCCAAATAGACCAAGCAGAAGAAAGGATATCAGAGCTTGAAGACAATCTTGCTGAAATAAGACAGGCAGACAAGATTAGAGAAAAAGGAATGAAAAGGAACAAACAAAACCTTCAAGAACTATGGGATTATGTTACAAGACTGAACCTAAGACTGACAGAGGTACCTGAAAAAGATGAGGAGAACAGAATCAAGTTGGAAAATACACTTCAGGATATCATCCAGGAGAACTTCCCCAACCTAGCAAGACAGGCCAACATTCAAATTCAAGAAATCCAGAGAACCCCAGTAAGATACTCCATGAGAAGATCAACTCCAAGACACATAATTGTCAGATTCTCCAAAGTCAAAATGAAGGAAAAAAAATGTGTGGGGCAGCCAGAGAAAAAGGCCAGGTCACCTAAAAAGGAAAGCCCATCAGAAAAACAACAGATTTCTCAGCAGAAACTTTACAAGCCAGAAGAGATTGGGGACAATTTTCAACAGTCTTAAAGAATTTCCTGAAGATGCTTATCAGCTTAAGGAGATTTTGGGCTGAGACAATGGGGTTTTCTAGATATACAATCATGTCATCTGCAAACAGGGACAATTTGACTTCCTCTTTTCCTAATTGAATACCCTTTATTTCCTTCTCCTGCCTAATTGCCCTGGCCAGAACTTCCAACACTATGTTGAATAGGAGTGGTGAGAGAGGGCATCCCTGTCTTGTGCCAGTTTTCAAAGGGAATGCTTCCAGTTTTTGCCCATTCAGTATGATATTGGCTGTGGGTTTGTCATAGATAGCTCTTATTATTTTGAGATACGTCCCATCAATACCTAATTTATTGAGAGTTTTTAGCATAAAGCGTTGAATTTTGTCAAAGGCCTTTTCTGCATCTACTGAGATAATCATGTGGTTTTTGTCTTTGGTTCTGTTTATATGCTGGATTACATTTATTGATTTGCATATATTGAACCAGCCTTGTATCCCAGGGATGAAGCCCACTTGACCATGGTGGATAAGCTTTTTGGTGTGCTGCTGGATTCAGTTTGCCAGTATTTTATTGAGGATTTTTGCATCAATGTTCATCAAGGAACACCATGGAATACAATGCAGCCATAAAAAATGATGAGTTCATGTCCTTTGCAGGGACATGGATGAAACTGGAAATCATCATTCTCAGTAAACTATCGCAAGGACAAAAAACCAAACACTGCATATTCTCACTCATAGGTGGGAATTGAACAATGAGAACACATGGACACAGGAAGGGGAACATCACACTCTGGGGACTGTTGTGGGGTGGGGGGAGGGGGGAGGGGGGAGGGATAGCATTAGGAGATATACCTAATGCTAAATGACGAGTTAATGGGTGCAGCACACCAGCATGGCACATGTATACATATGTAACTAACCTGCACATTGTGCACATGTACCCTAAAACTTAAAGTATAATAATAATAAAATAAAAAATAATAAAAAAAAATGAAAATGACATGAAATGTGAAATTTCAAAAATAAAAATAAATGTGATATAAATACAAAAAAAAAAGAATTTCCAACCTAGAATTTCATATCTGGCCAAAGTAAATTTCATAAGTGAAAGGGAAATTTTTTTTTCAGACAAGCAAATGCTGAGGGAATTCATCACCACCAGACCTGCCTTGCAAGAGCTCCTGAAGGCAGCACTGAATATGGAAAAGAAAAACTGTTACCAGCCACTACAAAAAACACACTGAAATATACAGACCAGTGACACTATGGGGCAAATACATAAACAAGTCTGCAAAATAACCAACTAGCATCACGATGTCAAGATCAAATTTACACATAACAATGTTAACCTTAGATGTAAATGAACTAAATGCCCCAATTAAAAGACATAGAGTGGCAAACTGGATAAAGAGTCAAAGTCCATCAGTGTGCTGTATTCAAGAGACCCATCTCACATGCAAAGACACACATAGACTCAAAATAAAAGGATTGAGGAAAATTTAGCAAGCAAATGAAAAACAGAAAAAAGCAGGAGTTGCAATTTTAGTTTCTTACAAAATGGACTTAAAAGCAACAAAATAGACTTAAAAGCAACAAAGATCAAAAAAGACAAAGGCATTATATATTGGTAAAAGGGTCAATTCAACAAGAAGAGCTAACTATACTTAATATATATGCACCCAAGACAGGAGCACCCAGATTCATAAAACAAGTCCTTAGAGACCTACAAAAGACTTAGACTCCCACACGATAATACTGGGAGACTTTAACACCCCACTGTCAATATGAGACAGATCATCGAGACAGAAAATATAACAAAGATATTCAGGACTTGAACTCAGCTCTGGATCAAGTGGACCTAATAGATATCTGCAGATCTTTCCACCCCAAAATAATCGAATATACATTTTTCTTGGCACCACAAGGTACTTTAAAATTGATTATATAATTGGAAATAAATCACTCCTCAACAAATGCGAAATAACTGAAATAATAACAGTCTCTCAGACCACAGCACAATCAAATTAGGACTCAAAACCATACAATTACATGGAGATTGAACAACCTGCTCCTAAATGACTCCTGGTTAAATAATGAAATCAAGGCAGAAATCTAGTTATTTGAAACCTGTGAAAACAAAGAGACAATGTACCAGAATGCCTTGGACACAGCTAAAGCAGTGTTAAGACGAAAATTTATACCACTAAATGTCCACATCAAAAAACAAGATCTCAAATTGACACACAGAGCATCACGACTAAAAGAACTAGAGAACCAATAGCAAACAAACCCCAAAGCTAGCAGAAGACAAGAAATAACCAAGATCAGAGTGGAACTGAAGGAGATAGAGACAGGAAAAACCCTTCAAAAAAATCAATGAATCAATGAAAAAATAAAATAGACCACTAGCTAGACTAATAAAGAAGAAAATAGAGAAGAATCAAATAGATAATTTAAAAAATGATAAAGGGGATATCACCACTGACCTCACAGAAATACAATAATCAGAGAATACTATAAACAGCTCTATGCAAATAAATTAGAAAGTCTAGTAAAAATGGACAAATTCCTGGACACATCCACCCTCCCAAGACTGAACCAGGAAGAAGCTGAATCCCTAAATAGACCAATAACAAGTTCTGAAATTGTGGCAGTAACAAATAGCCTACCAACCAAAAAAAGACCAGGACCTGATGGATTTACAGCTGAACTCTACCAGAAATACAAAGAGAGGCTGATACCATTTCTACTGAAACTATTACAAACACTTGAAAAGGAGGGACTCCTCCCTAACTCATTCTATGAGGCCAGCATCATCCTGATACCAAAACCTGGCAGAGATACAACAAAAAAAGAAAACTTCAGGCCCATATCACTGATGAACATCAATGCAAAAATTCTCAATACTGGCAAACTGAATCCAGCAGCACATCAAAAAGCTTATTGACCATAGTTAAGTTGGCTTCATTCCAGGGATGCAAGGCTAGTTCAACATATGCAAATCAATAAACGTAAAAGGCCTTCAGTAAAATTCAGCATTCCTTCATGTTAAAAACTCTCAATAAACTAGGTATTGAAGGAACATACCTAAAATACTAGCCATTTATGACAAACCCACAGCCAATATCATATTGAATGGGAAAAAGCTGGAAGCATTCTCCTTGAAAACTGGCACAAGACAAGGATGCCCTCTCATGACTCCTATTCAACATAGCAGTGGGAGTTCTGGCCAGGGCAATCAGGCAAGAGAAAGAAATAAACGGTATTCAAATAGGAAGGGAAAAAGTCAAATTGTTTTTGTTTGCAGATGACATGATCCTATATCTAGAAAACCCCTCTGTCTCAGCACAATAGCTTCTTAAACTGATAAGCAATTTCAGCAAAGTCTCAGGATACAAAATCAATGTGCAGAAGTAACAAGCATTCCTATACACCAACAAGAGGCAAGCAGAGAGCCAAATCATGAATGAAATCCCATTTACAATTGCTACAAAGAGAATAAAATACCTAGGAACACAGCTAACAAGGGAAGTGATCAACCTGACCTCTTCAAGGAAAACTACAAACCACTGCTCAAGGAAACCAGAGAGGACACAAACAAATGAAAAATATTCCATGCTCATAAATAGGAATAATTAATATGAAAATAGCCATATTGCCCAAAGTAATTTATAGATTCAGTGCTATTACCACTAAACTACCATTGGCATTCTTCACAGAATTAGAAAAAAACCAATGTTTTTTTTTTTTTTGAGACGGAGTCTCGCTCTGTCGCCCAGGCTGGAGTGGTGCAGTGGCGGGATCTCGGCTCACTGCAAGCTCCGCCTCCCGGGTTCACGCCATTCTCCTGCCTCAGCCTCCCAAGTAGCTGGGACTACAGGCGCCCGCCACTACGCCCGGCTAATTTTTTTTTTTTTTTTTTTTTGTATTTTTAGTAGAGACGGGGTTTCACCATTTTAGCCGGGATGGTCTCGATCTCCTGACCTCATGATCCGCCCGCCTCGGCCTCCCAAAGTGCTGGGATTACAGGCGTGAGCCACCGCACCCGGCCGAAAAAAACCAATGTTTTAAAACTCATATGGAACCAAAAAAAGCCCATGTAACCAAGACAATCTTAAGCAAAAAGACAAAGCTGGAGGCATCACACTACCAGACTTTTTGTTATAAGGCTACAATAACCAAAACAGCATGGTACTGGTACAAAAACATACACAGACCAATGGAACAGAATACAGAACTCAGAAATAAGATTGCCTGTCTACAACCATCTGATCTTTGACAAACCAGAGAAAAGCAATGGGGAAAGAATTCCCTATTTAATAAATGGTGCTGGGAGAACTGGCTATTCATTTGCAGAAAATTGAAACTGGACCCCTTCCTCACACTTTATACAAAAATTAACTCAAGGTGGATTAAAGGCTGAAATGTAAAACCCAAACCTATAAAAACCCTAGAAGAAAATCTAGGCAATACTATTCAGGACATTGGCACAGGCAAAGATTTCATGATGAAATTGCCAAAAGCAATTGCAACAAAAGCAAAAATTGAGAAATGAGGTCTAATTAAACTAAAGAGCTTCTGCACAGAAAAAAAAAACTGATCAGAGTGAACAGGCAACCTACAGAGTGGGAGAAAATTTTTACAATCTATCCATCCAACAAAGGTCTAATATCCAGAATCTTCAAGGAACTCAAATTTACAAGAAAAAAAAACATTAAAAAGTGGGCAAATGACATGAACAGACACTTCTCAAAAGAAGACATTTATGCGGCCAGCAAACATGAAGAAAAGCTCAACATCACTGATCATTAGAGAAATACAAATCAAAACCACAATGAGATGCCATCTCATACCAGTCACAATGGCCAGTATTAAAAAGTCAAGAAACACCAGATGCTGGCAAGTTTGCGGAGAAGTAGGAACACTTTTACACTGTTGATGGGAATGTACATTATTTCAGCTATTGTGGAGGACACTGTGGTGATTCCTCAATGATCTAAAACCAGAAATACCATTTGACCCAGCAATCCCATACTGGATGTGTACCCAAAGAAATGTAAATCATTCTGTTCCAAAGATACATGAACATGTATGTTCCTTGCAGCACTATTCACAATAGCACAGACATGGAATCAACCCAAATGCCCATCAGCAATAGACTAGATAAAGAAAATGTGGTAGATATATGCCATGGAATACTATGCAGCCATAAAAAGGAATGAGATATGTCCTTTGCAGGGACATTGATGCAGCTGGAAGCCATTATCCTCAGCAAATGAATGCAGGAACAGGAAACCAAACACCACATGTTCTCACTTATAAGTAGGAGCTGAACAATGAGGACACAGGGAGAGGAGCAATACACACTGGGACCTGTCAGGGGGTGGGGTGGGGTCAGGGAGGGAGAACATTAGGAAAAATAGCTAATGCATGCTGAGCATAATACCTAGGTGATGGGTTGATAGGTGCAGCAAACCATCATGGCATACATTTACCTATGTAACAAACCTGCACATCCTGCACATATGCCCTGGAACTAAAAATAAAAATTTAAAAAAATTTCTTCCTTATATTTCCTGCTATGTAATTGATAACTGATAATCTGAGACTGAGTGGATATCCTGTTTCTTGACAATCTTTTAACCAATGATTTTAGCATCCATTGATGATTCTTTACATAATCGATTATGACTACAATAATTGGAAAATGAAGATTTTCATATTCTAGCTTACACATGATTAGTTGGCACTGTTCTATAAATAAGGGTTTTCTTTCCCATTTCTTATATCCACTCATTCATTTGTACATTTGTTCTTATTTATTGGATAAGTATCAACTTATGAATTCACCTTTTTTTCAATATGTTATATTACTGAAAGATTTCAATTTTCTGCTCAAAATTATCTAAATTTGGTCAGTGAAAAGCTCCTTTAAGCTGATTCCTGTGTCATTTTGACATAGCCCCATCAGATTTTGAGCACTCCTTTAATTTTTGCCACAACACCAAAACTTTGTGTTCAAAAATACTGCCAGCTTTTCTTGCTCTAATCCTAGAATTAGCATTTCTCCAAGAATCATTAGTTCCTTTTAGAAAAAAATGAAATAGTGTTTAGATGTCAGGACCTAAATACTAGCTATGCTTCTTTCTAACGGATATCACTACCTTTAGTCCCTTGCAGTTGACAGAGCTGGGAAATAACTACATCTACCGCTATATCTAATTTATCTACATCTATGTGTCTATATTTTCTATAATCCAATCAAACACTGACGAACTTTTCCTTTTCTACTGTGATTCTATATTTTTAACTTTCTTTTCCCACAGTAAGAACTCATTCTTTTGTTCAATCTTTTTATGCAAATAAAATTGTTTTAGAATCATTTTAGAAATTCAGAGAAACTCATTACGTATAACTTATAGCATTATGCTAAATTTCTACGTGTTCCTGGGACTATTTAGGGACTTTTAATTTTGTTCTATTTGGTCTGTCTTTCATGTGCCAGTGACATTATTTTAAGTGTAGAAGTGTTGTAGTGAATTTCAAACTACTAAATTATATATAAATGTTAATATTTAATTAGTAATTATACTTAAATGTTTTAAATATTATTTAAATATCTAAAGATTTTAAAATAAATTTAAAAGTATTAAAAAGAAAAATTTGTTCAAGTCTACTTGCATCCTTCACAGGTGTGTGTTTTCATGGTTTCCTCAGAAAGGTTTGTCTTTCCTAAGTACTTTCTGTTTTTATTGATGTTGTAAGTAGGGGGTTGCCTTCCATTTTACCTCCCAACTGGTTATTGTTTGTAAGTGTGATTTTTTATGTTGGTTACATTTTCTGTTACTTTACTATTTTTCTTGAGTTTTTATCATTTTCTTGAATTGTACACATACTCTATCATATGATCTGAAAATAGAGGTAATTTTGTTTATTTCTCTGTCGTCTTTTGCCAAATCACATTGGTAAGTACCTCTCTTATTATGTTGAATAGTAGTGGATAGTGGTCATCCTTGTCTTGTTTCTGATTTTAGTGGAAAGTTTCCAGTATTTCCCCATTAAGTAAGTGAGATGCTGAGTTGAGGACTAATCATGTTAAGGAAGAATTTCTTATTGCTTCCTTTTCCACAAATGTTGACAAAAGTGGTCGAAAGAATACTCTAATCATGTTAATGCTTACTTAGCATGATTAGAGAATTCTTTCAGCCACTTTGTCAATATCTGTGGAAATTATTACATATTTCTCCTCTTTGTATCTATTAATATGCTGAATTAAAGAATTTCATAACACTCAATTATCATTGGATTCTTAGAATAAATCCTACTTGGTCGTAATGTATTATTTTCTTAATATAATGTTGAATTCTCTTTACTAATGTGTTTTCTAATTTTAGTGGCTGTTTCACTGATAATTTTTGTATACATATTCATGAATAATAGATATTAAAAGTTTAGTTATCGAGATTAAACCTAATTTATAAAAAAAATAATTTGGAAATAGCTTGCCATTTTTCTCCCTCCAAAAAATTCATCTTGCATCTAGTATTTGCAGGTTTGATAAACAAGCAGATAATAAGCCTGATCACTTGTTTTCTGATTCCACAGCAGGTTAGAAATATCAAATTATAGATTGAGAAGCTATTACAGGTAGGCTTATTGACTAAAGTGACAGGTGACTCAATAAACGAAAGTGTTAGTTTACTTAATGTGGGAGAAAAATCACACTATACCCATCCATGGGCCCATCCTTATCTTATAAAATAATGCCAAAATAAACAATTGCCATGTGTTTTTATGAAAAATATAAATGTATACTGTATGTTTGGAAGTGTCAGTTTCAAATGGTTACAATTAAAATATCTCAGTATTTTAAAAGATATATTCCTAACAGTCTGGAAAACATACCTATTTAGAGTAAGGGTTCACCAAGGTTGACACATCATAGAGCAAGCGGAGATAATCAATGTGCATGCTGTTACCAGTGGAGCTGATTATATGGACTAGTAAAGTACAGAGAGGGAAAGTTGCACAGTGGGAAAAGCATTGGCTCATATTTTTGTTGTGTATATTCTTCTTCATTAATTACTTCATTATTATTCTTCCATCTGGCATCCTTTCTTTTTGCCTGAAGAAGACCCTTTATTATTTCCTTTAGGCCTATTTCACTAATGATAGATTATCTCAGGTTTCATTTGTCCAGCAAGGTTATATTGCCTTCCTTTTTAAAGCATGTATTCAATGGGGATAGAAGTGTATTCTACGCTGGTGATTATTTTCTTTCAACACTTTGAAGAAATTCTCCCATTGCTTACTGACTCCCATCTTTTCTATTAGTAAGTTGGCTGTCAGACTTAAATTGTTCTGTTTTGAATGCTCTTATTTTGTATTATATACTTATGTAATGTTTCCTTTATATAATTTTTACCTGCTTGATATTTGTAAAGCTACCTAAATTTGTTGCTTGGTATCTTTCATTGCTTGGAAAATTATTAGTGATTATCTCTTCAAACATTGCCCTATTTTTAAATCCGTTCTCCTTTTCAAACTCCAATTACCCTGTGTCTCCCATGTTTATCATAGTATTTTCTGCATTTTACACTTCTCCCCTTCTTTCCATGTATCAGCATAGGCAGAATAATTTAGTTTCTCTAGAGAAGAGTGTCACAACCCAGGGTTAAATGGAGGAATTATATCCTGAAAGTCACTACCTCTGTTGCATCATTCTTGGTTGAGTGACTATCTCAGACTTGCACCCTCAAAGCCAGCCTTGACTCATCTCTTACCCAGGGTCCCTCACATGTGATCATTCTCCATTTCCTGATTTCATTACTACACAAACTTTCCTACCTTATTTTTTGATCCTGATTCTTATTTTCTCTTGTCTGTACTATGTTAATAGCCTTAAATCTTGTATTTTCATCCATACTGCCTTACTAATTCTAATATATAACTGCTATGTCATTCTATAGGCAAATTGATTTTAAGTCAGAAATAATTACTTATGCTTTTTAAAGACATAAGTTCATACCAAGCCAATAATTCAAAGTTGTTATTCTATTCCATACCCAACTCCTCTCAACACATCCCAGGTTTTAGCTAAACTGAATGTTTTGCTTCTTAAGCATACTTTCTGCTTTCCCTGTATTTATTCTGCTTCTTCTCTCTGGGCTGCCATGGGTTAATTTTACCTATTACTTCACTGCCCAGAAACCTTTCTTGACTTCTTACAGCTTAATGAATCCCAGCTCTCCAGTCAGGTTCTCCAGAGCACTCCAGCATAACTACTTAGCCCTTTGTCCTTTTATTTTCCTACATGTCCCCTACATCACCTGAATGCTTCTACCTCTCATCATCTGTGCACCTATTTTAATGACAGTCTTTTTCCTGGAATGCTTTTCTACCACATTTGTTGTAGGAAAGAGAGTTTCTGGGGTGCCAGATGAGTTGGTCTCCCCTGTGTGAGACACCCATGGGAAGCCATGGGCAGCCTCCAAGGAGAAAAGTCTCCTTATTGCCTTCACGTCTTTATGCCCTGAGAGCATAACCACTCAGCAGCATTCCACAGGTTGTTCAGGGAGATAACACTCCTTTGAAGCAGTGGAGTATAATCAAACATCTTGGCTCCTCCTGAAACATCCTCCCACCAGTTTCAGTCCTGGTAAGTTAAAGATCTTAAGTAGTTTAGACACACGCCTTTGCTCAAGGAAATTCACAGACACCGCCACTGCTATACATCTTATCAAATGACTCATGAGTTCTCCTTCACTGATTAATCCTTTTCTTCATCCCTTCCTCACCCTTCCATCTGCCCTAAGAACAAAGAGCTTGTAAACCAATAAATTGGGTGGAGCCCAAGAGCTCTGGGCCATGACCAGGACTCCAACACTCCGGTCCCCTGGACCCACCTTTTAAATGCTTATTCTGTCTCTTCCTAACTCCTCTGTCTCTGCTGGACTCGGGGTACCCACTGGGTGGTGTGGGGCTGGTTTCCCCAACATTTGTCTACTAAAATTATATTCACTTCTAAGGTCCACTTCAAATCTTTCTCTCTCTCTTCCCCCGCCCCCCACCCCCCACCACCTGCCAACAGCATTTTTACTGAAACCCAACTAGTTATAACTCATCATGAACGTTATTAAATGTTCCTGGTACTTCCTCTGCATCAAATGTTTATGGTACCATGTTGCACTCAGTTATTTCAGTATTTAAAATTAGGGTTGCCAAAAAGTAACAATAGGTTAACATTTCTGAGGTTTATTTTTCTCTCAGGTAAAAATCTAGAAGTAGTCAGGGCAGGACTAGATACGGCAGCTTAGTTTCTCAGAGCTCTCAGAGATTAGAATTCCTTGCATCCATGGCTCTCATCCTCATATCAGATGATAAGGTGTAAGATGGCAGCTAGAGCTCTGATCACTATGCACAAATGTTAGGCAGCAGAATGGGGGAAGATATAACAAAATAAGGTGACAAGAATGCAATCCAGATGTATTTTTAAAATAAACTATGTAAAAGTATAACACACAAGAAAATGCATACATTGTAAATTCACAATTCGATTACAAATACCACCAATAATCAAGACCCAGAAAATTCTCGTGAATCCAGAAAAGCTCTTTTGGTTCTTTTGCAGTCAATTATCCCCAACCACAGCTCATACTAATAGACAAAATAAGGGGAAAACATAAATTAATCTCAATATATATTTTCAAATAATTTGACAAAATGTAATGCTCTTTTTGAATAAAATTCTTACCAAACTAGAGAGAGAAGGAAATGTCCTCAACTTAATAAAGGGCATCTGTAGAAAATCTAGAGCTAGCATTACACTTAATGGTGTAAGACTGAATACTTTCCCTATATGATCAGGAAACAGTCAAGGGTGTTTATTCTCACCACTTTCGTTCACTATTGTATTGGCAGCTCTGGCCAGCATAACAAGGCAAAAAAGAAGACTTAAAATGCAAATAAATTGAAAACTAATAAACAAAATGATCGTAATTTGCAGACATCATGATTATTTCTGTAGAAAATACTTTGGAATCTATAGAAATAGCTTCTAGAACTAATAATTGGGTTTAGGAAGTCAGCAAGATAAAGATAAATCTATAGAAATAAATATTCCTCCATACTATTCAAAATCAGAAATTAAAATTTAATTGGTAAACATGTTGTCATTAAACAGTATATAGAAGTATTGAAACTACTGCTTAAAGCTAGTGGAGCCTCGGTTTCACGGGCTCAATTAAGGGACCTAATGCAAACTGTTGTATTCCATAACCCATGGTTCCCAGAAGAAGGTACGCTAGATGTAGAGCTCTGGGAACAAGTGGGGAGACATCTTAAACAACATCATGCACAAGGGCAATGGGTCCCAGTATCATCTCTAACGCTATGGACTTTAGTTAGGGCGGCCCAGGTCCCGTTATACACCCAAGAGCCTAAAAAGGGGAAGGAGGAAGAACCGTCACCTACCTTCCCGCCTCCATCTCCCTCAGCCCCATTGTTTCCAGGCAAAAATAACAAAGAAGAAATGGAGGTTTTGCCTGAGCCCCCTCCTCCAATAAATTGGATAAAAGACAAGGGATACACTACAGCTATGGGACCCTGTCTTAGGCAAGCGGCATTAGAAGGGGAGCTCTTAGCCTGCCTGGTAATGCAAGATCAACAGGCAATCAGGTATATAAACCCATTTCTTTTGATGCTTATAAGAAGATTTTTAAAAAGGCATTAGAGGCCGGAGCCACGCAGCCAAGTGGGCTATGGGCGGAAGAAAAGGCTCAGGGGCAGGGAAGCTCACAGTGCCTGGGCCCACAGGGTCTGGCCGGCCGGCAGCAGCCACCTGGCGGCAGTGGGAGAGAATGGCGCAGACAGAAAGTCGCGCCTAAGCGAGCACAATGCAGCTGCCACCCTGGGACCCACACCGCTGTGCTCTGCAGGTGGCCCACAGCAAAATTTCATGTGTTCCTTGTATACAAGTGACGTCCCAGATTATAATTCTCTGCTAAAATTTAAGTAAAATTTAAGAATTTGAAAAACCCTTTTCTAATAATGGCCACTGTTATTTCTCCCTTACCCCTAAGGTGACTCTCTTCAAGTCCAATTTAAGTAAAACAGTAACCTCTGAAGGGAGAGAAATTAAAGAGCCCATGAATTAGTTGAGGAGCAATTAAAAGCCGGCCATATAGAACCATCAAACAGCCCTTGGAATTAGCTCATTTGTGTCATTCCCAAAAAGTCTGGTAAATGGAGAGTTTTGCATGACTTACGTGCTATTCATGCTAATTTGCAACCTATGGGGCCCCTTCAACAGGGCCTTCTATCCGCGGCGGCGATTCCTCGAGATGGCCTATAATCGTTATTGACTTAAAAGACTGTTTTTATACTATTCCCACAGCAGAACAGGACAGAAAAAAATTTGCCTTTACGATACCAGCTATCAATAATGAGAGGCCACCTTGCTGATTTAATTGGAAAGTGCTTCCTCGGGGGATGCTAAACAGTCCTACCATGTGTCAGTATTATGTAAAGCAAGCTTTGCTCCCCAGTGGAAAAGAATTTCCTGACTGCAAGATTATTCATTTTATGGATGATATTTTATTAGCAGCCCCAAAGGTGACAGTACTTGTAAACTTATATACCTCTGTCGTAAAGAATACATACCTAAGAGGTTTAATCACAGCATCTGAAAAAGTACAGATGTCTTCTCTTTGGAAATAACTTGGGTACATACTAACTTCCCAGTCAGTAAGAACTCAAAAGGTTAAATTAAATACTAGCAACTTATGCACCTTAAATGATTATCAAAAATTATTGGGTGATATTAACTGGCTTTGCCCCATCTTGGGCATATCTACTGATAAGTTGCAAGAAGTTGCAAAACCTGTTTTCTATCTTAAAGGGCAATATAGCCCTGGATTCTCCCAGGTATTTGACCACTGCAGCAAAAAGGGAAATTGAAGACATAGAGCAAGCTATTTCCCAAAGGCAAATGGATTGCATGGACACTCAATATTCTGTCCAGTTGTTTATTTTCCCCACTAAACATTCCCCTGCAGGGTTAATAGGACAGATGAGCCCAGGACTGCACTTTTTAGAATGGGTTTCTTGCTCACATACTGGGACTAAAACACTCTCTCCCTATATCCAGCTACTTAGTAAAGTCATCTATTCAGGCTGCAGATGATGTAATCAGTTGCTAGGTTATGACCCTGATGTCATAAGAATTCCTTTGAGTCAAAGGCAATTTGAAGCAGTATTGCCCCTCTCTTTAGATCTTCAGATACCACTCACTGATGACACAGGCCATTTAGAACATACCCTCCCTACTGACAAACTGCTTCAGTTCTTATCTCGTACTCCTGTAATTATGCCTACAAAAGTAGTTCCCTCCCCCATACCTAATGCTTTAACACTGTTTACTGATGCTCAGGTAAACATGGAAAAGTGGTAGTCTGGTGGAGACCATGTAATTCCCTCACTTGTTCTGGGTTTACTAGCAATCAAAGAGCAGAGGTTGGAGCCTTAATACTGGCTTTGGAGACTTTTTCTGCTCAGCCCATCAATATTGTTAGTGACTCTGCTTACTCCATTTGTTTGTTTGTTTTTTTATTTATTTATTTTGAGACAGAGTCTCACTCTATTGCCCAGGCTGGAGTGCAGTGGCGTGATCTCTGCTCACTGCAACCTCTGCTACCCAGGTTCAAGGATTCTCCTGCCTCAGCCTCCTGAGTAGCTGGGATTACAGGCACCTGCCACCGCACCCTGCTAGTTTTGTATTTTTAGTAGAGATGGAGTTTCACCATCTTGGCCAGGCTGGTCTTGAACTCCTGACCTCGTGATCCACCCACCTCTGCCTCCCAAAGTGCTGGCCTTACAGGCGTGAGCCACCAAGCCCGGCCTTACTCTGTTTATTTATTGCAGAACCTTGAGACCGCACTAATTAAGTCCACTCTGGAGCCAGCCCCACGTGCTCTTTTCCTCTGACGTCAGCAATTGCTAGATCAATGTACACATCCTATTTTTATCACACATATTTGAGCCCACAGCTCACTGCCTGGCCCCTTGGCTTACGGCAATGATCAAGCAGACCTTTGGGTTATGACATCACTGCTTGACCAAGCCACCCAATTGCATCAATTTTTCCACCAAAATTGGAGAAACTTAACTATAACAATTTCAACTTACCCAAAGACTATACTTTCAGGGATCATTTCTATAGTTTGTTTCTAGAGAAGTTTCTCCGAATGTGTAGAGCACTGCTTAATCTTTTAAATTTAGATGATAAATTTCAATCAGCTGTCACAAAAGCACTTTGCTAAAACCTCTCAAGACATAAAACCTGCAGTTTTATGGAAAGGTGTAAACACTAATGAATGGTGTGGTCCAAATGATTTGCTAACATGGAGAAGAGGATATGCTTTTGTTCATACCCCCTCAGGTCCTCTTTGGATTCCAGCACAATGCATCAAACCATATTATGGTATGGCTAGGACCCAACCCAGTACCAGAAATGAAGAAAATGACCCTATAGGACCCGCAGCCCCAGACAATGCGGCTTCTGTGGATGACACAGGACCCAGACAGAATGCTGAAGAAGACAACTCAGAAGGCTAAGCAAATCCTGCTTTAAACACACCATTCGCTCCAAATAATTTATTCCTTTTTTATTCTCTCGTTCTGCTTACAACTGGTACCTGCTACACTCTTTTGGACTTATCTCTTAAATCCGCGTTTCTTCTGCCCTGTTACTTTGACAAACACCCCCTTCCCAGCTTCTAACAACACAACTGCTTAACGGAGAGGGATTAACATACCCTCAATGGGGTTCCTTAGTCACAGCACACATCAAACTAAATTGCCAAGTAACACTACAAGTCACTCCTTGATTGGAAAAGAAAGTTGCAAATTATACTCATGTTTGTCTTATGTTATTTACCAATTCTAGGATGCAAAGCCAGAATACGAGCAGTGACCACCATGCCTGACAGACCTGCTGCTGCACACATCTGTACTCTCCAACAAAACCTGATGCTAAAAACAAAAGGGAGAGATGTAGGAGTTCAGTCATGGCGGTGGGAAAAATTGTAAGAGGAAATTATAGGAAAGAGAAGCAAACCTTCTTGGAAGGCAGGAAGGTTTTGTAAAAGCCTTGGAAGAGAGTTATGGCTGAAAACAGCCTTATCCTCTTCCCGTGAGCTGATAGCTTAGAGTAGGTATAAAGGAATGTAAGGGAGTTTATCTAAAGAGCTTGTTGACTCCTGTGGTCCGAAGACCAATCATTTGTAGGACTGCTCTCTCTGGGGAAGGCAACCACATTAATTAATTATCCACAAGTGTGTTGACTCAAAGCCTTTGTTATTAAATCTGTGCTGAATAAATGCCCACAGGGCCAGCTAGTCAGGTTATATGGCTGCTACAACTCTTTCTGTGAGTGGCCTGGTTCCCTAGCCACTCTTTCACTTTATATCGGTGTCTGAGTATGTTATTCATCCACCGTGCAGCCTGGGTCTGCAGGTCAGACCCCAGCATTTACTCAAAAAAATTTTATGTACCTTTTTTTTCAACTCCTTTCAGAAAACAATCTTGCATGTGTTGGTTGTTTGATATTGTCCCACAGGTCACTGAGTCTCTTTATTTTTTTCTTCTTTTCCTTCCTGTGCTTCAATTTAGTTTCTATTGCTGTGTCTTCATTTTTACTGATGTTTCCTTCTGCAGTATCAATTTACTATTAACCGTATTCAGAAAAATTTTATTTCAGATATTGTATTTTTATCTCTGGAAGTATTCTTATTCATTTATTATGATTATCACTATCTTGTCCTTTAGGAAATATTGATTACATTTATAATAGTTGATTTAAAATTATTCTCTTATAATTCCATTATCTCTGTCACTTCTGATTCTGCTTATTTTCTTCTGTTTTGAGGTAATATAGTGTTTCTTTGCTTGTCTAGTGAATTTTTATTAAATATATTATGAATGTTATAATAATGGGTGTTAATTATTATTTTTCTCTAAGGAGGGCTTAAGTTTGTCTTGTTAGGCAATTAAGTTACTTGCAAATCATATTAATGTATTCAAAACTTATTTTTAAGCTTTGTTAGGGTTGTCCAAAGTAGCCCTAACTCTAGGGCTAATTAAGCGAAACTACCAACACATGATTCTCTAGGTTCTTTACCGACTTCCTTGAGGCTCAGTGGGGTTTCTCAGCTCTGGCTGGAAGGGATTTGAGTATCTCTTAACCTTGCTTAAACTCTAGGAGTTGTGCAGGTTACAGTTCCCGGAGTATTTTTCCTGAGCAGTTACTATTTGTGCAGCTTTGTGGAGTTTTGTTGTATCCATGCATAGTTAAGGGGGCCTTTATGCATATTTCTCTACAGAAATTGTTACTCTCCAATAATTTGCCCTGCAAATTCTGGCTGTCTCATCCTCCCACAAGTTCAATATTTGTCTTTTCAGCTTAGCAACATTTCTTTTGCATTTCTTGGGATCTTCCTCCCTTTGCCATCTTCCAGAAATTGTCTATAGGCAGAAAGCAAGGGCAATAGTAGGCTTCACCTCTGTTTTCCTTTTCTCAGTGATCACAGTCCCACTCTGCCTGTTCTCTCAATGTCTGAAAGATTTGTTTTATGTATTTTGCCTAAGTTTCTAGTTATTTGTGCTAAGTAGGCTGGTTTTGTACCAGAAGCAGAAATCAACTAAAGATGAATTTTAGGGAAGAGTTCTGGAATATGCCTCATTGGCCAGAACTGAAGCTATCTATACCTACAAAGGAGACTGGAAATGCAGCTTCTTCTGGGAAAATAAAACAAAGGAGAGCAGATTTTGTGAAAGAGTGAGCATTATATACCATCATTGGATAGTTGTTAGCTCACTTACCAGCGTAGCAACTTCTTGAGTGGAGGGTCAGAGCTTTCCTCATTTCAGTAGCCTATGAAGAGCCTGGTGCTCATGACGTTCTTAGGAAAAAAACATTGAAAAGAACATGATCCTGAGTACTGAACTCATAATTAGGCATGAAGAAAGGAGACAATGTATGGTGGGTGAAAGTGGCAGAGAGAGTTGGAGACAAGGTTGGAAATTATCTTGGAGCTCCAAATGCATTGGCTCATAGATTATTTTAAAACTCTGTTGAGGAATCCGGGACTACAGAGCCCTGTTGTTCCCCTCACCTCCAATGTCCTTTTCCAGACACCCATGTCATGTGTTTTAAAGCTCAGATCATAGATCATAAGCGAGCTACTAGATGGAGCCTTCTCTGATGTCCTACTTGTGGCACAGTTTTTCTACAGCATGGTTTCTGTCAAGTTTTCAAAGCATATAATGATTCATACTGCTGATTTCTACCCTCAAGAAAGTGGAATCTATTCGGAATTTCAAAATAAAAACAAAGTTGTCTTTTATTTCTGTTACTTTTTTACTTCCGTCACAATGCCTGCCACCGTGAACACAAAGCATATTAAATAAGATCACTGTTCCTTGACCTGGTGTCAAGCAGCTGTTTGGAAGTTGTTTGTGTGTCAGTTGAGACATAATAATAGAATAAGCATCCTGACATCACTTGCCCTCTGACCACCAGTAGTGATAGGGCTTGCTTTACTCAAGGAGGAAGTCCTTAACAACTCGATCTACCCAGGCAAACACAACAATCATTCAGCTTTTTGTTTCATTTTTTCCTTAACCTATCACCATGAAACAAAATGTAAGTATTGCCTATCTCTTCTATTTAAATAAGGGCTGAGATTTTTGTTCTGTGTCTTCACTGCTATATTCCTAGCACATCAACATTTGCCAAGGGAAAGAACAGGAGATGGAAACAAAGGAAGTTAAATGAGCGGAACACCAAGGAAGAAACTGAGATGGGGTCTGAAAGTGTGGTGGGACATTGGCTACCCTTGAAATTGCGAAGGGTCTTATACTTGATAATGACAGGATTTGGGAAGCTCTCTTAGGGCCATGTAAAAGAAAGGGCTAAATATAAAAGGGTGAGTGAAGGGGAGTTTTTCCTCTATTCCACTTGTACAATTCAGCCAATTCATACTCTGAGATTGTAGGAGAATCTTTCACTAGTCAAAATAGAAAATGACCAAATCACAGAAAATATTACGAAGACAAGAATGAATTTGTAATTAAAAATTAAAACAAGAAAACAGAAATGCCAGCTGTAATTTTTATGCAGTTTCCAATCAATGCATGTCCTTGTCTTTTATACATAAAGTGAATTTCTAGTTGCCACGAGTCCTATAAAAACAATACCTTTAACAACCAGTTCCTGCCCCTGTTTTTTCCTGTCTTCTGATTTGAAAATGGGTGTTTTATTTTCTTCTTTTCACATTTAGTCTGGGATCCCTTCTTCATTCCTTGGCTTTTTATTTTTCTCCAAGGGGCTTATTATTGCAAAGTTAAGAAGCCATAAGCAAGGGGAGTTTGTGAGGCCAACTGTAGCAGAGGCACAGCTCTCATCTTACCATCGTAACCACTCTGAATTGCTGGGTGGCACCAGAAAGCTCACTGGCACCTTGGCATATGGCAGGGAGAACCTGGTAATTTGGGTAGATTAAAAGTGGGTATGGAATTGCCATTAAGCTATCATCCAGGTCTTGTGTGTGTGTCTGTGGTGTGAAGGGGGCAGGAAAGGGGAAGGAAATAAGAGAAAGGGAGAGAAGAGGATAGGAGAGTATTAAACAAATCCTAGACTCTGCTACCTTCATGTTTTGATTATGAATGTGTAGAGGTCAGTGCTTCAACTCTATGGACTTTATCTTTCCACAGATCTCAATATTTTGTTAATAGCTCTTTTGCTGGAGTCCGCCAAGCTGACTGTTTAACTGGCTTTGCCTTCCCTATTTCTTTATCTAAGGAATACTCCATCAGAAATGCTGAGATTCACATTCCACAATATGTGCTGCTTTTAAATAACCATATGCAAGTAAAATAATAGGCAAAAGAGAAATGAAGACTGGGGTCAGGAAGGTTTCTCCCAACACTATCCTCAGATTTAGGTTCATATCAGGTACCAAATCTTGCAGCCAGATCTCAGGACAAGTGAACTCATTTACCCATCCGAATGTCGCCTGTGAATTCAAAAGCTAGAATTTATAGAGTCTAGTGAGCTGAAAATTATAGGGCACTTTGCTACATAGGAAGCCTAGTTTCATATTTATTTTGAGATTTGGGATTTCAAGTTTAGTTAAGAATGAAAGATTCTTTACAAGGACCTAGTGATTTGTTCTTCTCAAGCCCTTGATAACAAACTTTTGGTTGCTAAACCCACCAATCTTTTAAGACTTAGATGTAGAAACCCATGAACCAGGCAGATGGGGTGTTAGCAACAACATCCATTCACCCAGCTCCTCCCCAGAAGTAGAGGCAGGAATATCTCCTCTTTGCAAGGCATACATCCACTCCCAAAGCAAAGAACCCTAGATTGCATAAAGCTCCAACTCAATGGCCCTCCTTTTACCTGCCTCATCTCTCTGGGATAGGGCAGAGAAGGAGCACTCTTTCCTTGTCCCTTCTGACCTTAGCTATGGAACCTCTGCTGTCTTTTCCTGACATTCTCCTTCTTCTATCTGTATCCCTTACTGCATTTTTGCACTGCAGTTCAGTGGCTCCATTGTGCCCGCAATAACACATCCACTTCTTTCAATCGCTTGTCTTGCACTGGAAAAGAGGAAAAGGTTCCATCTAATCTGGGCTAGGTTATAAAAACATTTTAGCACTAAAAATAAATTATCTAAATGTGTTGGGATACATTCCACCTCGTAGTTAAATACTAAGGATGGCATGATGTGGATGTAAAATGTGCATGGTCAGGGAGGTTAAGAAAATAACCTCAAAGGACAGGGCCACAGGAAAGAGGAAGGTGATGGTTACCATAAATGGGTCTGTGGCTCTGTGTGACACCTGCTGTGCTATGCCATCAATGTGCAGCTCCACGACAAATGAGATCCTTCAGCCAGGCTTGTGTAAAGCATGCTCTCTGGATACAACAGGACATGTCACTTGTAATAACAAACCCAAGCCTCAGTATCCATCCACATTTGCAAAATGAAAATGACTATCCTTTTCTTTCTCCTCTTCCTCTGCTGCTCTTCTGCTTTTTGTTAGAGCTATTTCTGCACTGTTTGCTTCATGGGTTACTGAACAGATCAAGAACTGATAGTGATGATAATAGTGGCAACAGCTGTCATTTATTATGTGCCTTCCATGTGCTAGATACTAATATTTCCACTTCAATCCTCAAACAACCTTAGGATAAGAGATCATCATTTTCTCCATTTTTGCATAAGGAAACTGAGAATGAGAAAGGTTAAGAAACAACCAAGGAAATAAAGCTAGCAGTGGTGAGCATCTCTGAAGGCCCTTCCTTCTCTAAATTACATTGTCTTTTAATCTGTAAAGCATAGTAGGTTTGGTAATGGTTACTGAAGACTTTTGCAACTATCATCCTGCAGTTGTAAATTCTCTTCGATGTTCTAAGAAATATGTGCCAGAATATTTGGCAAAAGGCACCTAACATGTTAGAGGTGTAACACCTCCTATGACAGGACAATGGGTGCCTTTGACAGGGATCTGTGGATTTCTTCTTTTGGCTCACTTGACTTCCAAATTTGCAGTGGGATTGAAGGAGAAAAGAGGGTCCTGAATAATAATTGTCAATTGTCCTACACTAACACTTTCTAGTCATGCCATCTCTCTGATGGAAACTGTTTTGCTCAAATAGTATTATATAAAGTTTATATACATATAGCACTTCAAAGTTCACAAAGGTATTTCATATAAATGTCTCCATTTAAAAATCTATCCAATTTGTAAGATAAGTATTCTTCCCATTCTACAAATGAGAAAACTAATTTGTTCTAGGGCAATAAGTTGTATCCCAAAAGTCTGTAAATGTTTCCCAATTAGAAAGATCTCCCGTAATTAGGGTGGCTCATTATTATAATTAGGGTGCCCCAGTTTGGCTGGTTCTACCTAAGCAATTCACTCTCAAAAGTGTCCTAGTTTGAGGGATAAATGATATGGTCAGCCTGCCCAAAAGCACAGAATTAAATGCAGAATTTCACTTGTAACATGAGGAGTGACACATTGGGCCATCAGGGACACAGCTGTGCCTGTCTTGCATAAGAGTGATTCCTTAAGTAAGGTACTTATTTGGGGCATCAATACATTTTTTTTCACTCTCTCCACTTGGATAAGTGAAAGCTTCTCTCTTGTTCAACCACAGTGTTTGATCCCAAGCGCATTAGAATCACCTGGTGAGCCTTGTAAACTCAGATTTCTTCTGTCCCATCTAGGGTCAATTAAACTAGAATTTCTGAGGGTGGATGGTAGGAATGATATTTTTCAAAAGCTCTCCAGACAGAGCTTTTGACATTCCAGCCAGAAGTGATGACTGGCTGCTTATAAATAAACACTAGGTGATAATGGTGCAGTATATTAGACCCATGGAAAGGGCATTGCAAAGGAGAGATCATATTTGGTGTGGGGAATGTTGCCAAGGAAGCTGATATATTTTGAGATGGCTCACGGACAGTATGATGGCTCCACAGAGTGGAGGGGTAATATATTGGTGGCTGCCTGCTCTAAATTTTGAAACTCCTGTGTTTATCTTGACTTAATGAAGTGTGCTATTGTTTAAAATATTCTGTGTTCTATGGAAGCGATATTGAGTCTGGTCTCCCATTCCAATATTTTTGTTCTCTGTAACTTTATTTGGATCTGTTGCAACTTCTTGCTCTGTGTGTGTATGTGCCTGTGTGCATGTTGCGTCAGGGAGTTACAATGAGGGTATACTTAGAATTGTTGGCTAAAAAGGTTGTGTATAAAAATAAAGGTTGTGTATCTGTGAGCATCATGTTTTCTAAGAGATAAAACCCTTTATTGTGTTACTTTTTCAGAATATGCTTTCTGAGAAAGTAGAAAAGAAGTATCTCATTTTGCAGAGAAAGACCTGGACTCACAGAAATGTGAGGTGGTCAGCTGAGCGCCATGCCATGAATCAATACAGCCCCTGAATTAGTGGTGAAGATTTCTAATCATTGATATAATGCTCTGTGAAAATACAGGCATGGTGAAAAAGAAGTTTCACTGTTTTTCCAATTTATGAAAGTGCTTTTAGAGTATCATTAAATCTACTTTATGGTTATTTATTGCAATACATGTTTATTTTCCTTTGAAATGCACTTAATCATACCCTAATCTCCTTGCTATAATTTTTCCATGGAAAGAAAATAACGTTTCAGTTAATGTAATTTCAATATGCTGGGATCTCAGTCTCCTGTTTCAGGTGCCTCGGGATGCAGGAGACCAGGCCAGGGACTTGTTCCTTCCTGGGTACAGATCACCACAGTTTAGAATTGTCAAATTCTTTGCTGAAAACTCCAAGTAACTTAAATTCTTTCCCTTAGGTTTTTTTTTTTTTTCTGGGCAAATGCTTTTTAGTCAATCCTAGGATTCTATTCTAAGAGGTCGTTTCTCAAGTTTCCTTAAGCTGTAACCCTCTCCAAACCCCAATTTTAACTCTAGTTCTTCAATCTCTCATCCCTCTTCCATGATGATTTGCCATCTTTTTCTCTGGGGAGAAGACACACATATAGAAATGAGCAAAGAGCTTTAAATACTAGCTGCCCAAGAGATGCTTAGCCTCCTGTTCCAGCCACTGGAGTTGAGGGGTGGAGGCACGTGATGTCACGGAAAGGGAATGCTCGCTAGTCTTCAAGCAGTCCCCTAAGGTAAGGCTGGAGGAAGGAGGTGGTGAAGAGGGCTCCTGAGTTCCTTCATTTGACGGCGCTGATCATACAGGTACAGGTGGAACAGTAAGCTCAGAGCCATTCCTTAGACCTAGAGACTGGCCTTTTCACCTATATAAAATAATACTGTGTAATATTATTTCAAGTAGAGGTAGGAAAATAACCCTTAGGATTTAGTACCCTCGGCCTGGTGGGCGAGCAGAAATAAAAGTTAATTCCAAACAAAGACTTTAACTACCACAATTCTGCCCATGTTTCCCTCCAGGGATCTTTGATCTCAGGCTGAATGGAGGAAGAAGAGCTTTTCTAGTTGACGCCTGTCACAGAGATCTGATGAAGTCAATGTAAATGAGTCCGCAGAAGCTTGATAGCCTATAGAAGTCCTTGAAAATCCCGAATGGCACGAGAAGGTTGAAAACTAGTCAAGATGCTGATATCTTCAAGAAGTTAAATATAACCTAAAAAAATTATTTGTCACAGAATAAGGTTGGTTTAAAAAATTGTAAAGGGGAGGAGAGTGGAGATTCAAGCCTAGAGAGGAAGGCTGAATAAGAAGAAAGTAATTGTGAAGTCAACTGTAAAATATTTCCTGGGTCTCACCTGGTAAATCCACACGGGCTTCCTGAAAGAGGAAGGCTAGAGTTACTTTTGAGTTGCCTTTCAAATGATAAGCAGGGTCCTTGAGTAAACAGGAAATGAAAGACTCGAGAGAGTAGCTGAGGAAGGATGCAGAAGTGAAAAGGAGAGGGGAGCCATCAGCACCCCAGATTTAATTTGATGGAGAATTTTCTCTATTTGTTTATGTGTGTGCCCGTCTTTATTAGACTGTCTGTTTGCCTTTCAAGGGCTGGGACTGTGCCTCATTCACCTTCATATTCTAGTATAATGCAAGCTTAGGAAATTATTGTCTAAATACATACACTCAGACATAAATGGATGAGAGTAAGAATAAAGGCATAAGTGGTGGTATTTAGCAGCAGCCTTGGCTGTGAGCTTAAGACTGTTTTTTGTGACCTGCCATCTTCCTTTGCGCAACAACACAGCTCATGATGATGTTCCAGAGCATTTTGCCACCAGAAAATGAGGCTTGCTTTTGGTCTTTTGAAGGAAGACTGCAGTGAACAGTTAAATTGACTTTAAATTTAGCAGCATTGGGCAAGAATAGAAATGTTCTAATCCTGTCTCCTCCTACGGAATGTGAATTGTGGTCAAAGTAATATGTTTTTGCCTTCTGTGATTTCGATCAAATTTCATAGGCCAGACAGGGCGTAGGGAGCCAGGCTGCACAGCCACTCTCCCTGGTAAACAGTGTCACACCTCCCTTGGACAGCCCAGGGTACCATGTGTGCCCTGGCGTTACAGACACCTCACCAGGGCTTGTCTGTTCTCCCTGCCTTGTTTCTCAGCCCAGTGTTCATGTGGAGTTTGGCTTCCTCTTCTTAGAACTGGGAAAGGCAACGCTGTGCAGGTGTGAGAGGTACATACACATGCGCCCAGAAGATGCTGCCCCAGAAAAACATACCCAGGGCCTGTATTTGACTCAGAGTTTAAGGTCTTACTTTTCATTAGAAAATAAGATCACTAGCTCTAAAATTTCCACTGGGGAAGACTGGGTTGGCTTAGCAGGGCAGTGCTATCTGATGGGCAGCTGTATTCTATAAAGTAGATGAGGGAAGATGACAGAATGGCATGTCTGTGGGCAGAAAGCAGAAGGGAAATTGGCTTCCCTTCATAGGCCACTAAGGAAAGGGTTATCCAGTGGCCTGCTGGATTTGACACTATCTGCCTGCCACATCTGAGCTCAGCATTTTTGCTTTGACACGCATGGGTCATTCTACCCATTGAGCTTCAGCAATTCCCTATTACAGATGCTTATTGGCAACAGAATCTTAAGTCCAATAAAGGAGCAAAGAGATTTTACTTTGGAAGGAAATACTATGGATTCTTCAGTCATTCAGAGGCCTCACCTCCTCCCTTAATGAGTGCTCCCAATGTAAAGGTATAATGACTGGCTAACTAAATGCTTTGGGGGTATAGGAATGAGGACACACATCTAGAAAAGTGGATTTTAGAAGAAGAAAAGACAGTATAATGAAAACAAGTTTAAGAAAGAGCAAAAATAAAATTTGACTTATGTATATCAATTGTGATGAACTGTAATTATGCATTACATGGAACAAGTCTACACAATCAGATAAGAATTCTTCACTAATTTCCTCTTTATTTGTCTATGTCATAATCCACACTAGGGAAGAAACAACCTCTACTTTTTAAAAGTCACAAATATTAAGCCTATAAAAATATCAATATCTTATCAAAGTTTAGCTCAAATTTATACAGGAAAACAAAGGTTCATTCCAACCCACCTAGCTTCTTCTGATGGTTTATTAAGTAGTATTTAAGAAAATTGAGTCTCATATTATCTGGCCAAAAGATATTTTTCTTGCCTCTGTATTATTAAACAACACTTACTGAGACTATTCATCAGATGTCCAGATTAATCTTGACGGTGAAGAATACATGAACTCTATATGCAATCTTAAAAAGGAGTAATATAATATGCTAGTTTTCTCTTTCGTGTCCATTCCTCAAAACTTGATTATTATTAGGTTAGGCTCATCCTTTACTAATTACCTTTAGTTAAGATTTCTTAGTTTGCAAAAATTATTGAATTTATATTGACTTAACTGAATGAGCATTTGAAAACTGTCTCTCATAGTTCATCATGAGTACTGAATTGTTCCTCCTCTTTTTCTTTAAGTTTCTTCTCTTTACTACATATTTTTCCCCAACCAGTTATTTTTGTTGTTGTTATTTGCTTCTTAAAAATTCTGTGAGGCTTATTTTTAGAATATTTTATAAATCTGGCTATGTCTAAGAATGGCAAACTATGATAATTGATGTACTTAATATTTGCTAACACATGTCTATTCCACTGTCAATGAAAAGACTGTGCTTGCTTTGATCAAGAATTAGCCAAAATTTGGAACTCTCAGAAAGCTATTTATTTATTCCAGAACAAAGCATTTGGTTTGTACTACCATCAAAATATTCTAAGTGGCTAGTTACACTGGTAAAAAAAATAAGATATCTCTTTTGTTCAGGCCTTCAGAATTTTAACATCATACAAAATCAATAAAGCTCTTAAATGTAAATCTATGAAGATGAGACACACTGATTTCTTGGCTATTGTTTACTGAGGTGATTAAAAAAAGCCTTGCAGCCCAAACAGAATTTTATTTTCTCTGTCAATAAGAACAATATACTTCCATGGATAAGTATGTCATCTATGGAAGCATTTCAGATGTCTGTGTTGCAGATGCAGAAGTTATCTCTTGGGATTTCCCTGCACCACATCACATACTAGACTATCCATTGTAGGAAAAGATGGTTGGGTCGATTATAGGAGTTGTCCTTGGAATCAATTCCAAGCGCTCCAGAAACTTACATCTATAGGTCTGACTTAATGTAATTCATAATTGTCCCATGTTATAGGTCTGACCTAATGTAATCCATAATTGTCCCATGTTATTTTTTAAAATGTGGCTGATATAGATCTCCTAGAAAAAGGTCACATAATTAGAATTATTTCAGTATTTAATTTACAGGGAAATTCGGGGGTTCAAAGTAGTCAGGAGATGCTTTAAGTGAAAGACGTTGCCTAAGGCCGTTCTAGTAAGTATGATAACGGTTTGTAAAATCACCATCAGCTACATCGTCATTTGAAAACAGATTTAAGAAATATATATATACTCAAAGCACTGCACTAAAGGAAAACAGACCAAGACTAGTAATATTAATCCACTGTCATCCAGTTGGCTGGCCTACCTGCTACAGAAGCTGAGGCTCAGCTGGCCTGCCAATGGGCTTGAGCCCGTGGGGATCTGTGACTGTACCATGACTCACTGACCCTGCAAAAGCCAAACTGGCTCCGTTGTCTTTGTCCAGAGTCCTCATTTCAAGGCCTTGGCCTCTCTTGCCTCTTTACCAAGGTAAAAGGCAGCAATAAGTATGAAGAGTCAGACAAAAAAAAAAACACCAAGCTATAACCATCCATTTAATATCAAAATTAAACAAAGACTCATTAAAAATTTCAGTATTTAAGCAATTTGGGGAAAAATTGGCAGAAGAAGGTACATGAGCAAAGAAAGGTGTTTTCAAATAGAAGTTACAGAGCTTATTTTAATATGACCTCAATGATCTTCACATAATTTAACAGGAAATTTTATTCTAATTAGTTTGATTGAGCTCTATTTTTTAACAGTTTCTTAAAACTGAGAATTAATGAGCAAGAAAATAAAGTCTGCTCAAGTCTTTGGAACTTAGGCAATTCTTTCTTTCAAACTAGAGGGAAAGAATTGTTGAGAACAATATAAATCAGCATTTGGGGGATCTTTCGTCTTCCTGTGTTCCTTTATGATGGATGTCTCTAACCCCCAGGCCCTACCGGTCTGTGGCCTGTTAGGAACCGGGCTGCACAGCAGCAGGGAGCAACAGGGCAGGCATGTCAGCGAACCTTCATCTGTATTTACAGCCACCCCACATCACTCACCTTACTGCCTGAGCTCTGCCTCTTGTCAGGTCAGTGGTAGCATTAGAGTCTTATAGGAGCATAAACCCTGTTGTGAACTGTGCGTGCGAGGGATCTGTCACGATCATCACCCCTAGATGGGACCATCTAGTTGCAGGAAACCAAGCTCAGGGCTCCCACTGATCCTACATTATGGTGAGTTGTATAATTATTTCATCATTATATATTACAATGTAATAATAATAGAAATAAAGTGTACAATTAATGTGCTTGAATCATCCTGAAACCATCCCTGGCTGCCCTGGTGTGTGGAAAAATTGTCTTCTGCAAAACTGGTCTCTGGTGCCAAAAAGTTTTGGGACCACTGCTTTATAAGACCTTTTACTTACAAGAAGAGCCTGGTAAGAGTCTTTTTTGTGGACATTAAAAAAGTTTTATTTGTAGAAAATACTTTGTGTGAAACATAAGGAGAAATCTCTGTTCTCTCAAGAGCTTATTGGGGAAATAGACACGTGTAGTAATAAGGGAGTGAAGGAAGAGGAGTTAATATTAGCAGGGGTCAGAGCAGGAGTGGAAAGGAGGGTTCTATATGAGTTTGTCCGGAACCAACTTGCAGAATGATCCACTTTCCAAATGACCATTTCAAAAGTAAACAGAATTTACTTTTCTTCTAACTTTTATAGTTAGTTTTATTTTACCTTCTTCACTGCCATTTTAGGAATGCTTTATTTCTCTTTCCCAACTCTCTGCTGTAGCTGAATAATGAGGGGGAGAGAGAGAGGTAAAATTGAAGGGCATATGAGTGTAAAGTTTTGAATATAAGTAATTGACATTAATATCTTCTTCATTAAGTTGTTCATATTTTTAGAAGCTATATTCCCAAGAATTTTTATGTTCAAGAGCATGTTCCAAAAATATACTCTTAGTGAATATGTCATGGGTATACCTGTCAAATAAAGATAGATCCTGGGGGCCATGCTCCAAATTAAGTCAATCAGAGTTCTTCTCTGGGAACAATACACAGACAGCTGCTGAGCTGAGAGACTATAAATCTGGGACTGACAAAAGCCATTTCTCTTTTCCGTCTACAGACTAAAGCCAAACAGGAATAGACAGAAATGGATAAGGGATGGTGAGAGAGAGTCCTTAAGGAAATGAATTTGAGACCCTGGTTCTGGTAGTTAGTATCTACTTTGATCCTTTGAGTTGACAAGTTCTGGGAAGGGTCTGAGATTTTACTTTGCTTGCAAACTAACAAGTGAACTTGCCACAGTTTCATGGATACTAGTTGAAGACATGAAACTTGGTTCAGAGACAAAGGATGTTATTACTCACAACAATAGCAGTAGCCAGGGTGCCAGTGCCTCCAGTCCCATTTCCCACATGGTGATGTATAGAGGACCGAGAGACACTTGTACTCACAGTGAGTTGCATTACTGAGGAGGAATCCTGATTTTAGGAAATCCAGATTTTTATAATGGGCAGTAACCCTGTCCGTTATAAGCCTTTCTCTGTTCGAGTGACTGTTCACTATACAAACATCCTTTTAAAAAGTTAGTCATTGCCTCTACTCACAAAAAATTCAGAAACCTGAGAGAACCACGAAGCATTATCTCCCATCAGAGCTGTGGCTATATTTCTTTTCAGTTGATCTTCCTTAAGCTGGCTGAGCTGTGTTTATGTCACCGCCATCAAGAATCCTAACCAACACATGCTGTGGTATTAGGTCTTCCCTTTGGAGTGCTCCCTCCTAACCTTATTATGAAAGCAGGGTGATATAGGTTCATTGTACACTTTTTGGGGAAAAATATATGAAAAGCAATCACTTTTAAATTATGTGGGGGAGAGGACCTGCATCTAAGTTTCGGATCTGTTCTTGCTTCACAGCAGCTGATGACATTCCTTATATTCCTTTTTGGATGGAATGACAAAACACATATTTTGGGTTATATATTGTAAGAGGTATCAGCTGTTGTTCTCAGCTGACCAGTTTTTATAGACAGAAGATTAAGAAATTGCTGATGGTGTTAGCTAGGATCCCCTGCCCTCAACTTCCAATTGACTTGCCTTCCTTCTTATGAGTTTCTACTCATAAGACCTTGCCCTAAGTTTACTGCTAAATAATATCAATAATATGTCATCTGTCATCATGATTTAAGACAAATATCCTGCCAAAGTGTTTATACTAATACGAAATGCTATAAGAAATTCACAAAGCTTTTAGGAAGGAATCACAAAAAGTACTAACTTGAGACATCATGAGAAGTGCCAGGGAGATACTTAAGAATTAGAGAAAGCTGCTAAGCATTACCTACATCATACCATATCAGGTGGTTGCTTTAAAGCCATCAGAAATGGTCTATCCCCTAGGGAAAAGAGGTCCTACTTCTGTTCCTGGTGACTATACCATGTGCTCTTGAGGCTCTGTTCCATATCTATATTTCATGTGTCAACACAGTAGCTGACACACAAAGTGTTCTCAGTAACCATGTGTTTAACCAATGAATTAAGACTCTGCAAACAAACTTCCTAAAATAATGTGATCACTCACCCACCTTCTCAGGAAACTGCACAAATCCACGTGGGCAACCACTCACAAATAAAATCATCAGGCTCGAATTATTGTTCATGCAAATCGCCATTTAAAAGAAAAAATGGCTAAAAAAGAATTTGCTTACAGGGAGACTTTTCTCACTTCCAATAGGATTTCCTAGCAACAAACAGGGGTCCTTTTCCCTTCATTTGTGTGTGGTTGTGCACGCTGTGTTTGCAGTGATGGGGAGAAGTTTGGGGAGGCGGGGGACTGGAAAGGGTGGCTCATCCTCTCTCCGGAGGCAGCTGCTTTCTCCATTAGCGGCTGGTGCAGACTTCTTCATATCCCTCTGCAGTGGAAGGGCAAGCAGCTGGAATGTCAAGCCCAGACTTAGTCTGAGAAAATAAACTCCCATCTAAGGACACATGTGAGGTTACTAGTCCTTAACTGCCCTGGAAACATTTCACTCTATGTTTGCCTTTGTATTGGAAAATGTGGGGAATATATATGTCAACTGTTGTTCACTGTGGGCATTTTTCTTCCTCTTCTCTACTGAAAGCAAGTGTAGCCAGGTCAAAGAGAGAAAGTTACCAGTGAATACTATAGATAATTCATTAAAAGTGTGATTTTAGCTATATTGTGGATAATAACAGTCAGCTTTTTCACTGTTAGAAAAGGAGATTAAAATTAGGAAAGGAGTAAGGCTAGAATAAATCCTATGGTATTGGATTGGACTTGAAGGTCTCAGTATGAACTCTTGATTTTATATACAGAAATAGATATACATATAGTTATTGATACAACTACATGGTATCTATATTTTTTTCTAGATATGTTTATTAAGATAGCCTAGCAGCAAAAATCAGTATACTTAATGCCCATATTTTTGTTTCTATACATAATTCCTCAAAAAGAACCAGAGGTCCTTGGAGAAATGTTTGATTCCAGGGTTGTGGCATGGAAGGTATAACATGAGCCTGGAAAAATGTATTGTGTCAGAAATCAGGAAGAACTGAAAGGATGACAGGGAAATGTCAGAAGAATATAGGAGCCAATTTGCAGGGGCTCTCACTGGCCAAATCTGGGACAATTTGAGCAATAAAATGAGAGACACACAGAGAAATAATCTGAAGAACAAAACAAGTGTGGCAAAATGTTAACGTGAGGAATCTGGTTGAAGGGTGTCTGGACATTTTTGGCATTAGTTTTGCAACTCTTTTCAGCATGAAATTATTTCAAAATAAAAAATTAAACATATGTAAAAACAGTGGTGGGGGAGGGAGATAAATGAAACAAGATGGACAAAATATTGATAATTAGGGTATTAGGTATTTGGGAGGTTATTCTATTATATTCTCTACTATTATGTATGATTGAGTCTTGTTCCTAATGAAAAGTAAAAGTAATTTTTTAAAACACTCATGCAATTTTAGTTTAAGAAGATCTCTTATTTCTAGCCTTATGGTATAACCAGCCCTTGTGCATGATTCATGGCAGTCACAACAACCTGTTTTCTCTGCTTCTTGTCTTAAGTCTTCCTTCCACTGCAGTCTATCCCATCATTACCAACCAGAAAAGTAGTACCTTTCTCCTTGAAAAGTATATATAAAACATATACCTTTTAATGTTTGATCCCTTCTCTAGCTCATAAATCTTTTACTCCCTTCCCATGCCAACAAGAGAAACTTTGAGCTTTCCTTTCTAAGCTTTAAAGGTTCTCTATTATTAGGTTCTGACCTATTTTTGCAACCTCATCTTCCAAATTCCTGACACGAATATTCTTCTTCATTAAACAGTTCTTTCTTTGTCCTGTCCCAAAGGTCATTTGGGTATTCTCACCTCTAAGTTAGCTGGTCTGAAAATATGTCTGTAACCCTCCTTTAAAATAAAATCATCACTATCCTTTCTGATGGCTGGTAGGAATGATGGGGTATGGGTTGTTTCAAAGAGTTGGGCTATGATCATTCCTCCACCAGAACTGGCTGTTTCTTTTGCGGAATTTCAGCCTGGGAATGGGTTCTTGAGGCTTCTGGAGTCCCTGGTAGGAAGTGGGCTAGATTGGCCGGTGGCTGTATATATTTTCTCATCACTAATGTGTGTGTGTCTGTGTGTGTGTGTGTGCATGCACATGTGTGTCTTAGTAATGCCCTATTCTACAGTAATGCCCTATTCTACAGTGAGCCTTCAGGAAATTTCACTAACTCGAAAACATCTCATATATTCTTCCCCTATTCCCTTAATCTTTACTAAACATTTGTCTGGTTCTCCCAATTCTCTTCAAAGAGTCTTAGACATATGATGTCACTGGTTAGATTGCACATTGTTAGCATGTAAATTTGTGGGGAGGATCCCCTCTCCCTCCTTTAATATCCTACAATGCATTCCTTATATCTTTGGCAATAATCTGAATAATATAGAAGTTTATGTTTGTTACCCAAATCATCTATTGTAGTGATTTTCACATGTCTCAGAGCAAATGTTTACACAAATAGGTGTTTAAATATTTACTAACTGATCTGCAGAAATGAGATTGTTTATTCATAAGTGCTCTGATCACACTGCCCTAATGCAAGAGAACTTGGACAACTTGGAAGTAATTAAGTAAAAGGAAAGATATAGAAACCTGCTTAGAAACTCATTTATCTCTTTCCACATTGTTGACAACTTCCAAATGCCTGAACACCATGCCTTTTTCAGGATCTCAATACTTACTTTCTGTGCTAATTCCAGTCACCTCTATATTTCAGTTACTGTTAAACCATGTCCAAAGTACGTGGATTCTACAGCCAGGTTTTAATAACTTTATATTCCTCCACCTCCCATTCCATAATACATTTTGTAGGTAACTTATCCAACTGCCAACTGGTTGATCTCTTTACATGCTTAGCCTATCACCCATGGTCACTTTTTAACAGCTTCATGGAAGTCTTCTAAATTCTGATCATTTGTTTTGAATTCTTATGGAACACTTATTCTTCATAAGGACAATGGTCTTGTTCTACTCCAGT